>NC_000003.12:92523107-92838825 GCF_000001405.40 Homo sapiens
CTTCTTTTCATAGAGCACTTTGGAAACACTCAGTTTGTAATGTCTGCAGCTGGATATTTGGACCTCTTTGAGGCCTTCGTAGTCAACGGGATTTCTTCGTGTAATGATAGACAATAGAATTCTCAGTGAATTTTTTTCTGTGTGTGTGTATTCAACTCACAGGGTTGAACCTTCCTTTAGACAGTGCAGATTTGAAACACTTGTCTGTGGAATTTGCAAGGGGAGATTTCAAGCACTTTGAGGCCACTGGTGGAAAAGGAAATATCTTCGTATGAAAACTAGACAGAATCATTCTCAGGAACTACTTTGTGATATGTGCATTCAACTCACAGAGTTCAACCTTTCTTTTCATAGATGAGTTTGGAAACAGTCAGTTTGTAAATTCTGCAACTGGATATTTGGACCTCTTTGAGGCTTTCGTTGGAAACGGGATTTCTTCACATAATGCTAGACAGAAGAATTCTCAGTAACTTCTTTTGGGATGTATGTATTCAAATCAGAGAGTTGAACCTTCCTTTAGACAGAGCAGATTGGAAACACTCTTTTTGTGGAATTTGCAAGTGGAAAATTCTAGCAGTATGAGGCCAATGGTACAAAAGGAAATATCTTCGTATAAAAACTAGACAGTATCATTCTCAGAAACTGCTTTGTGATGTGTGTATTAAACTCACAGAGTTGAACATTTCTTTGCATAGAGCAGTTTGGAAAGACTTAGTTTGTGCAGTGTGCAAGTGGATATTTGGAACTCTTTGAGGCCTTCGTTGGAAACGGGATTTCTTCTTATAATTCTTGACAAAAGAATTCTCAGTAGCTTCTTTGTGTGTGTGTATTCAACTCACAGAGTTGAACCTTCCTTTAGACAGAGCAGATTGGAAACACTCTTTTTGTGGAATTTGCAAGTGGAGAATTCTAGCGCTTTGACGCCAATGGTAGAAAGGAAATATCTTCGTATAAAAACTAGACAGTATCATTCTCAGAAGCTACTTTGTGATGTGTGCGTTCAACTCACAGAGTTTAACCTTTCTTTTCATAGAGCAGTTTGGAAACCCTCTGTTTGTGAAGTCTGCAAGTGGATATTTAAACGTCTTTGAGGCCTTCGTTGGAAACGGGATTTTTTCATATAAACCAGGACAGAAGAATTCTCAGAAACTTCTTGATTGTTATGTGTGCATTCAACTCACAGAGTTGAACCTTACTTTGGAAAGAGCAGTTTTCTAACACTCTTTTTGTAAAAGTTCCAAGTGAATACTTTGAGTGCTTTGAAGCCTACGGTTGACAACGAAATATCTTCATGTAAAAACTACAAAGAATCATTCGCAGAAACCACGTTGTGATCTCTGCATTCAACTCACAGAGTTGAACCTTTCTTCCTATAGAGCAGTTGTGAAACAGTCTCTTTGTAGAATTTGCAAGGGTGTATTTAGAGGGCATTGAAGCCTACGGTAGAAAAGGAAATATCTTACCATAAAATCTAGTCAGAAGCATTCTCAGAAACTGAGTTGTGATGTTTGCATTCAACTCACAGAGTTCAACATTCCTTTTAATGGAGCGGTTTTGAAACACTCTTTTTGCAGAATCTGCAAGTGGATATTTGGACCTCTTTGAGGCCTTCGTTGGAAACGGGATTTCTTCATGTAATGCCAGACAGAAGAATTCTCAGTGAATTCTTTCTGTGTGTGTGTATTCAACTCACAGAGTTGAACGTTCCTTTAGACAGAGTAGATTGGAAACACTCTTTTTGTGGAATTTTCAGGTGGAGGTATCAAGCGCTTTGAGGCCAATGATAGAAAAGGAAATACCTTCGTATAATAATTAGACGGAATCATTCTCAGAAACTGCTTTGCAATGTGTGCGTTCAACTCACAGTGTTTAACCTTTCTTTTCATACAGTTGTTTCGAAACACTCTTTTTGCAGAATCTGCAAGTGGATATTTGGACCTCTTTGAAGTCTTCGTTGGAAATGGGATTTCTTCATATAATGCTAGACAGAAGACTTCTCAGTAACTGCTTTTTCTGGTGTGTATTCAACTCTCAGAGTTGAACTTTCCTTTAGAAACAGCAGATTTGAAACTCTCTTTTTGTGGAATTTGCAAGTGGAGATTTCAGAGCTTTGAGGCCAATGGTAGAAAAGGAAATATCTTCGTATGCAAACTAGACAGAATCATTCTCAGAAACTACTTTGGTACGTGTGTGTTCAACTCACAGTGTTTAACCTTTCTTTTCATAGAGCAGTTTGGAAACACTCAGTTTGTAAAGTCAGCAACTGGATATTTGGATGTATTTGAGGCCTTCGTTGGAAACGGGATTTCTTCATATAATGCTAGACAGAAGAATTCTCAGTAACTTCTTTGGGTTGTGGGTATTCAAGTCACAGAGTTGAAGCTTCCTTTAGGCGGAGCAGATTGGAAACACTTTTTGTGGAATTTTCAGGGGGAGACTTCAAGCGCTTTGAAGTGAATGGTAGGAAAGGAAATATCGTCGTATAAAAACTAGACGGAGTCATTCTCAGAAACTACTTTGTGATGTTTGCGTTCAACTCACAGAGTTTAACGTTTCTTTTCATAGAGCAGTTTGGAAACACTCTTTTTGCAGAATCTGCAAGTGGATATTTGGACCTCTTTGTGGCCTTCGTTGGAAACGGGATTTTTCATATAATGCTAGATAGAAGAATTCTCAGTAACTTCTTTTTGTGGTGTGTATTCAACTCTGTGAGTTGCCTTTAGGCAGAGCAGATTTGAAACTCTCTTTTTGTGGAATTTGCAAGTGGAGATTTCAAGCGCTTTGAGGCCAACGGCAGAAAAGGAAATATCTTCGTAGAAAAAATAGACGGAATCATTCTCAGAAACTGCTTTGGGATGTGTGCATTGAACTCACAGTGTTTAACACTTCTTTTCATAGAGCACTTTGGAAACACTCAGTTTGTAATGTCTGCAGCTGGATATTTGGACCTCTTTGAGGCCTTCGTGGTAAACGGGATTTCTTCGTGTAATGATAGACAATAGAATTCTCAGTGAATTTTTTTCTGTGTGTGTGTATTCAACTCACAGGGTTGAACCTTCCTTTAGACAGTGCAGATTTGAAACACTTGTCTGTGGAATTTGCAAGGGGAGATTTCAAGCACTTTGAGGCCATTGGTGGAAAAGGAAATATCTTCGTATGAAAACTAGACAGAATCATTCTCAGGAACTACTTTGTGATATGTGCATTCAACTCCCAGAGTTTAACCTTTCTTTTCATAGATGAGTTTGGAAACAGTCAGTTTGTAAATTCTGCAACTGGATATTTGGACCTCTTTGAGGCTTTCGTTGGAAACGGGATTTCTTCACATAATGCTAGACAGAAGAATTCTCAGTAACTTCTTTTGGGATGTATGTATTCAAATCAGAGAGTTGAACCTTCCTTTAGACAGAGCGGATTGGAAACACTCTTTTTGTGGAATTTGCAAGTGGAAAATTCTAGCAGTATGAGGCCAATGGTACAAAAGGAAATATTCTTCGTATAAAAACTAGACAGTAATCATTCTCAGAAACTGCTTTGTGATGTGCGTATTAAACTCACAGAGTTGAACATTTCTTTGCATAGAGCAGTTTGGAAAGACTTAGTTTGTGCAGTGTGCAAGTGGATATTTGGAACTCTTTGAGGCCTTCGTTGGAAACGGGATTTCTTCTTATAATTCTTGACAAAAGAATTCTCAGTAGCTTCTTTGTGTGTGTGTATTCAACTCACAGAGTTGAACCTTCCTTTAGACAGAGCAGATTGGAAACACTCTTTTTGTGGAATTTGCAAGTGGAGAATTCTAGCGCTTTGACACCAATGGTAGAAAGGAAATATCTTCGTATAAAAACTAGACAGTATCATTCTCAGAAGCTACTTTGTGATGTGTGCGTTCAACTCACAGAGTTTAACCTTTCTTTTCATAGAGCAGTTTGGAAACCCTCTGTTTGTGAAGTCTGCAAGTGGATATTTAAACGTCTTTGAGGCCTTCGTTGGAAACGGGATTTTTTCATATAAACCAGGACAGAAGAATTCTCAGAAACTTCTTGATTGTTATGTGTGCATTCAACTCACAGAGTTGAACCTTACTTTGGAAAGAGCAGTTTTCTAACACTCTTTTTGTAAAAGTTCCAAGTGAATACTTTGAGTGCTTTGAAGCCTACGGTTGACAACGAAATATCTTCCTGTAAAAACTACAAAGAATCATTCGCAGAAACCACGTTGTGATCTCTGCATTCAACTCACAGAGTTGAACCTTTCTTCCTATAGAGCAGTTATGAAACAGTCTCTTTGTAGAATTTGCAAGGGTGTATTTAGAGGGCATTGAAGCCTACGGTATAAAAGGAAATATCTTACCATAAAATCTAGTCAGAAGCATTCTCAGCAACTGAGTTGTGATGTTTCCATTCAACTCACAGAGTTCAACATTCCTTTTAATGGAGCGGTTTTGAAACACTCTTTTTGCAGAATCTGCAAGTGGATATTTGGACCTCTTTGAGGCCTTCGTTGGAAACGGGATTTCTTCATGTAATGCCAGACAGAAGAATTCTCAGTGAATTCTTTCTGTGTGTGTGTATTCAACTCACAGAGTTGAACGTTCCTTTAGACAGAGTAGATTGGAAACACTCTTTTTGTGGAATTTTCAGGTGGAGGTATCAAGCGCTTTGAGGCCAATGATAGAAAAGGAAATACCTTCGTATAATAATTAGACGGAATCATTCTCAGAAACTGCTTTGCAATGTGTGCGTTCAACTCACAGTGTTTAACCTTTCTTTTCATACAGTTGTTTCGAAACACTCTTTTTGCAGAATCTGCAAGTGGATATTTGGACCTCTTTGAAGTCTTCGTTGGAAATGGGATTTCTTCATATAATGCTAGACAGAAGACTTCTCAGTAACTGCTTTTTCTGGTGTGTATTCAACTCTCAGAGTTGAACTTTCCTTTAGAAACAGCAGATTTGAAACTCTCTTTTTGTGGAATTTTCAAGTGGAGATTTCAGAGCTTTGAGGCCAATGGTAGAAAAGGAAATATCTTCGTATGCAAACTAGACAGAATCATTCTCAGAAACTACTTTGGTACGTGTGTGTTCAACTCACAGTGTTCAACCTTTCCTTTCATAGAGCAATTTGGAAACACTCAGTTTGTAAAGTCAGCAACTGGATATCTGGATGTATTTGAGGCCTTCGTTGGAAACGGGATTTCTTCATATAATGCTAGACAGAAGAATTCTCAGTAACTTCTTTGGGTTGTGGGTATTCAACTCACAGAGTTGAAGCTTCCTTTAGGCGGAGCAGATTGGAAACACTTTTTGTGGAATTTTCAGGGGGAGACTTCAAGCGCTTTGAAGTGAATGGTAGGAAAGGAAATATCTTCGTATAAAAACTAGACGGAGTCATTCTCAGAAACTACTTTCTGATGTTTGCGTTCAACTCACAGAGTTTAACGTTTCTTTTCATAGAGCAGTTTGGAAACACTCTTTTTGCAGAATCTGCAAGTGGATATTTGGACCTCTTTGTGGCCTTCGTTAGAAACGGGATTTTTCATATAATGCTAGACAGAAGAATTCTCAGTAACTTCTTTTTGTGGTGTGTATTCAACTCACAGAGTTGAACCTTCCTTTAGACAGAGCAGATTTGAAACTCTCTTTTTGTGGAATTTGCAAGTGGAGATTTCAAGCGCTTTGAGGCCAACGGTAGAAAAGGAAATATCTTCGTAGAAAAAATAGACGGAATCATTCTCAGAAACTGCTTTGGGATGTGTGCATTGAACTCACAGTGTTTAACACTTCTTTTCATAGAGCACTTTGGAAACACTCAGTTTGTAATGTCTGCAGCTGGATATTTGGACCTCTTTGAGGCCTTCGTAGTAAACGGGATTTCTTCGTGTAATGATAGACAATAGAATTCTCAGTGAATTTTTTTCTGTGTGTGTGTATTCAACTCACAGGGTTGAACCTTCCTTTAGACAGTGCAGATTTGAGACACTTGTCTGTGGAATTTGCAAGGGGAGATTTCAAGCACTTTGAGGCCATTGGTGGAAAAGGAAATATCTTCGTATAAAAACTAGACAGAATCATTCTCAGGAACTACTTTGTGATATGTGCATTCAACTCACAGAGTTTAACCTTTCTTTTCATAGATGAGTTTGGAAACAGTCAGTTTGTAAATGCTGCAACTGGATATTTGGGCCTCTTTGAGGCTTTCGTTGGAAACGGGATTTCTTCACATAATGCTAGACAGAAGAATTCTCAGTAACTTCTTTTGGGATGTATGTATTCAAATCAGAGAGTTGAACCTTCCTTTAGACAGAGCGGATTGGAAACACTCTTTTTGTGGAATTTGCAAGTGGAAAATTCTAGCAGTATGAGGCCAATGGTACAAAAGGAAATATTCTTCGTATAAAAACTAGACAGTATCATTCTCAGAAACTGCTTTGTGATGTGTGTATTAAACTCACAGATTTGAACATTTCTTTGCATAGAGCAGTATGGAAAGACTTAGTTTGTGCAGTGTGCAAGTGGATATTTGGAACTCTTTGAGGCCTTGGTTGGAAACGGGATTTCTTCTTATAATTCTTGACAAAAGAATTCTCAGTAGCTTCTTTGTGTGTGTGTACTCAACTCACAGAGTTGAACCTTCCTTTAGACAGAGCAGATTGGAAACACTCTTTTTGTGGAATTTGCAAGTGGAAAATTCTAGCAGTATGAGGCCAATGGTACAAAAGGAAATATCTTCGTATAAAAACTAGACAGTATCATTCTCAGAAACTACTTTGTGATGTGTGCGTTCAACTCACAGCAGTTTAACCTTTCTTTTCATAGGGCAGTTTGGAAACACTCTGTTTGTGAAGTCTGCAAGTGGATATTTAAACGTCTTTGAGGCCTTCGTTGGAAACGGGATTTTTTCATATAAACCAGGACAGAAGAATTCTCAGAAACTTCTTGTTTGTTATGTGTGCATTCAACTCACAGAGTTGAACCTTACTTTGGAAAGAGCAGTTTTCTAACACTCTTTTTGTAAAAGTTCCAAGTGAATACTTTGAGTGCTTTGAAGCCTACGGTAGACAACGAAATATCTTCATGTAAAAACTACAAAGAATCATTCGCAGAAACCACGTTGTGATCTCTGCATTCAACTCACAGAGTTGAACCTTTCCTCCTATAGAGCAGTTATGAAGCAGTCTCTTTGTAGAATTTGCAAGGGTGTGTTTACAGGGCATTGAAGCCTACGGTAGAAAAGGAAATATCTTACCATAAAATCTAGTCAGAAGCATTCTCAGAAACTGAGTTGTGATGTTTGCATTCAACTCACAGAGTTCAACATTCCTTTTAATGGAGCGGTTTTGAAACACTCTTTTTGCAGAATCTGCAAGTGGATATTTGGACCTCTTTGAGGCCTTCGTTGGAAACGGGATTTCTTCATGTAATGCCAGACAGAAGAATTCTCAGTGAATTCTTTCTGTGTGTGTGTATTCAACTCACAGAGTTGAACGTTCCTTTAGACAGAGTAGATTGGAAACACTCTTTTTGTGGAATTTTCAGGTGGAGGTATCAAGCGCTTTGAGGCCAATGATAGAAAAGGAAATACCTTCGTATAATAATTAGACGGAATCATTCTCAGAAACCGCTTTGCAATGTGTGCGTTCAACTCACAGTGTTTAACCTTTCTTTTCATACAGTTGTTTCGAAACACTCTTTTTGCAGAATCTGCAAGTGGATATTTGGACCTCTTTGAAGTCTTCGTTGGAAATGGGATTTCTTCATATAATGCTAGACAGAAGACTTCTCAGTAACTGCTTTTTCTGGTGTGTATTCAACTCTCAGAGTTGAACTTTCCTTTAGAAACAGCAGATTTGAAACTCTCTTTTTGTGGAATTTGCAAGTGGAGATTTCGGAGCTTTGAGGCCAATGGTAGAAAAGGAAATATCTTCGTATGCAAACTAGACAGATAATCATTCTCAGAAACTACTTTGGTACGTGTGTGTTCAACTCACAGTGTTTAATCTTTCTTTTCATAGAGCAGTTTGGAAACACTCAGTTTGTAAAGTCAGCAACTGGATATTTGGATGTATTTGAGGCCTTCGTTGGAAACGGGATTTCTTCATATAATGCTAGACAGAAGAATTCTCAGTAACTTCTTTGGGTTGTGGGTATTCAAGTCACAGAGTTGAAGCTTCCTTTAGGCGGAGCAGATTGGAAACACTTTTTGTGGAATTTTCAGGGGGAGACTTCAAGCGCTTTGAAGTGAATGGTAGGAAAGGAAATATCTTCGTATAAAAACTAGACGGAGTCATTCTCAGAAACTACTTTGTGATGTTTGCGTTCAACTCACAGAGTTTAACGTTTCTTTTCATAGAGCAGTTTGGAAACACTCTTTTTGCAGAATCTGCAAGTGGATATTTGGACCTCTTTGTGGCCTTCGTTGGAAACGGGATTTTTCATATAATGCTAGACAGAAGAATTCTCAGTAACTTCTTTTTGTGGTGTGTATTCAACTCACAGAGTTGAACCTTCCTTTAGACAGAGCAGATTTGAAACTCTCTTTTTGTGGAATTTGCAAGTGGAGATTTCAAGCGCTTTGAGGCCAACGGCAGAAAAGGAAATATCTTCGTAGAAAAAATAGACGGAATCATTCTCAGAAACTGCTTTGGGATGTGTGCATTGAACTCACAGTGTTTAACACTTCTTTTCATAGAGCACTTTGGAAACACTCAGTTTGTAATGTCTGCAGCTGGATATTTGGACCTCTTTGAGGCCTTCGTAGTAAACGGGATTTCTTCGTGTAATGATAGACAATAGAATTCTCAGTGAATTTTTTTCTGTGTGTGTGTATTCAACTCACAGGGTTGAACCATCCTTTAGACAGTGCAGATTTGAAACACTTGTCTGTGGAATTTGCAAGGGGAGATTTCAAGCACTTTGAGGCCATTGGTGGAAAAGGAAATATCTTCGTATGAAAACTATACAGAATCATTCTCAGGAACTACTTTGTGATATGCGCATTCAACTCACAGAGTTTAACATTTCTTTTCATAGATGAGTTGGAAACAGTCAGTTTGTAAATGCTGCAACTGGATATTTGGGCCTCTTTGAGGCTTTTGTTGGAAACGGGATTTCTTCACATAATGCTAGACAGAAGAATTCGCAGTAACTTCCTTTGGGATGTATGTATTCAACTCAGAGAGTTGAACCTTCCTTTAGACAGAGCGCATTGGAAACACGCTTTTTGCGGAATTTTCAGGTGGAGATTCCAAGAGCCTTGAGGCCAATGGTACAAAAGGCTATCTTCGTATAAAAACTAGAGGGAATCATTCTCAGAAACTGCTTTGTGATGTGTGTATTAAACTCACAGAGTTGAACATTTCTTTGCATAGAGCAGTTTGGAAAGACTTAGTTTGTGCAGTGTGCAAGTGGATATTTGGAACTCTTTGAGGCCTTCGTTGGAAACGGGATTTCTTCTTATAATTCTTGACAAAAGAATTCTCAGTAGCTTCTTTGTGTGTGTGTATTCAACTCACAGAGTTGAACCTTCCTTTAGACAGAGCAGATTGGAAACACTCTTTTTGTGGAATTTGCAAGTGGAGAATTCTAGCGCTTTGACGCCAATGGTAGAAAGGAAATATCTTCGTATAAAAACTAGACAGTATCATTCTCAGAAACTACTTTGTGATGTGTGCGTTCAACTCACAGAGTTTAACCTTTCTTTTCATAGAGCAGTTTGGAAACACTCTGTTTGTGAAGTCTGCAAGTTGATATTTAAACGTCTTTGAGGCCTTCGTTGGAAACGGGATTTTTTCATATAAACCAGGACAGAGGAATTCTCAGAAACTTCTTGATTGTTATGTGTGCATTCAACTCACAGAGTTGAACCTTACTTTGGAAAGAGCAGTTTTCTAACACTCTTTTTGTAAAAGTTCCAAGTGAATACTTTGAGTGCTTTGAAGCCTACGGTTGACAACGAAATATCTTCATGTAAAAACTACAAAGAATCATTCGCAGAAACCACGTTGTGATCTCTGCATTCAACTCACAGAGTTCAACCTTTCTTCCTATAGAGCAGTTATGAAACAGTCTCTTTGTAGAATTTGCAAGGGTGTATTTAGAGGGCATTGAAGCCTACGGTAGAAAAGGAAATATCTTACCATAAAATCTAGTCAGAAGCATTCTCAGCAACTGAGTTGTGATGTTTGCATTCAACTCACAGAGTTCAACATTCCTTTTAATGGAGCGGTTTTGAAACACTCTTTTTGCAGAATCTGCAAGTGGATATTTGGACCTCTTTGAGGCCTTCGTTGGAAACGGGATTTCTTCATGTAATGCCAGACAGAAGAATTCTCAGTGAATTCTTTCTGTGTGTGTGTATTCAACTCACGGAGTTGAACGTTCCTTTAGACAGAGTAGATTGGAAACACTCTTTTTGTGGAATTTTCAGGTGGAGGTATCAAGCGCTTTGAGGCCAGTGATAGAAAAGGAAATACCTTCGTATAATAATTAGACGGAATCATTCTCAGAAACTGCTTTGCAATGTGTGCGTTCAACTCACAGTGTTTAACCTTTCTTTTCATACAGTTGTTTCGAAACACTCTTTTTGCAGAATCTGCAAGTGGATATTTGGACCTCTTTGAAGTCTTCGTTGGAAATGGGATTTCTTCATATAATGCTAGACAGAAGACTTCTCAGTAACTGCTTTTTCTGGTGTGTATTCAACTCTCAGAGTTGAACTTTCCTTTAGAAACAGCAGATTTGAAACTCTCTTTTTGTGGAATTTGCAAGTGGAGATTTCAGAGCTTTGAGGCCAATGGTAGAAAAGGAAATATCTTCGTATGCAAACTAGACAGAATCATTCTCAGAAACTACTTTGGTACGTGTGTGTTCAACTCACAGTGTTTAACCTTTCTTTTCATAGAGCAGTTTGGAAACACTCAGTTTGTAAAGTCAGCAACTGGATATTTGGATGTATTTGAGGCCTTCGTTGGAAACGGGATTTCTTCATATAATGCTAGACAGAAGAATTCTCAGTAACTTCTTTGGGTTGTGGGTATTCAACTCACAGAGTTGAAGCTTCCTTTAGGCGGAGCAGATTGGAAACACTTTTTGTGGAATTTTCAGGGGGAGACTTCAAGCGCTTTGAAGTGAATGGTAGGAAAGGAAATATCTTCGTATAAAAACTAGACGGAGTCATTCTCAGAAACTACTTTGTGATGTTTGCGTTCAACTCACAGAGTTTAACGTTTCTTTTCATAGAGCAGTTTGGAAACACTCTTTTTGCAGAATCTGCAAGTGGATATTTGGACCTCTTTGTGGCCTTCGTTGGAAACGGTATTTTTCATATAATGCTAGACAGAAGAATTCTCAGTAACTTCTTTTTGTGGTGTGTATTCAACTCACAGAGTTGAACCTTCCTTTAGACAGAGCAGATTTGAAACTCTCTTTTTGTGGAATTTGCAAGTGGAGATTTCAAGCGCTTTGAGGCCAACGGTAGAAAAGGAAATATCTTCGTAGAAAAAATAGACGGAATCATTCTCAGAAACTGCTTTGGGATGTGTGCATTGAACTCACAGTGTTTAACACTTCTTTTCATAGAGCACTTTGGAAACACTCAGTTTGTAATGTCTGCAGCTGGATATTTGGACCTCTTTGAGGCCTTCGTAGTAAACGGGATTTCTTCGTGTAATGATAGACAATAGAATTCTCAGTGAATTTTTTTCTGTGTGTGTGTATTCAACTCACAGGGTTGAACCTTCCTTTAGACAGTGCAGATTTGAGACACTTGTCTGTGGAATTTGCAAGGGGAGATTTCAAGCACTTTGAGGCCATTGGTGGAAAAGGAAATATCTTCGTATAAAAACTAGACAGAATCATTCTCAGGAACTACTTTGTGATATGTGCATTCAACTCACAGAGTTTAACCTTTCTTTTCATAGATGAGTTTGGAAACAGTCAGTTTGTAAATGCTGCAACTGGATATTTGGGCCTCTTTGAGGCTTTCGTTGGAAACGGGATTTCTTCACATAATGCTAGACAGAAGAATTCTCAGTAACTTCTTTTGGGATGTATGTATTCAAATCAGAGAGTTGAACCTTCCTTTAGACAGAGCGGATTGGAAACACTCTTTTTGTGGAATTTGCAAGTGGAAAATTCTAGCAGTATGAGGCCAATGGTACAAAAGGAAATATCTTCGTATAAAAACTAGACAGTATCATTCTCAGAAACTGCTTTGTGATGTGTGTATTAAACTCACAGATTTGAACATTTCTTTGCATAGAGCAGTATGGAAAGACTTAGTTTGTGCAGTGTGCAAGTGGATATTTGGAACTCTTTGAGGCCTTGGTTGGAAACGGGATTTCTTCTTATAATTCTTGACAAAAGAATTCTCAGTAGCTTCTTTGTGTGTGTGTGTACTCAACTCACAGAGTTGAACCTTCCTTTAGACAGAGCAGATTGGAAACACTCTTTTTGTGGAATTTGCAAGTGGAAAATTCTAGCAGTATGAGGCCAATGGTACAAAAGGAAATATCTTCGTATAAAAACTAGACAGTATCATTCTCAGAAACTACTTTGTGATGTGTGCGTTCAACTCACAGTGTTTACCCTTTCTTTTCATAGAGCAGTTTGGAAACACTCTGTTTGTGAAGTCTGCTAGTGGATATTTAAACGTCTTTGAGGCCTTCGTTGGAAACGGGATTTCTTCATATAAACCAGGACAGAAGAATTCTCAGAAACTTCTTGTTTGTTATGTGTGCATTCAACTCACAGAGTTGAACCTTACTTTGGAAAGAGCAGTTTTCTAACACTCTTTTTGTGAAAGTTCCAAGTGAATACTTTGAGTGCTTTGAAGCCTACGGTAGACAACGAAATATCTTCATGTAAAAACTACAAAGAATCATTCGCAGAAACCACGTTGTGATCTCTGCATTCAACTCACAGAGTTCAACCTTTCTTCCTATAGAGCAGTTATGAAACAGTCTCTTTGTAGAATTTGCAAGGGTGTATTTAGAGGGCATTGAAGCCTACGGTAGAAAAGGAAATATCTTACCATAAAATCTAGTCAGAAGCATTCTCAGCAACTGAGTTGTGATGTTTGCATTCAACTCACAGAGTTCAACATTCCTTTTAATGGAGCGGTTTTGAAACACTCTTTTTGCAGAATCTGCAAGTGGATATTTGGACCTCTTTGAGGCCTTCGTTGGAAACGGGATTTCTTCATGTAATGCCAGACAGAAGAATTCTCAGTAACTTCTTTTTGTGGTGTGTATTCAACTCACAGAGTTGAACCTTCCTTTAGACAGAGCAGATTTGAAACTCTCTTTTTGTGGAATTTGCAAGTGGAGATTTCAAGCGCTTTGAGGCCAACGGCAGAAAAGGAAATATCTTCGTAGAAAAAATAGACGGAATCATTCTCAGAAACTGCTTTGGGCATGTGTGCATTGAACTCACAGTGTTTAACACTTCTTTTCATAGAGCACTTTGGAAACACTCAGTTTGTAATGTCTGCAGCTAGATATTTGGACCTCTTTGAGGCCTTCGTAGTAAACGGGATTTCTTCGTGTAATGATAGACAATAGAATTCTCAGTGAATTTTTTTCTGTGTGTGTGTATTCAACTCACAGGGTTGAACTTTCCTTCAGACAGTGCAGATTTGAAACACTTTTCTGTGGAATTTGCAAGGGGAGATTTCAAGCACTTTGAGGCCATTGGTGGAAAAGGAAATATCTTCGTATAAAAACTAGACAGAATCATTCTCAGGAACTACTTTGTGATATGTGCATTCAACTCACAGAGTTTAACCTTTCTTTTCATAGATGAGTTTGGAAACAGTCAGTTTGTAAATTCTGCAACTGGATATTTGGACCTCTTTGAGGCTTTCGTTGGAAACGGGATTTCTTCACATAATGCTAGACAGAAGAATTCTCAGTAACTTCTTTTGGGATGTATGTATTCAAATCAGAGAGTTGAACCTTCCTTTAGACAGAGCGGATTGGAAACACTCTTTTTGTGGAATTTGCAAGTGGAAAATTCTAGCAGTATGAGGCCAATGGTACAAAAGGAAATATCTTCGTATAAAAACTAGACAGTATCATTCTCAGAAACTGCTTTGTGATGTGTGTATTAAACTCACAGAGTTGAACATTTCTTTGCATAGAGCAGTTTGGAAAGACTTAGTTTGTGCAGTGTGCAAGTGGATATTTGGAACTCTTTGAGGCCTTCGTTGGAAACGGGATTTCTTCTTATAATTTCTTGAAAAAAGAATTCTCAGTAGCTTCTTTGTGTGTGTGTATTCAACTCACAGAGTTGAACCTTCCTTTAGACAGAGCAGATTGGAAACACTCTTTTTGTGGAATTTGCAAGTGGAGAATTCTAGCGCTTTGACGCCAATGGTAGAAAGGAAATATCTTCGTATAAAAACTAGACAGTAATCATTCTCAGGAAACTACTTTGTGAGGTGTGCGTTCAACTCACAGTGTTTACCCTTTCTTTTCATAGAGCAGTTTGGAAACACTCTGTTTGTGAAGTCTGCAAGTGGATATTTAAACGTCTTTGAGGCCTTCGTTGGAAACGGGATTTCTTCATATAAACCAGGACAGAAGAATTCTCAGAAACTTCTTGATTGTTATGTGTGCATTCAACTCACAGAGTTGAACCTTACTTTGGAAAGAGCAGTTTTCTAACACTCTTTTTGTAAAAGTTCCAAGTGAATACTTTGAGTGCTTTGAAGCCTACGGTTGACAACGAAATATCTTCATGTAAAAACTACAAAGAATCATTCGCAGAAACCACGTTGTGATCTCTGTATTCAACTCACAGAGTTGAACCTTTCTTCCTATAGAGCAGTTATGAAACAGTCTCTTTGTAGAATTTGCAAGGGTGTATTTAGAGGGCATTGAAGCCTACGGTAGAAAAGGAAATATCTTACCATAAAATCTAGTCAGAAGCATTCTCAGCAACTGAGTTGTGATGTTTGCATTCAACTCACAGAGTTCAACATTCCTTTTAATGGAGCGGTTTTGAAACACTCTTTTTGCAGAATCTGCAAGTGGATATTTGGACCTCTTTGAGGCCTTCGTTGGAAACGGGATTTCTTCATGTAATGCCAGACAGAAGAATTCTCAGTGAATTCTTTCTGTGTGTGTGTATTCAACTCACAGAGTTGAACGTTCCTTTAGACAGAGTAGATTGGAAACACTCTTTTTGTGGAATTTTCAGGTGGAGGTATCAAGCGCTTTGAGGCCAATGATAGAAAAGGAAATACCTTCGTATAATAATTAGACGGAATCATTCTCAGAAACTGCTTTGCAATGTGTGCGTTCAACTCACAGTGTTTAACCTTTCTTTTCATACAGTTGTTTCGAAACACTCTTTTTGCAGAATCTGCAAGTGGATATTTGGACCTCTTTGAAGTCTTCGTTGGAAATGGGATTTCTTCATATAATGCTAGACAGAAGACTTCTCAGTAACTGCTTTTTCTGGTGTGTATTCAACTCTCAGAGTTGAACTTTCCTTTAGAAACAGCAGATTTGAAACTCTCTTTTTGTGGAATTTGCAAGTGGAGATTTCAGAGCTTTGAGGCCAATGGTAGAAAAGGAAATATCTTCGTATGCAAACTAGACAGAATCATTCTCAGAAACTACTTTGGTACGTGTGTGTTCAACTCACAGTGTTTAACCTTTCTTTTCATAGAGCAGTTTGGAAACACTCAGTTTGTAAAGTCAGCCACTGGATATTTGGATGTATTTGAGGCCTTCGTTGGAAACGGGATTTCTTCATATAATGCTAGACAGAAGAATTCTCAGTAACTTCTTTGGGTTGTGGGTATTCAAGTCACAGAGTTGAAGCTTCCTTTAGGCGGAGCAGATTGGAAACACTTTTTGTGGAATTTTCAGGGGGAGACTTCAAGCGCTTTGAAGTGAATGGTAGGAAAGGAAATATCTTCGTATAAAAACTAGACGGAGTCATTCTCAGAAACTACTTTGTGATGTTTGCGTTCAACTCACAGAGTTTAACGTTTCTTTTCATAGAGCAGTTTGGAAACACTCTTTTTGCAGAATCTGCAAGTGGATATTTGGACCTCTTTGTGGCCTTCGTTGGAAACGGGATTTTTCATATAATGCTAGACAGAAGAATTCTCAGTAACTTCTTTTTGTGGTGTGTATTCAACTCACAGAGTTGAACCTTCCTTTAGACAGAGCAGATTTGAAACTCTCTTTTTGTGGAATTTGCAAGTGGAGATTTCAAGCGCTTTGAGGCCAACGGCAGAAAAGAAAATATCTTCGTAGAAAAAATAGACGGAATCATTCTCAGAAACTGCTTTGGGATGTGTGCATTGAACTCACAGTGTTTAACACTTCTTTTCATAGAGCACTTTGGAAACACTCAGTTTGTAATGTCTGCAGCTGGATATTTGGACCTCTTTGAGGCCTTCGTAGTAAACGGGATTTCTTCGTGTAATGATAGACAATAGAATTCTCAGTGAATTTTTTTCTGTGTGTGTGTATTCAACTCACAGGGTTGAACCTTCCTTTAGACAGTGCAGATTTGAGACACTTGTCTGTGGAATTTGCAAGGGGAGATTTCAAGCACTTTGAGGCCATTGGTGGAAAAGGAAATATCTTCGTATAAAAACTAGACAGAATCATTCTCAGGAACTACTTTGTGATATGTGCATTCAACTCACAGAGTTTAACCTTTCTTTTCATAGATGAGTTTGGAAACAGTCAGTTTGTAAATGCTGCAACTGGATATTTGGGCCTCTTTGAGGCTTTCGTTGGAAACGGGATTTCTTCACATAATGCTAGACAGAAGAATTCTCAGTAACTTCTTTTGGGATGTATGTATTCAAATCAGAGAGTTGAACCTTCCTTTAGACAGAGCGGATTGGAAACACTCTTTTTGTGGAATTTGCAAGTGGCAAATTCTAGCAGTATGAGGCCAATGGTACAAAAGGAAATATCTTCGTATAAAAACTAGACAGTATCATTCTCAGAAACTGCTTTGTGATGTGTGTATTAAACTCACAGATTTGAACATTTCTTTGCATAGAGCAGTATGGAAAGACTTAGTTTGTGCAGTGTGCAAGTGGATATTTGGAACTCTTTGAGGCCTTGGTTGGAAACGGGATTTCTTCTTATAATTCTTGACAAAAGAATTCTCAGTAGCTTCTTTGTGTGTGTGTACTCAACTCACAGAGTTGAACCTTCCTTTAGACAGAGCAGATTGGAAACACTCTTTTTGTGGAATTTGCAAGTGGAAAATTCTAGCAGTATGAGGCCAATGGTACAAAAGGAAATATCTTCGTATAAAAACTAGACAGTATCATTCTCAGAAACTACTTTGTGAGGTGTGCGTTCAACTCACAGTGTTTACCCTTTCTTTTCATAGAGCAGTTTGGAAACACTCTGTTTGTGAAGTCTGCAAGTGGATATTTAAACGTCTTTGAGGCCTTCGTTGGAAACGGGATTTCTTCATATAAACCAGGACAGAAGAATTCTCAGAAACTTCTTGTTGTTATGTGTGCATTCAACTCACAGAGTTGAACCTTACTTTGGAAAGAGCAGTTTTCTAACACTCTTTTTGTAAAAGTTCCAAGTGAATACTTTGAGTGCTTTGAAGCCTACGGTAGACAACGAAATATCTTCATGTAAAAACTACAAAGAATCATTCGCAGAAACCACGTTGTGATCTCTGCATTCAACTCACAGAGTTGAACCTTTCCTCCTATAGAGCAGTTATGAAGCAGTCTCTTTGTAGAATTTGCAAGGGTGTATTTACAGGGCATTGAAGCCTACGGTAGAAAAGGAAATATCTTACCATAAAATCTAGTCAGAAGCATTCTCAGCAACTGAGTTGTGATGTTTGCATTCAACTCACAGAGTTCAACATTCCTTTTAATGGAGCGGTTTTGAAACACTCTTTTTGCAGAATCTGCAAGTGGATATTTGGACCTCTTTGAGGCCTTCGTTGGAAACGGGATTTCTTCATGTAATGCCAGACAGAAGAATTCTCAGTGAATTCTTTCTGTGTGTGTGTATTCAACTCACAGAGTTGAACGTTCCTTTAGACAGAGTAGATTGGAAACACTCTTTTTGTGGAATTTTCAGGTGGAGGTATCAAGCGCTTTGAGGCCAATGATAGAAAAGGAAATACCTTCGTATAATAATTAGACGGAATCATTCTCAGAAACCGCTTTGCAATGTGTGCGTTCAACTCACAGTGTTTAACCTTTCTTTTCATACAGTTGTTTCGAAACACTCTTTTTGCAGAATCTGCAAGTGGATATTTGGACCTCTTTGAAGTCTTCGTTGGAAATGGGATTTCTTCATATAATGCTAGACAGAAGACTTCTCAGTAACTGCTTTTTCTGGTGTGTATTCTACTCTCAGAGTTGAACTTTCCTTTAGAAACAGCAGATTTGAAACTCTCTTTTTGTGGAATTTGCAAGTGGAGATTTCAGAGCTTTGAGGCCAATGGTAGAAAAGGAAATATCTTCGTATGCAAACTAGACAGAATCATTCTCAGAAACTACTTTGGTACGTGTGTGTTCAACTCACAGTGTTTAACCTTTCTTTTCATAGAGCAGTTTGGAAACACTCAGTTTGTAAAGTCAGCAACTGGATATTTGGATGTATTTGAGGCCTTCGTTGGAAACGGGATTTCTTCATATAATGCTAGACAGAAGAATTCTCAGTAACTTCTTTGGGTTGTGGGTATTCAAGTCACAGAGTTGAAGCTTCCTTTAGGCGGAGCAGATTGGAAACACTTTTTGTGGAATTTTCAGGGGGAGACTTCAAGCGCTTTGAAGTGAATGGTAGGAAAGGAAATATCTTCGTATAAAAACTAGACGGAGTCATTCTCAGAAACTACTTTGTGATGTTTGCGTTCAACTCACAGAGTTTAACGTTTCTTTTCATAGAGCAGTTTGGAAACACTCTTTTTGCAGAATCTGCAAGTGGATATTTGGACCTCTTTGTGGCCTTCGTTGGAAACGGGATTTTTCATATAATGCTAGACAGAAGAATTCTCAGTAACTTCTTTTTGTGGTGTGTATTCAACTCACAGAGTTGAACCTTCCTTTAGACAGAGCAGATTTGAAACTCTCTTTTTGTGGAATTTGCAAGTGGAGATTTCAAGTGCTTTGAGGCCAACGGCAGAAAAGGAAATATCTTCGTAGAAAAAATAGACGGAATCATTCTCAGAAACTGCTTTGGGATGTGTGCATTGAACTCACAGTGTTTAACACTTCTTTTCATAGAGCACTTTGGAAACACTCAGTTTGTAATGTCTGCAGCTGGATATTTGGACCTCCTTGAGGCCTTCGTAGTAAACGGGATTTCTTCGTGTAATGATAGACAATAGAATTCTCAGTGAATTTTTTTCTGTGTGTGTGTATTCAACTCACAGGGTTGAACCTTCCTTTAGACAGTGCAGATTTGAAACACTTGTCTGTGGAATTTGCAAGGGGAGATTTCAAGCACTTTGAGGCCATTGGTGGAAAAGGAAATATCTTCGTATAAAAACTAGACAGAATCATTCTCAGGAACTACTTTGTGATATGTGCATTCAACTCACAGAGTTTAACCTTTCTTTTCATAGATGAGTTTGGAAACAGTCAGTTTGTAAATTCTGCAACTGGATATTTGGACCTCTTTGAGGCTTTCGTTGGAAACGGGATTTCTTCACATAATGCTAGACAGAAGAATTCTCAGTAACTTCTTTTGGGATGTATGTATTCAAATCAGAGAGTTGAACCTTCCTTTAGACAGAGCGGATTGGAAACACTCTTTTTGTGGAATTTGCAAGTGGAAAATTCTAGCAGTATGAGGCCAATGGTACAAAAGGAAATATCTTCGTATAAAAACTAGACAGTATCATTCTCAGAAACTGCTTTGTGATGTGTGTATTAAACTCACAGAGTTGAACATTTCTTTGCATAGAGCAGTTTGGAAAGACTTAGTTTGTGCAGTGTGCAAGTGGATATTTGGAACTCTTTGAGGCCTTCGTTGGAAACGGGATTTCTTCTTATAATTCTTGACAAAAGAATTCTCAGTAGCTTCTTTGTGTGTGTGTATTCAACTCACAGAGTTGAACCTTCCTTTAGACAGAGCAGATTGGAAACACTCTTTTTGTGGAATTTGCAAGTGGAGAATTCTAGCGCTTTGACGCCAATGGAAGGAAAGGAAATATCTCCGTATAAAAACTAGACAGTATCATTCTCAGAAACTACTTTGTGATGTGTGCGTTCAACTCACAGAGTTTAACCTTTCTTTTCATAGAGCAGTTTGGAAACACTCTGTTTGTGAAGTCTGCAGGTGGATATTTAAACGTCTTTGAGGCCTTCGTTGGAAACGGGATTTTTTCATATAAACCAGGACAGAAGGATTCTCAGAAACTTCTTGTTTGTTATGTGTGCATTCAACTCACAGAGTTGAACCTTACTTTGGAAAGAGCAGTTTTCTAACACTCTTTTTGTAAAAGTTCCAAGTGAATACTTTGAGTGCTTTGAAGCCTACGGTAGACAACGAAATATCTTCATGTAAAAACTACAAAGAATCATTCGCAGAAACCACGTTGTGATCTCTGCATTCAACTCACAGAGTTCAACCTTTCTTCCTATAGAGCAGTTATTAAACAGTCTCTTTGTAGAATTTGCAAGGGTGTATTTAGAGGGCATTGAAGCCTACGGTAGAAAAGGAAATATCTTACCATAAAATCTAGTCAGAAGCATTCTCAGAAACTGAGTTGTGATGTTTGCATTCAACTCACAGAGTTCAACATTCCTTTTAATAGAGCGGTTTTGAAACACTCTTTTTGCAGAATCTGCAAGTGGATATTTGGACCTCTTTGAGGCCTTCGTTGGAAACGGGATTTCTTCATGTAATGCCAGACAGAAGAATTCTCAGTGAATTCTTTCTGTGTGTGTGTATTCAACTCACAGAGTTGAACGTTCCTTTAGACAGAGTAGATTGGAAACACTCTTTTTGTGGAATTTTCAGGTGGAGGTATCAAGCTCTTTGAGGCCCATGATAGAAAAGGAAATACCTTCGTATAATAATTAGACGGAATCATTGTCAGAAAATGCTTTGCAATGGGTGCGTTCAACTCACAGTGTTTAACCTTTCTTTTCATACAGTTGTTTCGAAACACTCTTTTTGCAGAATCTGCAAGTGGATATTTGGACCTGTTTGAAGTCTTCTTTGGAAATGGGATTTCTTCATATAATGCTAGACAGAAGACTTCTCAGTAACTGCTTTTTCTGGTGTGTATTCAACTCTCAGAGTTGAACTTTCCTTTAGGAACAGCAGATTTGAAACTCTCTTTTTGTGGAATTTGCAAGTGGAGATTTCAAAGCTTTGAGGCCAGTGGTAGAAAAGGAAATATCTTTGTATGCAAACTAGACAGAATCATTCTCAGAAACTACTTTGGTACGTGTGTGTTCAACTCACAGTGTTTAACCTTTCTTTTCATAGAGCAGTTTGGAAACACTCAGTTTGTAAAGTCAGCCACTGGATATGTGGATGTATTTGAGGCCTTCGTTGGAAACGGGATTTCTTCCTATAATGCGAGACAGAAGAATTCTCAGTAACTTCTTTGTGTTGTGGGTATTCAACTCACAGAGTTGAAGCTTCCTTTAGGCGGAGCAGATTGGAAACACTTTTTGTGGAATTTTCAGGGGGAGACTTCAAGCGCTTTGAGGCCAACGGTAGAAAAGGAAATATCTTCGTATAAAAACTAGACGGAGTCATTCTCAGAAACTACTTTGTGATGTTTGCATTCAACTCACAGAGTTTAACGTTTCTTTTCATAGAGCAGTTTGGAGACACTCTTTTTGCAGAATCTGCAAGTGGATATTTGGACCTCTTTGTGGCCTTCGTTGGAAACGGGATTTTTCATATAATGCTAGACAGAAGAATTCTCAGTAACTTCTTTTTGTGGTGTGTATTCAACTCACAGAGTTGAACCTTCCTTTAGACAGAGCAGATTTGAAACTCTCTTTTTGTGGAATTTGCAAGTGGAGATTTCAAGCGCTTTGAGGCCAACGGTAGAAAAGGAAATATCTTCGTAGAAAAAACAGACGGAATCATTCTCAGAAACTGCTTTGGGATGTGTGCATTGAACTCACAGTGTTTAACACTTCTTTTCATAGAGCACTTTGGAAACACTCAGTTTGTAATGTCTGCAGCTGGATATTTGGACCTCTTTGAGGCCTTCGTAGTAAACGGGATTTCTTCGTGTAATGATAGACAATAGAATTCTCAGTGAATTTTTTTCTGTGTGTGTGTATTCAACTCACAGGGTTGAACCTTCCTTTAGACAGTGCAGATTTGAAACACTTGTCTGTGGAATTTGCAAGGGAGAGAGATTTCAAGCACTTTGAGGCCATTGGTGGAAAAGGAAATATCTTCGTATAAAAACTAGACAGAATCATTCTCAGGAACTACTTTGTGATATGTGCATTCAACTCACAGAGTTTAACCTTTCTTTTCATAGATGAGTTTGGAAACAGTCAGTTTGTAAATTCTGCAACTGGATATTTGGACCTCTTTGAGGCTTTCGTTGGAAACGGGATTTCTTCACATAATGCTAGACAGAAGAATTCTCAGTAAATTCTTTTGGGATGTATGTATTCAAATCAGAGAGTTGAACCTTCCTTTAGACAGAGCGGATTGGAAACACTCTTTTTGTGTAATTTGCAAGTGGAAAATTCTAGCAGTATGAGGCCAATGGTACAAAAGGAAATATCTTCGTATAAAAACTAGACAGTATCATTCTCAGAAACTGCTTTGTGATGTGTGTATTAAACTCACAGAGTTGAACATTTCTTTGCATAGAGCAGTTTGGAAAGACTTAGTTTGTGCAGTGTGCAAGTGGATATTTGGAACTCTTTGAGGCCTTCGTTGGAAACGGGATTTCTTCTTATAATTCTTGACAAAAGAATTCTCAGTAGCTTCTTTGTGTGTGTGTATTCAACTCACAGAGTTGAACCTTCCTTTAGACAGAGCAGATTGGAAACACTCTTTTTGTGGAATTTGCAAGTGGAGAATTCTAGCGCTTTGACACCAATGGTAGAAAGGAAATATCTTCGTATAAAAACTAGACAGTATCATTCTCAGAAGCTACTTTGTGATGTGTGCGTTCAACTCACAGAGTTTAACCTTTCTTTTCATAGAGCAGTTTGGAAACACTCTGTTTGTGAAGTCTGCAAGTGGATATTTAAACGTCTTTGAGGCCTTCGTTGGAAACGGGATTTTTTCATATAAACCAGGACAGAAGAATTCTCAGAAACTTCTTGATTGTTATGTGTGCATTCAACTCACAGAGTTGAACCTTACTTTGGAAAGAGCAGTTTTCTAACACTCTTTTTGTAAAAGTTCCAAGTGAATACTTTGAGTGCTTTGAAGCCTACGGTTGACAACGAAATATCTTCCTGTAAAAACTACAAAGAATCATTCGCAGAAACCACGTTGTGATCTCTGCATTCAACTCACAGAGTTCAACCTTTCTTCCTATAGAGCAGTTATGAAACAGTCTCTTTGTAGAATTTGCAAGGGTGTATTTAGAGGGCATTGAAGCCTACGGTAGAAAAGGAAATATCTTACCATAAAATCTAGTCAGAATCATTCTCAGAAACTGCTTTGAGATGTGTGTATTAAACTCACAGAGTTGAACATTTCTTTGCATAGAGCAGTTTGGAAAGACTTAGTTTGTGCAGTGTGCAAGTGGATATTTGGAACTCTTTGAGGCCTTCGTTGGAAACGGGATTTCTTCATGTAATGCCAGACAGAAGAATTCTCAGTGAATTCTTTCTGTGTGTGTGTATTCAACTCACAGAGTTGAACGTTCCTTTAGACAGAGTAGATTGGAAACACTCTTTTTGTGGAATTTTCAGGTGGAGGTATCAAGCGCTTTGAGGCCAATGATAGAAAAGGAAATACCTTCGTATAATAATTAGACGGAATCATTCTCAGAAACTGCTTTGCAATGTGTGCGTTCAACTCACAGTGTTTAACCTTTCCTTTTCATACAGTTGTTTCGAAACACTCTTTTTGCAGAATCTGCAAGTGGATATTTGGACCTCTTTGAAGTCTTCGTTGGAAATGGGATTTCTTCATATAATGCTAGACAGAAGACTTCTCAGTAACTGCTTTTTCTGGTGTGTATTCAACTCTCAGAGTTGAACTTTCCTTTAGAAACAGCAGATTTGAAACTCTCTTTTTGTGGAATTTGCAAGTGGAGTTTTCAGAGCTTTGAGGACAATGGTAGAAAAGGAAATATCTTCGTATGCAAACTAGACAGAATCATTCTCAGAAACTACTTTGGTACGTGTGTGTTCAACTCACAGTGTTTAATCTTTCTTTTCATAGAGCAGTTTGGAAACACTCAGTTTGTGAAGTCAGCAACTGGATATTTGGATGTATTTGAGGCCTTCGTTGGAAACGGGATTTCTTCATATAATGCTAGACAGAAGAATTCTCAGTAACTTCTTTGTGTTGTGGGTATTCAACTCACAGAGTTGAAGCTTCCTTTAGGCGGAGCAGATTGGAAACACTTTTTGTGGAATTTTCAGGGGGAGACTTCAAGCGCTTTGAGGCCAACGGTAGAAAAGGAAATATCTTCGTATAAAAACTAGACGGAGTCATTCTCAGAAACTACTTTGTGATGTTTGCGTTCAACTCACAGAGTTTAACGTTTCTTTTCATAGAGCAGTTTGGAGACACTCTTTTTGCAGAATCTGCAAGTGGATATTTGGACCTCTTTGTGGCCTTCGTTGGAAACGGGATTTTTCATATAATGCTAGACAGAAGAATTCTCAGTAACTTCTTTTTGTGGTGTGTATTCAACTCACAGAGTTGAACCTTCCTTTAGACAGAGCAGATTTGAAACTCTCTTTTTGTGGAATTTGCAAGTGGAGATTTCAAGCGCTTTGAGGCCAACGGTAGAAAAGGAAATATCTTCGTAGAAAAAATAGACGGAATCATTCTCAGAAACTGCTTTGGGATGTGTGCATTGAACTCACAGTGTTTAACACTTCTTTTCATAGAGCACTTTGGAAACACTCAGTTTGGAATGTCTGCAGCTGGATATTTGGACCTCTTTGAGGCCTTCGTAGTAAACGGGATTTCTTCGGGTAATGATAGACAATAGAATTCTCAGTGAATTTTTTTCTGTGTGTGTGTATTCAACTCACAGGGTTGAACCTTCCTTTAGACAGTGCAGATTTGAGACACTTGTCTGTGGAATTTGCAAGGGGAGATTTCAAGCACTTTGAGGCCATTGGTGGAAAAGGAAATATCTTCGTATAAAAACTAGACAGAATCATTCTCAGGAACTACTTTGTGATATGTGCATTCAACTCACAGAGTTTAACCTTTCTTTTCATAGATGAGTTTGGAAACAGTCAGTTTGTAAATGCTGCAACTGGATATTTGGGCCTCTTTGAGGCTTTCGTTGGAAACGGGATTTCTTCACATAATGCTAGACAGAAGAATTCTCAGTAACTTCTTTTGGGATGTATGTATTCAAATCAGAGAGTTGAACCTTCCTTTAGACAGAGCGGATTGGAAACACTCTTTTTGTGGAATTTGCAAGTGGAAAATTCTAGCAGTATGAGGCCAATGGTACAAAAGGAAATATCTTCGTATAAAAACTAGACAGTATCATTCTCAGAAACTGCTTTGTGATGTGTGTATTAAACTCACAGATTTGAACATTTCTTTGCATAGAGCAGTATGGAAAGACTTAGTTTGTGCAGTGTGCAAGTGGATATTTGGAACTCTTTGAGGCCTTGGTTGGAAACGGGATTTCTTCTTATAATTCTTGACAAAAGAATTCTCAGTAGCTTCTTTGTGTGTGTGTACTCAACTCACAGAGTTGAACCTTCCTTTAGACAGAGCAGATTGGAAACACTCTTTTTGTGGAATTTGCAAGTGGAAAATTCTAGCAGTATGAGGCCAATGGTACAAAAGGAAATATCTTCGTATAAAAACTAGACAGTATCATTCTCAGAAACTACTTTGTGAGGTGTGCGTTCAACTCACAGTGTTTACCCTTTCTTTTCATAGAGCAGTTTGGAAACACTCTGTTTGTGAAGTCTGCAAGTGGATATTTAAACGTCTTTGAGGCCTTCGTTGGAAACGGGATTTCTTCATATAAACCAGGACAGAAGAATTCTCAGAAACTTCTTGTTTGTTATGTGTGCATTCAACTCACAGAGTTGAACCTTACTTTGGAAAGAGCAGTTTTCTAACACTCATTTGTAAAAGTTCCAAGTGAATACTTTGAGTGCTTTGAAGCGCTACGGTAGACAACGAAATATCTTCATGTAAAAACTACAAAGAATCATTCGCAGAAACCACGTTGTGATCTCTGCATTCAACTCACAGAGTTGAACCTTTCCTCCTATAGAGCAGTTATGAAACAGTCTCTTTGTAGAATTTGCAAGGGTGTATTTAGAGGGCATTGAAGCCTACGGTAGAAAAGGAAATATCTTACCATAAAATCTAGTCAGAAGCATTCTCAGCAACTGAGTTGTGATGTTTGCATTCAACTCACAGAGTTCAACATTCCTTTTAATGGAGCGGTTTTGAAACACTCTTTTTGCAGAATCTGCAAGTGGATATTTGGACCTCTTTGAGGCCTTCGTTGGAAACGGGATTTCTTCATGTAATGCCAGACAGAAGAATTCTCAGTGAATTCTTTCTGTGTGTGTGTATTCAACTCACAGAGTTGAACGTTCCTTTAGACAGAGTAGATTGGAAACACTCTTTTTGTGGAATTTTCAGGTGGAGGTATCAAGCGCTTTGAGGCCAATGATAGAAAAGGAAATACCTTCGTATAATTATTAGACGGAATCATTCTCAGAAACTGCTTTGCAATGTGTGCATTCAACTCACAGTGTTTAACCTTTCTTTTCATACAGTTGTTTCGAAACACTCTTTTTGCAGAATCTGCAAGTGGATATTTGGACCTCTTTGAAGTCTTCGTTGGAAATGGGATTTCTTCATATAATGCTAGACAGAAGACTTCTCAGTAACTGCTTTTTCTGGTGTGTATT
The DNA here is from genome assembly GCF_000001405.40 of Homo sapiens. Classification (NCBI taxonomy): domain Eukaryota; kingdom Metazoa; phylum Chordata; class Mammalia; order Primates; family Hominidae; genus Homo; species Homo sapiens. The sequence continues at coordinate 92,550,146 of NC_000003.12, forward strand.
CAACTCTCAGAGTTGAACTTTCCTTTAGAAACAGCAGATTTGAAACTCTCTTTTTGTGGAATTTGCAAGTGGAGATTTCAGAGCTTTGAGGCCAATGGTAGAAAAGGAAATATCTTCGTATGCAAACTAGACAGAATCATTCTCAGAAACTACTTTGGTACGTGTGTGTTCAACTCACAGTGTTTAACCTTTCTTTTCATAGAGCAGTTTGGAAACACTCAGTTTGTAAAGTCAGCAACTGGATATTTGGATGTATTTGAGGCCTTCGTTGGAAACGGGATTTCTTCATATAATGCTAGACAGAAGAATTCTCAGTAACTTCTTTGGGTTGTGGGTATTCAAGTCACAGAGTTGAAGCTTCCTTTAGGCGGAGCAGATTGGAAACACTTTTTGTGGAATTTTCAGGGGGAGACTTCAAGCGCTTTGAAGTGAATGGTAGGAAAGGAAATATCTTCGTATAAAAACTAGACGGAGTCATTCTCAGAAACTACTTTGTGATGTTTGCGTTCAACTCACAGAGTTTAACGTTTCTTTTCATAGAGCAGTTTGGAAACACTCTTTTTGCAGAATCTGCAAGTGGATATTTGGACCTCTTTGTGGCCTTCGTTGGAAACGGGATTTTTCATATAATGCTAGACAGAAGAATTCTCAGTAACTTCTTTTTGTGGTGTGTATTCAACTCACAGAGTTGAACCTTCCTTTAGACAGAGCAGATTTGAAACTCTCTTTTTGTGGAATTTGCAAGTGGAGATTTCAAGCGCTTTGAGGCCAACGGCAGAAAAGGAAATATCTTCGTAGAAAAAATAGACGGAATCATTCTCAGAAACTGCTTTGGGATGTGTGCATTGAACTCACAGTGTTTAACACTTCTTTTCATAGAGCACTTTGGAAACACTCAGTTTGTAATGTCTGCAGCTGGATATTTGGACCTCTTTGAGGCCTTCGTAGTAAACGGGATTTCTTCGTGTAATGATAGACAATAGAATTCTCAGTGAATTTGTTTCTGTGTGTGTGTATTCAACTCACAGGGTTGAACCTTCCTTTAGACAGTGCAGATTTGAAACACTTGTCTGTGGAATTTGCAAGGGGAGATTTCAACCACTTTGAGGCCATTGGTGGAAAAGGAAATATCTTCATATAAAAACTAGACAGAATCATTCTCAGGAACTACTTTGTGATATGTGCATTCAACTCACAGAGTTTAACCTTTCTTTTCATAGATGAGTTTGGAAACAGTCAGTTTGTAAATTCTGCAACTGGATATTTGGACCTCTTTGAGGCTTTCGTTGGAAACGGGATTTCTTCACATAATGCTAGACAGAAGAATTCTCAGTAACTTCTTTTGGGATGTATGTATTCAAATCAGAGAGTTGAACCTTCCTTTAGACAGAGCGGATTGGAAACACTCTTTTTGTGGAATTTGCAAGTGGAAAATTCTAGCAGTATGAGGCCAATGGTACAAAAGGAAATATCTTCGTATAAAAACTAGACAGTATCATTCTCAGAAACTGCTTTGTGATGTGTGTATTAAACTCACAGAGTTGAACATTTCTTTGCATAGAGCAGTTTGGAAAGACTTAGTTTGTGCAGTGTGCAAGTGGATATTTGGAACTCTTTGAGGCCTTCGTTGGAAACGGGATTTCTTCTTATAATTCTTGACAAAAGAATTCTCAGTAGCTTCTTTGTGTGTGTGTATTCAACTCACAGAGTTGAACCTTCCTTTAGACAGAGCAGATTGGAAACACTCTTTTTGTGGAATTTGCAAGTGGAGAATTCTAGCGCTTTGACGCCAATGGTAGAAAGGAAATATCTTCGTATAAAAACTAGACAGTATCATTCTCAGAAACTACTTTGTGATGTGTGCGTTCAATTCACAGAGTTTAACCTTTCTTTTCATAGAGCAGTTTGGAAACACTCTGTTTGTGAAGTCTGCAAGTGGATATTTAAACGTCTTTGAGGCCTTCATTGGAAACGGGATTTGTTCATATAAACCAGGACAGAAGAATTCTCAGAAACTTCTTGATTGTTATGTGTGCATTCAACTCACAGAGTTGAACCTTACTTTGGAAAGAGCAGTTTTCTAACACTCTTTTTGTAAAAGTTCCAAGTGAATACTTTGAGTGCTTTGAAGCCTACGGTTGACAACGAAATATCTTCATGTAAAAACTACAAAGAATCATTCGCAGAAACCACGTTGTGATCTCTGCAGTCAACTCACAGAGTTCAACCTTTCTTCCTATAGAGCAGTTATGAAACAGTCTCTTTGTAGAATTTGCAAGGGTGTATTTAGAGGGCATTGAAGCCTACGGTAGAAAAGGAAATATCTTACCATAAAATCTAGTCAGAAGCATTCTCAGAAACTGAGTTGTGATGTTTGCATTCAACTCACAGAGTTCAACATTCCTTTTAATGGAGCGGTTTTGAAACACTCTTTTTGCAGAATCTGCAAGTGGATATTTGGACCTCTTTGAGGCCTTCGTTGGAAACGGGATTTCTTCATGTAATGCCAGACAGAAGAATTCTCAGTGAATTCTTTCTGTGTGTGTGTATTCAACTCACAGAGTTGAACGTTCCTTTAGACAGAGTAGATTGGAAACACTCTTTTTGTGGAATTTTCAGGTGGAGGTATCAAGCGCTTTGAGGCCAATGATAGAAAAGGAAATACCTTCGTATAATAATTAGACGGAATCATTCTCAGAAACTGCTTTGCAATGTGTGCGTTCAACTCACAGTGTTTAACCTTTCTTTTCATACAGTTGTTTCGAAACACTCTTTTTGCAGAATCTGCAAGTGGATATTTGGACCTCTTTGAAGTCTTCGTTGGAAATGGGATTTCTTCATATAATGCTAGACAGAAGACTTCTCAGTAACTGCTTTTTCTGGTGTGTATTCAACTCTCAGAGTTGAACTTTCCTTTAGAAACAGCAGAGTTGAAACTCTCTTTTTGTGGAATTTGCAAGTGGAGATTTCAAAGCTTTGAGGCCAATGGTAGAAAAGGAAATATCTTCGTATGCAAACTAGACAGAATCATTCTCAGAAACTACTTTGGTACGTGTGTGTTCAACTCACAGTGTTTAACCTTTCTTTTCATAGAGCAGTTTGGAAACACTCAGTTTGTAAAGTCAGCAACTGGATATTTGGATGTATTTGAGGCCTTCGTTGGAAACGGGATTTCTTCATATAGTGCTAGACAGAAGAATTCTCAGTAACTTCTTAGGGTTGTGGGTATTCAACTCACAGAGTTGAAGCTTCCTTTAGGCGGAGCAGATTGGAAACACTTTTTGTGGAATTTTCAGGGGGAGACTTCAAGCGCTTTGAAGTGAATGGTAGAAAAGGAAATATCTTCGTATAAAAACTAGACGGAGTCATTCTCAGAAACTACTTTGTGATGTTTGCGTTCAACTCACAGAGTTTAACGTTTCTTTTCATAGAGCAGTTTGGAAACACTCTTTTTGCAGAATCTGCAAGTGGATATTTGGACCTCTTTGTGGCCTTCGTTGGAAACGGGATTTTTCATATAATGCTAGACAGAAGAATTCTCAGTAACTTCTTTTTGTGGTGTGTATTCAACTCACAGAGTTGAACCTTCCTTTAGACAGAGCAGATTTGAAACTCTCTTTTTGTGGAATTTGCAAGTGGAGATTTCAAGCGCTTTGAGGCCAACGGTAGAAAAGGAAATATCTTCGTAGAAAAAATAGACGGAATCATTCTCAGAAACTGCTTTGGGATGTGTGCATTGAACTCACAGTGTTTAACACTTCTTTTCATAGAGCACTTTGGAAACACTCAGTTTGTAATGTCTGCAGCTGGATATTTGGACCTCTTTGAGGCCTTCGTAGTAAACGGGATTTCTTCGTGTAATGATAGACAATAGAATTCTCAGTGAATTTTTTTCTGTGTGTGTGTATTCAACTCACAGGGTTGAACCTTCCTTTAGACAGTGCAGATTTGAGACACTTGTCTGTGGAATTTGCAAGGGGAGATTTCAAGCACTTTGAGGCCATTGGTGGAAAAGGAAATATCTTCGTATAAAAACTAGACAGAATCATTCTCAGGAACTACTTTGTGATATGTGCATTCAACTCACAGAGTTTAACCTTTCTTTTCATAGATGAGTTTGGAAACAGTCAGTTTGTAAATGCTGCAACTGGATATTTGGGCCTCTTTGAGGCTTTCGTTGGAAACGGGATTTCTTCACATAATGCTAGACAGAAGAATTCTCAGTAACTTCTTTTGGGATGTATGTATTCAAATCAGAGAGTTGAACCTTCCTTTAGACAGAGCGGATTGGAAACACTCTTTTTGTGGAATTTGCAAGTGGAAAATTCTAGCAGTATGAGGCCAATGGTACAAAAGGAAATATCTTCGTATAAAAACTAGACAGTATCATTCTCAGAAACTGCTTTGTGATGTGTGTATTAAACTCACAGATTTGAACATTTCTTTGCATAGAGCAGTATGGAAAGACTTAGTTTGTGCAGTGTGCAAGTGGATATTTGGAACTCTTTGAGGCCTTGGTTGGAAACGGGATTTCTTCTTATAATTCTTGACAAAAGAATTCTCAGTAGCTTCTTTGTGTGTGTGTACTCAACTCACAGAGTTGAACCTTCCTTTAGACAGAGCAGATTGGAAACACTCTTTTTGTGGAATTTGCAAGTGGAAAATTCTAGCAGTATGAGGCCAATGGTACAAAAGGAAATATCTTCGTATAAAAACTAGACAGTATCATTCTCAGAAACTACTTTGTGAGGTGTGCGTTCAACTCACAGTGTTTACCCTTTCTTTTCATAGAGTAGTTTGGAAACACTCTGTTTGTGAAGTCTGCAAGTGGATATTTAAACGTCTTTGAGGCCTTCGTTGGAAACGGGATTTCTTCATATAAACCAGGACAGAAGAATTCTCAGAAACTTCTTGTTTGTTATGTGTGCATTCAACTCACAGAGTTGAACCTTACTTTGGAAAGAGCAGTTTTCTAACACTCTTTTTGTGAAAGTTCCAAGTGAATACTTTGAGTGCTTTGAAGCCTTACGGTAGACAACGAAATATCTTCATGTAAAAACTACAAAGAATCATTCGCAGAAACCACGTTGTGATCTCTGCATTCAACTCACAGAGTTGAACCTTTCCTCCTATAGAGCAGTTATGAAGCAGTCTCTTTGTAGAATTTGCAAGGGTGTATTTACAGGGCATTGAAGCCTACGGTAGAAAAGGAAATATCTTACCATAAAATCTAGTCAGAAGCATTCTCAGAAACTGAGTTGTGATGTTTGCATTCAACTCACAGAGTTCAACATTCCTTTTCATGGAGCAGTTTTGAAACACTCTTTTTGCAGAATCTGCAAGTGGATATTTGGACCTCTTTGAGGCCTTCGTTGGAAACGGGATTTCTTCATGTAATGCCAGACAGAAGAATTCTCAGTGAATTCTTTCTGTGTGTGTGTATTCAACTCACGGAGTTGAACGTTCCTTTAGACAGAGTAGATTGGAAACACTCTTTTTGTGGAATTTTCAGGTGGAGGTATCAAGCGCTTTGAGGCCAATGATAGAAAAGGAAATACCTTCGTATAATAATTAGACGGAATCATTCTCAGAAACTGCTTTGCAATGTGTGCGTTCAACTCACAGTGTTTAACCTTTCTTTTCATACAGTTTTGTTTCGAAACACTCTTTTTGCAGAATCTGCAAGTGGATATTTGGACCTCTTTGAAGTCTTCGTTGGAAATGGGATTTCTTCATATAATGCTAGACAGAAGACTTCTCAGTAACTGCTTTTTCTGGTGTGTATTCAACTCTCAGAGTTGAACTTTCCTTTAGAAACAGCAGAGTTGAAACTCTCTTTTTGTGGAATTTGCAAGTGGAGATTTCAAAGCTTTGAGGCCAATGGTAGAAAAGGAAATATCTTCGTATGCAAACTAGACAGAATCATTCTCAGAAACTACTTTGGTACGTGTGTGTTCAACTCACAGTGTTTAACCTTTCTTGTCATAGAGCAGTTTGGAAACACTCAGTTTGTAAAGTCAGCAACTGGATATTTGGATGTATTTGAGGCCTTCGTTGGAAACGGGATTTCTTCATATAATGCTAGACAGAAGAATTCTCAGTAACTTCTTTGGGTTGTGGGTATTCAACTCACAGAGTTGAAGCTTCCTTTAGGCGGAGCAGATTGGAAACACTTTTTGTGGAATTTTCAGGGGGAGACTTCAAGCGCTTTGAAAGTGAATGGTAGGAAAGGAAATATCTTCGTATAAAAACTAGACGGAGTCATTCTCAGAAACTACTTTGTGATGTTTGCGTTCAACTCACAGAGTTTAACGTTTCTTTTCATAGAGCAGTTTGGAAACACTCTTTTGGCAGAATCTGCAAGTGGATATTTGGACCTCTTTGTGGCCTTCGTTGGAAACGGGATTTTTCATATAATGCTAGACAGAAGAATTCTCAGTAACTTCTTTTTGTGGTGTGTATTCAACTCACAGAGTTGAACCTTCCCTTTAGACAGAGCAGATTTGAAACTCTCTTTTTGTGGAATTTGCAAGTGGAGATTTCAAGCGCTTTGAGGCCAACGGTAGAAAAGGAAATATCTTCGTAGAAAAAATAGACGGAATCATTCTCAGAAACTGCTTTGGGATGTGTGCATTGAACTCACAGTGTTTAACACTTCTTTTCATAGAGCACTTTGGAAACACTCAGTTTGTAATGTCTGCAGCTGGATATTTGGACCTCTTTGAGGCCTTCGTAGTAAACGGGATTTCTTCGTGTAATGATAGACAATAGAATTCTCAGTGAATTTTTTTCTGTGTGTGTGTATTCAACTCACAGGGTTGAACCTTCCTTTAGACAGTGCAGATTTGAAACACTTGTCTGTGGAATTTGCAAGGGGAGATTTCAAGCACTTTGAGGCCATTGGTGGAAAAGGAAATATCTTCGTATGAAAACTAGACAGAATCATTCTCAGGAACTACTTTGTGATATGTGCATTCAACTCACAGAGTTTAACCTTTCTTTTCATAGATGAGTTTGGAAACAGTCAGTTTGTAAATTCTGCAACTGGATATTTGGACCTCTTTGAGGCTTTCGTTGGAAACGGGATTTCTTCACATAATGCTAGACAGAAGAATTCTCAGTAACTTCTTTTGGGATGTATGTATTCAAATCAGAGAGTTGAACCTTCCTTTAGACAGAGCGGATTGGAAACACTCTTTTTGTGGAATTTGCAAGTGGAAAATTCTAGCAGTATGAGGCCAATGGTACAAAAGGAAATATCTTCGTATAAAAACTAGACAGTATCATTCTCAGAAACTGCTTTGTGATGTGTGTATTAAACTCACAGAGTTGAACATTTCTTTGCATAGAGCAGTTTGGAAAGACTTAGTTTGTGCAGTGTGCAAGTGGATATTTGGAACTCTTTGAGGCCTTCGTTGGAAACGGGATTTCTTCTTATAATTCTTGACAAAAGAATTCTCAGTAGCTTCTTTGTGTGTGTGTATTCAACTCACAGAGTTGAACCTTCCTTTAGACAGAGCAGATTGGAAACACTCTTTTTGTGGAATTTGCAAGTGGAGAATTCTAGCGCTTTGACGCCAATGGTAGAAAGGAAATATCTTCGTATAAAAACTAGACAGTATCATTCTCAGAAGCTACTTTGTGATGTGTGCGTTCAACTCACAGAGTTTAACCTTTCTTTTCATAGAGCAGTTTGGAAACCCTCTGTTTGTGAAGTCTGCAAGTGGATATATAAACGTCTTTGAGGCCTTCGTTGGAAACGGGATTTTTTCATATAAACCAGGACAGAAGAATTCTCAGAAACTTCTTGATTGTTATGTGTGCATTCAACTCACAGAGTTGAACCTTACTTTGGAAAGAGCAGTTTTCTAACACTCTTTTTGTAAAAGTTCCAAGTGAATACTTTGAGTGCTTTGAAGCCTACGGTTGACAACGAAATATCTTCCTGTAAAAACTACAAAGAATCATTCGCAGAAACCACGTTGTGATCTCTGCATTCAACTCACAGAGTTGAACCTTTCTTCCTATAGAGCAGTTATGAAACAGTCTCTTTGTAGAATTTGCAAGGGTGTATTTAGAGGGCATTGAAGCCTACGGTAGAAAAGGAAATATCTTACCATAAAATCTAGTCAGAAGCATTCTCAGCAACTGAGTTGTGATGTTTCCATTCAACTCACAGAGTTCAACATTCCTTTTAATGGAGCGGTTTTGAAACACTCTTTTTGCAGAATCTGCAAGTGGATATTTGGACCTCTTTGAGGCCTTCGTTGGAAACGGGATTTCTTCATGTAATGCCAGACAGAAGAATTCTCAGTGAATTCTTTCTGTGTGTGTGTATTCAACTCACAGAGTTGAACGTTCCTTTAGACAGAGTAGATTGGAAACACTCTTTTTGTGGAATTTTCAGGTGGAGGTATCAAGCGCTTTGAGGCCAATGATAGAAAAGGAAATACCTTCGTATAATAATTAGACGGAATCATTCTCAGAAACTGCTTTGCAATGTGTGCGTTCAACTCACAGTGTTTAACCTTTCTTTTCATACAGTTGTTTCGAAACACTCTTTTTGCAGAATCTGCAAGTGGATATTTGGACCTCTTTGAAGTCTTCGTTGGAAATGGGATTTCTTCATATAATGCTAGACAGAAGACTTCTCAGTAACTGCTTTTTCTGGTGTGTATTCAACTCTCAGAGTTGAACTTTCCTTTAGAAACAGCAGATTTGAAACTCTCTTTTTGTGGAATTTGCAAGTGGAGATTTCAGAGCTTTGAGGCCAATGGTAGAAAAGGAAATATCTTCGTATGCAAACTAGACAGAATCATTCTCAGAAACTACTTTGGTACGTGTGTGTTCAACTCACAGTGTTTAACCTTTCTTTTCATAGAGCAGTTTGGAAACACTCAGTTTGTAAAGTCAGCAACTGGATATTTGGATGTATTTGAGGCCTTCGTTGGAAACGGGATTTCTTCATATAATGCTAGACAGAAGAATTCTCAGTAACTTCTTTGGGTTGTGGGTATTCAAGTCACAGAGTTGAAGCTTCCTTTAGGCGGAGCAGATTGGAAACACTTTTTGTGGAATTTTCAGGGGGAGACTTCAAGCGCTTTGAAGTGAATGGTAGGAAAGGAAATATCTTCGTATAAAAACTAGACGGAGTCATTCTCAGAAACTACTTTGTGATGTTTGCGTTCAACTCACAGAGTTTAACGTTTCTTTTCATAGAGCAGTTTGGAAACACTCTTTGCAGAATCTGCAAGTGGATATTTGGACCTCTTTGTGGCCTTCGTTGGAAACGGGATTTTTCATATAATGCTAGACAGAAGAATTCTCAGTAACTTCTTTTTGTGGTGTGTATTCAACTCACAGAGTTGAACCTTCCTTTAGACAGAGCAGATTTGAAACTCTCTTTTTGTGGAATTTGCAAGTGGAGATTTCAAGCGCTTTGAGGCCAACGGCAGAAAAGGAAATATCTTCGTAGAAAAAATAGACGGCATCATTCTCAGAAACAGCTTTGGGATGTGTGCATTGAACTCACAGTGTTTAACACTTCTTTTCATAGAGCACTTTGGAAACACTCAGTTTGTAATGTCTGCAGCTGGATATTTGGACCTCTTTGAGGCCTTCGTAGTAAACGGGATTTCTTCGTGTAATGATAGACAATAGAATTCTCAGTGAATTTTTTTCTGTGTGTGTGTATTCAACTCACAGGGTTGAACCTTCCTTTAGACAGTGCAGATTTGAAACACTTGTCTGTGGAATTTGCAAGGGGAGATTTCAAGCACTTTGAGGCCATTGGTGGAAAAGGAAATATCTTCGTATAAAAACTAGACAGAATCATTCTCAGGAACTACTTTGTGATATGTGCATTCAACTCACAGAGTTTAACCTTTCTTTTCATAGATGAGTTTGGAAACAGTCAGTTTGTAAATTCTGCAACTGGATATTTGGACCTCTTTGAGGCTTTCGTTGGAAACGGGATTTCTTCACATAATGCTAGACAGAAGAATTCTCAGTAACTTCTTTTGGGATGTATGTATTCAAATCAGAGAGTTGAACCTTCCTTTAGACAGAGCGGATTGGAAACACTCTTTTTGTGGAATTTGCAAGTGGAAAATTCTAGCAGTATGAGGCCAATGGTACAAAAGGAAATATCTTCGTATAAAAACTAGACAGTATCATTCTCAGAAACTGCTTCGTGATGTGTGTATTAAACTCACAGAGTTGAACATTTCTTTGCATAGAGCAGTTTGGAAAGACTTAGTTTGTGCAGTGTGCAAGTGGATATTTGGAACTCTTTGAGGCCTTCGTTGGAAACGGGATTTCTTCTTATAATTCTTGACAAAAGAATTCTCAGTAGCTTCTTTGTGTGTGTGTATTCAACTCACAGAGTTGAAACCTGCCTTGAGACAGAGCAGATTGGAAACACTCTTTTTGTGGAATTTGCAAGTGGAGAATTCTAGCGCTTTGACGCCAATGGTAGAAAGGAAATATCTTCGTATAAAAACTAGACAGTATCATTCTCAGAAACTACTTTGTGATGTGTGCGTTCAACTCACCGAGTTTAACCTTTCTTTTCATAGAGCAGTTTGGAAACACTCTGTTTGTGAAGTCTGCAAGTGGATATTTAAACGTCTTTGAGGCCTTCGTTGGAAACGGGATTTTTTCATATAAACCAGGACAGAAGAAATCTCAGAAACTTCTTGTTTATTATGTGTGCATTCAACTCACAGAGTTGAACCTTACTTTGGAAAGAGCAGTTTTCTAACACTCTTTTTGTAAAAGTTCCAAGTGAATACTTTGAGTGCTTTGAAGCCTACGGTAGACAACGAAATATCTTCATGTAAAAACTGCAAAGAATCATTCGCAGAAACCACGTTGTGATCTCTGCATTCAACTCACAGAGTTGAACCTTTCTTCCTATAGAGCAGTTATGAAACAGTCTCTTTGTAGAATTTGCAAGGGTGTATTTAGAGGGCATTGAAGCCTACGGTAGAAAAGGAAATATCTTACCATAAAATCTAGTCAGAAGCATTCTCAGAAACTGAGTTGTGATGTTTGCATTCAACTCACAGAGTTCAACATTCCTTTTAATGGAGCGGTTTTGAAACACTCTTTTTGCAGAATCTGCAAGTGGATATTTGGACCTCTTTGAGGCCTTCGTTGGAAACGGGATTTCTTCATGTAATGCCAGACAGAAGAATTCTCAGTGAATTCTTTCTGTGTGTGTGTATTCAACTCACAGAGTTGAACGTTCCTTTAGACAGAGTAGATTGGAAACACTCTTTTTGTGGAATTTTCAGGTGGAGGTATCAAGCGCTTTGAGGCCAATGATAGAAAAGGAAATACCTTCGTATAATAATTAGACGGAATCATTCTCAGAAACTGCTTTGGGATGTGTGCATTGAACTCACAGTGTTTAACACTTCTTTTCATAGAGCACTTTGGAAACACTCAGTTTTTAATGTCTGCAGCTGGATATTTGGACCTCTTTGAGGCCTTCGTAGTAAACGGGATTTCTTCGTGTAATGATAGACAATAGAATTCTCAGTGAATTTTTTTCTGTGTGTGTGTATTCAACTCACAGGGTTGAACCTTCCTTTAGACAGTGCAGATTTGAAACACTTGTCTGTGGAATTTGCAAGGGGAGATTTCAAGCACTTTGAGGCCATTGGTGGAAAAGGAAATATCTTCGTATGAAAACTAGACAGAATCATTCTCAGGAACTACTTTGTGATATGTGCATTCAACTCCCAGAGTTTAACCTTTCTTTTCATAGATGAGTTTGGAAACAGTCAGTTTGTAAATTCTGCAACTGGATATTTGGACCTCTTTGAGGCTTTCGTTGGAAATGGGATTTCTTCACATAATGCTAGACAGAAGAATTCTCAGTAACTTCTTTTGGGATGTATGTATTCAAATCAGAGAGTTGAACCTTCCTTTAGACAGAGCGGATTGGAAACACTCTTTTTGTGGAATTTGCAAGTGGAAAATTCTAGCAGTATGAGGCCAATGGTACAAAAGGAAATATCTTCGTATAAAAACTAGACAGTATCATTCTCAGAAACTGCTTTGTGATGTGTGTATTAAACTCACAGAGTTGAACATTTCTTTGCATAGAGCAGTTTGGAAAGACTTAGTTTGTGCAGTGTGCAAGTGGATATTTGGAACTCTTTGAGGCCTTCGTTGGAAACGGGATTTCTTCTTATAATTCTTGACAAAAGAATTCTCAGTAGCTTCTTTGTGTGTGTGTATTCAACTCACAGAGTTGAACCTTCCTTTAGACAGAGCAGATTGGAAACACTCTTTTTGTGGAATTTGCAAGTGGAGAATTCTAGCGCTTTGACGCCAATGGTAGAAAGGAAATATCTTCGTATAAAAACTAGACAGTATCATTCTCAGAAGCTACTTTGTGATGTGTGCGTTCAACTCACAGAGTTTAACCTTTCTTTTCATAGAGCAGTTTGGAAACCCTCTGTTTGTGAAGTCTGCAAGTGGATATTTAAACGTCTTTGAGGCCTTCGTTGGAAACGGGATTTTTTCATATAAACCAGGACAGAAGAATTCTCAGAAACTTCTTGATTGTTATGTGTGCATTCAACTCACAGAGTTGAACCTTACTTTGGAAAGAGCAGTTTTCTAACACTCTTTTTGTAAAAGTTCCAAGTGAATACTTTGAGTGCTTTGAAGCCTACGGTTGACAACGAAATATCTTCATGTAAAAACTACAAAGAATCATTCGCAGAAACCACGTTGTGATCTCTGCATTCAACTCACAGAGTTCAACCTTTCTTCCTATAGAGCAGTTATGAAACAGTCTCTTTGTAGAATTTGCAAGGGTGTATTTAGAGGGCATTGAAGCCTACGGTAGAAAAGGAAATATCTTACCATAAAATCTAGTCAGAAGCATTCTCAGAAACTGAGTTGTGATGTTTGCATTCAACTCACAGAGTTCAACATTCCTTTTAATGGAGCGGTTTTGAAACACTCTTTTTGCAGAATCTGCAAGTGGATATTTGGACCTCTTTGAGGCCTTCGTTGGAAACGGGATTTCTTCATGTAATGCCAGACAGAAGAATTCTCAGTAACTTCTTTTTGTGGTGTGTATTCAACTCACAGAGTTGAACCTTCCTTTAGACAGAGCAGATTTGAAACTCTCTTTTTGTGGAATTTGCAAGTGGAGATTTCAAGCGCTTTGAGGCCAACGGCAGAAAAGGAAATATCTTCGTAGAAAAAATAGACGGAATCATTCTCAGAAACTGCTTTGGGATGTGTGCATTGAACTCACAGTGTTTAACACTTCTTTTCATAGAGCACTTTGGAAACACTCAGTTTGTAATGTCTGCAGCTGGATATTTGGACCTCTTTGAGGCCTTCGTAGTAAACGGGATTTCTTCGTGTAATGATAGACAATAGAATTCTCAGTGAATTTTTTTCTGTGTGTGTGTATTCAACTCACAGGGTTGAACCTTCCTTTAGACAGTGCAGATTTGAAACACTTGTCTGTGGAATTTGCAAGGGGAGATTTCAAGCACTTTGAGGCCATTGGTGGAAAAGGAAATATCTTCGTATAAAAACTAGACAGAATCATTCTCAGGAACTACTTTGTGATATGGGCATTCAACTCCCAGAGTTTAACCTTTCTTTTCATAGATGAGTTTGGAAACAGTCAGTTTGTAAATTCTGCAACTGGATATTTGGACCTCTTTGAGGCTTTCGTTGGAAACGGGATTTCTTCACATAATGCTAGACAGAAGAATTCTCAGTAACTTCTTTTGGGATGTATGTATTCAAATCAGAGAGTTGAACCTTCCTTTAGACAGAGCGGATTGGAAACACTCTTTTTGTGGAATTTGCAAGTGGAAAATTCTAGCAGTATGAGGCCAATGGTAAAAAAGGAAATATCTTCGTATAAAAACTAGACAGTATCATTCTCAGAAACTGCTTTGTGATGTGTGAATTAAACTCACAGAGTTGAACATTTCTTTGCATAGAGCAGTTTGGAAAGACTTAGTTTTTGCAGTGTGCAAGTGGATATTTGGAACTCTTTGAGGCCTTCGTTGGAAACGGGATTTCTTCTTATAATTCTTGACAAAAGAATTCTCAGTAGCTTCTTTGTGTGTGTGTATTCAACTCACAGAGTTGAACCTTCCTTTAGACAGAGCAGATTGGAAACACTCTTTTTGTGGAATTTGCAAGTGGAGAATTCTAGCGCTTTGACGCCAATGGTAGAAAGGAAATATCTTCGTATAAAAACTAGACAGTATCATTCTCAGAAGCTACTTTGTGATGTGTGCGTTCAACTCACAGAGTTTAACCTTTCTTTTCATAGAGCAGTTTGGAAACCCTCTGTTTGTGAAGTCTGCAAGTGGATATTTAAACGTCTTTGAGGCCTTCGTTGGAAACGGGATTTTTTCATATAAACCAGGACAGAAGAATTCTCAGAAACTTCTTGATTGTTATGTGTGCATTCAACTCACAGAGTTGAACCTTACTTTGGAAAGAGCAGTTTTCTAACACTCTTTTTGTAAAAGTTCCAAGTGAATACTTTGAGTGCTTTGAAGCCTACGGTTGACAACGAAATATCTTCATGTAAAAACTACAAAGAATCATTCGCAGAAACCACGTTGTGATCTCTGCATTCAACTCACAGAGTTGAACCTTTCTTCCTATAGAGCAGTTATGAAACAGTCTCTTTGTAGAATTTGCAAGGGTGTATTTAGAGGGCATTGAAGCCTACGGTAGAAAAGGAAATATCTTACCATAAAATCTAGTCTGAAGCATTCTCAGCAACTGAGTTGTGATGTTTGCATTCAACTCACAGAGTTCAACATTCCTTTTAATGGAGCGGTTTTGAAACACTCTTTTTGCAGAATCTGCAAGTGGATATTTGGACCTCTTTGAGGCCTTCGTTGGAAACGGGATTTCTTCATGTAATGCCAGACAGAAGAATTCTCAGTGAATTCTTTCTGTGTGTGTGTATTCAACTCACAGAGTTGAACGTTCCTTTAGACAGAGTAGATTGGAAACACTCTTTTTGTGGAATTTTCAGGTGGAGGTATCAAGCGCTTTGAGGCCAATGATAGAAAAGGAAATACCTTCGTATAATAATTAGACGGAATCATTCTCAGAAACCGCTTTGCAATGTGTGCGTTCAACTCACAGTGTTTAACCTTTCTTTTCATACAGTTGTTTCGAAACACTCTTTTTGCAGAATCTGCAAGTGGATATTTGGACCTCTTTGAAGTCTTCGTTGGAAATGGGATTTCTTCATATAATGCTAGACAGAAGACTTCTCAGTAACTGCTTTTTCTGGTGTGTATTCAACTCTCAGAGTTGAACTTTCCTTTAGAAACAGCAGATTTGAAACTCTCTTTTTGTGGAATTTGCAAGTGGAGATTTCAGAGCTTTGAGGCCAATGGTAGAAAAGGAAATATCTTCGTATGCAAACTAGACAGAATCATTCTCAGAAACTACTTTGGTACGTGTGTGTTCAACTCACAGTGTTTAACCTTTCTTTTCATAGAGCAGTTTGGAAACACTCAGTTTGTAAAGTCAGCAACTGGATATTTGGATGTATTTGAGGCCTTCGTTGGAAACGGGATTTCTTCATATAATGCTAGACAGAAGAATTCTCAGTAACTTCTTTGGGTTGTGGGTATTCAAGTCACAGAGTTGAAGCTTCCTTTAGGCGGAGCAGATTGGAAACACTTTTTGTGGAATTTTCAGGGGGAGACTTCAAGCGCTTTGAAGTGAATGGTAGGAAAGGAAATATCTTCGTATAAAAACTAGACGGAGTCATTCTCAGAAACTACTTTGTGATGTTTGCGTTCAACTCACAGAGTTTAACGTTTCTTTTCATAGAGCAGTTTGGAAACACTCTTTTTGCAGAATCTGCAAGTGGATATTTGGACCTCTTTGTGGCCTTCGTTGGAAACGGGATTTTTCATATAATGCTAGACAGAAGAATTCTCAGTAACTTCTTTTTGTGGTGTGTATTCAACTCACAGAGTTGAACCTTCCTTTAGACAGAGCAGATTTGAAACTCTCTTTTTGTGGAATTTGCAAGTGGAGATTTCAAGCGCTTTGAGGCCAACGGCAGAAAAGGAAATATCTTCGTAGAAAAAATAGACGGAATCATTCTCAGAAACTGCTTTGGGATGTGTGCATTGAACTCACAGTGTTTAACACTTCTTTTCATAGAGCACTTTGGAAACACTCAGTTTGTAATGTCTGCAGCTGGATATTTGGACCTCTTTGAGGCCTTCGTAGTAAACGGGATTTCTTCGTGTAATGATAGACAATAGAATTCTCAGTGAATTTTTTTCTGTGTGTGTGTATTCAACTCACAGGGTTGAACCTTCCTTTAGACAGTGCAGATTTGAAACACTTGTCTGTGGAATTTGCAAGGGGAGATTTCAAGCACTTTGAGGCCATTGGTGGAAAAGGAAATATCTTCGTATAAAAACTAGACAGAATCATTCTCAGGAACTACTTTGTGATATGTGCATTCAACTCCCAGAGTTTAACCTTTCTTTTCATAGATGAGTTTGGAAACAGTCAGTGTGTAAATTCTGCAACTGGATATTTGGACCTCTTTGAGGCTTTCGTTGGAAACGGGATTTCTTCACATAATGCTAGACAGAAGAATTCTCAGTAACTTCTTTTGGGATGTATGTATTCAAATCAGAGAGTTGAACCTTCCTTTAGACAGAGCGGATTGGAAAGACTCTTTTTGTGGAATTTGCAAGTGGAAAATTCTAGCAGTATGAGGCCAATGGTACAAAAGGAAATATCTTCGTATAAAAACTAGACAGTATCATTCTCAGAAACTGCTTTGTGATGTGTGCATTAAACTCACAGAGTTGAACATTTCTTTGCATAGAGCAGTTTGGAAAGACTTAGTTTGTACAGTGTGCAAGTGGATATTTGGAACTCTTTGAGGCCTTCGTTAGAAACGGGATTTCTTCTTATAATTCTTGACAAAAGAATTCTCAGTAGCTTCTTTGTGTGTGTGTATTCAACTCACAGAGTTGAACCTTCCTTTAGACAGAGCAGATTGGAAACACTCTTTTTGTGGAATTTGCAAGTGGAGAATTCTAGCGCTTTGACGCCAATGGAAGGAAAGGAAATATCTCCGTATAAAAACTAGACAGTATCATTCTCAGAAACTACTTTGTGATGTGTGCGTTCAACTCACAGAGTTTAACCTTTCTTTTCATAGAGCAGTTTGGAAACACTCTGTTTGTGAAGTCTGCAAGTGGATATTTAAACGTCTTTGAGGCCTTCGTTGGAAACGGGATTTTTTCATATAAACCAGGACAGAAGGATTCTCAGAAACTTCTTGTTTGTTATGTGTGCATTCAACTCACAGAGTTGAACCTTACTTTGGAAAGAGCAGTTTTCTAACACTCTTTTTGTAAAAGTTCCAAGTGAATACTTTGAGTGCTTTGAAGCCTACGGTAGACAACGAAATATCTTCATGTAAAAACTACAAAGAATCATTCGCAGAAACCACGTTGTGATCTCTGCATTCAACTCACAGAGTTCAACCTTTCTTCCTATAGAGCAGTTATTAAACAGTCTCTTTGTAGAATTTGCAAGGGTGTATTTAGAGGGCATTGAAGCCTACGGTAGAAAAGGAAATATCTTACCATAAAATCTAGTCAGAAGCATTCTCAGAAACTGAGTTGTGATGTTTGCATTCAACTCACAGAGTTCAACATTCCTTTTAATAGAGCGGTTTTGAAACACTCTTTTTGCAGAATCTGCAAGTGGATATTTGGACCTCTTTGAGGCCTTCGTTGGAAACGGGATTTCTTCATGTAATGCCAGACAGAAGAATTCTCAGTGAATTCTTTCTGTGTGTGTGTATTCAACTCACAGAGTTGAACGTTCCTTTAGACAGAGTAGATTGGAAACACTCTTTTTGTGGAATTTTCAGGTGGAGGTATCAAGCGCTTTGAGGCCCATGATAGAAAAGGAAATACCTTCGTATAATAATTAGACGGAATCATTGTCAGAAAATGCTTTGCAATGGGTGCGTTCAACTCACAGTGTTTAACCTTTCTTTTCATACAGTTGTTTCGAAACACTCTTTTTGCAGAATCTGCAAGTGGATATTTGGACCTGTTTGAAGTCTTCTTTGGAAATGGGATTTCTTCATATAATGCTAGACAGAAGACTTCTCAGTAACTGCTTTTTCTGGTGTGTATTCAACTCTCAGAGTTGAACTTTCCTTTAGGAACAGCAGATTTGAAACTCTCTTTTTGTGGAATTTGCAAGTGGAGATTTCAAAGCTTTGAGGCCAGTGGTAGAAAAGGAAATATCTTTGTATGCAAACTAGACAGAATCATTCTCAGAAACTACTTTGGTACGTGTGTGTTCAACTCACAGTGTTTAACCTTTCTTTGCATAGAGCAGTTTGGAAACACTCAGTTTGTAAAGTCAGCAACTGGATATCTGGATGTATTTGAGGCCTTCGTTGGAAACGGGATTTCTTCATGTAATGCTAGACAGAAGAATTCTCAGTAACTTCTTTGTGTTGTGGGTATTCAACTCACAGAGTTGAAGCTTCCTTTAGGCGGAGCAGATTGGAAACACTTTTTGTGGAATTTTCAGGGGGAGACTTCAAGCGCTTTGAGGCCAACGGTAGAAAAGGAAATATCCTTCGTATAAAAACTAGACGGAGTCATTCTCAGAAACTACTTTGTGATGTTTGCGTTCAACTCACAGAGTTTAACAGTTTCTTTTCATAGAGCAGTTTGGAAACACTCTTTTTGCAGAATCTGCAAGTGGATATTTGGACCTCTTTGTGGCCTTCGTTGGAAACGGGATTTTTCATATAATGCTAGACAGAAGAATTCTCAGTAACTTCTTTTTGTGGTGTGTATTCAACTCACAGAGTTGAACCTTCCTTTAGACAGAGCAGATTTGAAACTCTCTTTTTGTGGAATTTGCAAGTGGAGATTTCAAGCGCTTTGAGGCCAACGGCAGAAAAGGAAATATCTTCGTAGAAAAAATAGACGGAATCATTCTCAGAAACTGCTTTGGGATGTGTGCATTGAACTCACAGTGTTTAACACTTCTTTTCATAGAGCACTTTGGAAACACTCAGTTTGTAATGTCTGCAGCTGGATATTTGGACCTCTTTGAGGCCTTCGTAGTAAACGGGATTTCTTCGTGTAATGATAGACAATAGAATTCTCAGTGAATTTTTTTCTGTGTGTGTGTATTCAACTCACAGGGTTGAACCTTCCTTTAGACAGTGCAGATTTGAAACACTTGTCTGTGGAATTTGCAAGGGGAGATTTCAAGCACTTTGAGGCCATTGGTGGAAAAGGAAATATCTTCGTATAAAAACTAGACAGAATCATTCTCAGGAACTACTTTGTGATATGTGCATTCAACTCACAGAGTTTAACCTTTCTTTTCATAGATGAGTTTGGAAACAGTCAGTTTGTAAATTCTGCAACTGGATATTTGGACCTCTTTGAGGCTTTCGTTGGAAACGGGATTTCTTCACATAATGCTAGACAGAAGAATTCTCAGTAACTTCTTTTGGGATGTATGTATTCAAATCAGAGAGTTGAACTTTCCTTTAGACAGAGCGGATTGGAAACACTCTTTTTGTGGAATTTGCAAGTGGAGAATTCTAGCGCTTTGACGCCAATGGTAGAAAGGAAATATCTTCGTATAAAAACTAGACAGTATCATTCTCAGAAACTGCTTTGTGATGTGTTCATTAAACTCACAGGGTTGAACATTTCTTTGCATAGAGCAGTTTGGAAAGACTTAGTTTGTACAGTGTGCAAGTGGATATTTGGAACTCTTTGAGGCCTTCGTTGGAAACGGGATTTCTTCTTATAATTCTTGACAAAAGAATTCTCAGTAGCTTCTTTGTGTGTGTGTATTCAACTCACAGAGTTGAACCTTCCTTTAGACAGAGCAGATTGGAAACACTCTTTTTGTGGAATTTGCAAGTGGAGAATTCTAGCGCTTTGACGCCAATGGTAGAAAGGAAATATCTTCGTATAAAAACTAGACAGTATGATTCTCAGAAGCTACTTTGTGATGTGTGCGTTCAACTCACAGAGTTTAACCTTTCTTTTCATAGAGCAGTTTGGAAACACTCTGTTTGTGAAGTCTGCAAGTGGATATTTAAACGTCTTTGAGGCCTTCGTTGGAAACGGGATTTTTTCATATAAACCAGGACAGAAGAATTCTCAGAAACGTCTTGATTGTTATGTGTGCATTCAACTCACAGAGTTGAACCTTACTTTGGAAAGAGCAGTTTTCTAATACTCTTTTTGTAAAAGTTCCAAGTGAATACTTTGAGTGCTTTGAAGCCTACGGTTGACAACGAAATATCTTCATGTAAAAACTACAAAGAATCATTCGCAGAAACCACGTTGTGATCTCTGCATTCAACTCACAGAGTTCAACCTTTCTTCCTATAGAGCAGTTATGAAACAGTCTCTTTGTAGAATTTGCAAGGGTGTATTTAGAGGGCATTGAAGCCTACGGTAGAAAAGGAAATATCTTACCATAAAATCTAGTCAGAAGCATTCTCAGCAACTGAGTTGTGATGTTTGCATTCAACTCACAGAGTTCAACATTCCTTTTCATGGAGCGGTTTTGAAACACTCTTTTTGCAGAATCTGCAAGTGGATATTTGGACCTCTTTGAGGCCTTCGTTGGAAACGGGATTTCTTCATGTAATGCCAGACAGAAGAATTCTCAGTGAATTCTTTCTGTGTGTGTGTATTCAACTCACAGAGTTGAACGTTCCTTTAGACAGAGTAGATTGGAAACACTCTTTTTGTGGAATTTTCAGGTGGAGGTATCAAGCGCTTTGAGGCCAATGATAGAAAAGGAAATACCTTCGTATAATAATAGACGGAATCATTCTCAGAAACTGCTTTGCAATGTGTGCGTTCAACTCACAGTGTTTAACCTTTCTTTTCATACAGTTGTTTCGAAACACTCTTTTTGCAGAATCTGCAAGTGGATATTTGGACCTCTTTGAAGTCTTCGTTGGAAATGGGATTTCTTCATATAATGCTAGACAGAAGACTTCTCAGTAACTGCTTTTTCTGGTGTGTATTCAACTCCCAGAGTTGAACTTTCCTTTAGAAACAGCAGATTTGAAACTCTCTTTTTGTGGAATTTGCAAGTGGAGATTTCAGAGCTTTGAGGCCAATGGTAGAAAAGGAAATATCTTCGTATGCAAACTAGACAGAATCATTCTCAGAAACTACTTTGGTACGTGTGTGTTCAACTCAGAGTGTTTAACCTTTCTTTTCATAGAGCAGTTTGGAAACACTCAGTTTGTAAAGTCAGCAACTGGATATTTGGATGTATTTGAGGCCTTCGTTGGAAACGGGATTTCTTCATATAATGCTAGACAGAAGAATTCTCAGTAACTTCTTTGGGTTGTGGGTATTCAACTCACAGAGTTGAAGCTTCCTTTAGGCGGAGCAGATTGGAAACACTTTTTGTGGAATTTTCAGGGGGAGACTTCAAGCGCTTTGAAGTGAATGGTAGGAAAGGAAATATCTTCGTATAAAAACTAGACGGAGTCATTCTCAGAAACTACTTTGTGATGTTTGCGTTCAACTCACAGAGTTTAACGTTTCTTTTCATAGAGCAGTTTGGAAACACTCTTTTTGCAGAATCTGCAAGTGGATATTTGGACCTCTTTGTGGCCTTCGTTGGAAACGGGATTTTTCATATAATGCTAGACAGAAGAATTCTCAGTAACTTCTTTTTGTGGTGTGTATTCAACTCACAGAGTTGAACCTTCCTTTAGACAGAGCAGATTTGAAACTCTCTTTTTGTGGAATTTGCAAGTGGAGATTTCAAGCGCTTTGAGGCCAACGGTAGGAAAGGAAATATCTTCGTAGAAAAAATAGACGGAATCATTCTCAGAAACTGCTTTGGGATGTGTGCATTGAACTCACAGTGTTTAACACTTCTTTTCATAGAGCACTTTGGAAACACTCAGTTTGTAATGTCTGCAGCTGGATATTTGGACCTCTTTGAGGCCTTCGTAGTAATCGGGATTTCTTCGTGTAATGATAGACAATAGAATTCTCAGTGAATTTTTTTCTGTGTGTGTGTATTCAACTCACAGGGTTGAACCTTCCTTTAGACAGTGCAGATTTGAAACACTTGTCTGTGGAATTTGCAAGGGGAGATTTCAAGCACTTTGAGGCCATTGGTGGAAAAGGAAATATCTTCGTATGAAAACTAGACAGAATCATTCTCAGGAACTACTTTGTGATATGTGCATTCAACTCACAGAGTTTAACCTTTCTTTTCATAGATGAGTTTGGAAACAGTCAGTTTGTAAATTCTGCAACTGGATATTTGGACCTCTTTGAGGCTTTCGTTGGAAACGGGATTTCTTCACATAATGCTAGACAGAAGAATTCTCAGTAACTTCTTTTGGGATGTATGTATTCAAATCAGAGAGTTGAACCTTCCTTTAGACAGAGCGGATTGGAAACACTCTTTTTGTGGAATTTGCAAGTGGAAAATTCTAGCAGTATGAGGCCAATGGTACAAAAGGAAATATCTTCGTATAAAAACTAGACAGTATCATTCTCAGAAACTGCTTTGTGATGTGTGTATTAAACTCACAGAGTTGAACATTTCTTTGCATAGAGCAGTTTGGAAAGACTTAGTTTGTGCAGTGTGCAAGTGGATATTTGGAACTCTTTGAGGCCTTCGTTGGAAACGGGATTTCTTCTTATAATTTCTTGAAAAAAGAATTCTCAGTAGCTTCTTTGTGTGTGTGTATTCAACTCACAGAGTTGAACCTTCCTTTAGACAGAGCAGATTGGAAACACTCTTTTTGTGGAATTTGCAAGTGGAGAATTCTAGCGCTTTGACGCCAATGGTAGAAAGGAAATATCTTCGTATAAAAACTAGACAGTATCATTCTCAGAAGCTACTTTGTGATGTGTGCGTTCAACTCACAGAGTTTAACCTTTCTTTTCATAGAGCAGTTTGGAAACCCTCTGTTTGTGAAGTCTGCAAGTGGATATTTAAACGTCTTTGAGGCCTTCGTTGGAAACGGGATTTTTTCATATAAACCAGGACAGAAGAATTCTCAGAAACTTCTTGATTGTTATGTGTGCATTCAACTCACAGAGTTGAACCTTACTTTGGAAAGAGCAGTTTTCTAACACTCTTTTTGTAAAAGTTCCAAGTGAATACTTTGAGTGCTTTGAAGCCTACGGTTGACAACGAAATATCTTCATGTAAAAACTACAAAGAATCATTCGCAGAAACCACGTTGTGATCTCTGCATTCAACTCACAGAGTTCAACCTTTCTTCCTATAGAGCAGTTATGAAACAGTCTCTTTGTAGAATTTGCAAGGGTGTATTTAGAGGGCATTGAAGCCTACGGTAGAAAAGGAAATATCTTACCATAAAATCTAGTCAGAAGCATTCTCAGCAACTGAGTTGTGATGTTTGCATTCAACTCACAGAGTTCAACATTCCTTTTAATGGAGCGGTTTTGAAACACTCTTTTTGCAGAATCTGCAAGTGGATATTTGGACCTCTTTGAGGCCTTCGTTGGAAACGGGATTTCTTCATGTAATGCCAGACAGAAGAATTCTCAGTGAATTCTTTCTGTGTGTGTGTATTCAACTCACAGAGTTGAACGTTCCTTTAGACAGAGTAGATTGGAAACACTCTTTTTGTGGAATTTTCAGGTGGAGGTATCAAGCGCTTTGAGGCCAATGATAGAAAAGGAAATACCTTCGTATAATAATTAGACGGAATCATTCTCAGAAACCGCTTTGCAATGTGTGCGTTCAACTCACAGTGTTTAACCTTTCTTTTCATAGAGTTGTTTCGAAACACTCTTTTTGCAGAATCTGCAAGTGGATATTTGGACCTCTTTGAAGTCTTCGGTTGGAAATGGGATTTCTTCATATAATGCTAGACAGAAGACTTCTCAGTAACTGCTTTTTCTGGTGTGTATTCAACTCTCAGAGTTGAACTTTCCTTTAGAAACAGCAGAGTTGAAACTCTCTTTTTGTGGAATTTGCAAGTGGAGATTTCAGAGCTTTGAGGCCAATGGTAGAAAAGGAAATATCTTCGTATGCAAACTAGACAGAATCATTCTCAGAAACTACTTTGGTACGTGTTTGTTCAACTCACAGTGTTTAACCTTTCTTTTCATAGAGCAGTTTGGAAACACTCAGTTTGTAAAGTCAGCAACTGGATATTTGGATGTATTTGAGGCCTTCGTTGGAAACGGGATTTCTTCATATAATGCTAGACAGAAGAATTCTCAGTAACTTCTTTGGGTTGTGGGTATTCAAGTCACAGAGTTGAAGCTTCCTTTAGGCGGAGCAGATTGGAAACACTTTTTGTGGAATTTTCAGGGGGAGACTTCAAGCGCTTTGAAGTGAATGGTAGGAAAGGAAATATCTTCGTATAAAAACTAGACGGAGTCATTCTCAGAAACTACTTTGTGATGTTTGCGTTCAACTCACAGAGTTTAACGTTTCTTTTCATAGAGCAGTTTGGAAACACTCTTTTTGCAGAATCTGCAAGTGGATATTTGGACCTCTTTGTGGCCTTCGTTGGAAACGGGATTTTTCATATAATGCTAGACAGAAGAATTCTCAGTAACTTCTTTTTGTGGTGTGTATTCAACTCACAGAGTTGAACCTTCCTTTAGACAGAGCAGATTTGAAACTCTCTTTTTGTGGAATTTGCAAGTGGAGATTTCAAGCGCTTTGAGGCCAACGGCAGAAAAGGAAATATCTTCGTAGAAAAAATAGACGGAATCATTCTCAGAAACTGCTTTGGGATGTGTGCATTGAACTCACAGTGTTTAACACTTCTTTTCATAGAGCACTTTGGAAACACTCAGTTTGTAATGTCTGCAGCTGGATATTTGGACCTCTTTGAGGCCTTCGTAGTAAACGGGATTTCTTCGTGTAATGATAGACAATAGAATTCTCAGTGAATTTTTTTCTGTGTGTGTGTATTCAACTCACAGGGTTGAACCTTCCTTTAGACAGTGCAGATTTGAAACACTTGTCTGTGGAATTTGCAAGGGGAGATTTCAAGCACTTTGAGGCCATTGGTGGAAAAGGAAATATCTTCGTATGAAAACTAGACAGAATCATTCTCAGGAACTACTTTGTGATATGTGCATTCAACTCACAGAGTTTAACCTTTCTTTTCATAGATGAGTTTGGAAACAGTCAGTTTGTAAATTCTGCAACTGGACATTTGGACCTCTTTGAGGCTTTCGTTGGAAACGGGATTTCTTCACATAATGCTAGACAGAAGAATTCTCAGTAAATTCTTTTGGGATGTATGTATTCAAATCAGAGAGTTGAACCTTCCTTTAGACAGAGCGGATTGGAAACACTCTTTTTGTGGAATTTGCAAGTGGAAAATTCTAGCAGTATGAGGCCAATGGTACAAAAGGAAATATCTTCGTATAAAAACTAGACAGTATCATTCTCAGAAACTGCTTTGTGATGTGCGTATTAAACTCACAGAGTTGAACATTTCTTTGCATAGAGCAGTTTGGAAAGACTTAGTTTGTGCAGTGTGCAAGTGGATATTTGGAACTCTTTGAGGCCTTCGTTGGAAACGGGATTTCTTCTTATAATTCTTGACAAAAGAATTCTCAGTAGCTTCTTTGTGTGTGTGTATTCAACTCACAGAGTTGAACCTTCCTTTAGACAGAGCAGATTGGAAACACTCTTTTTGTGGAATTTGCAAGTGGAGAATTCTAGCGCTTTGACGCCAATGGTAGAAAGGAAATATCTTCGTATAAAAACTAGACAGTATCATTCTCAGAAACTACTTTGTGATGTGTGCGTTCAACTCACAGAGTTTAACCTTTCTTTTCATAGAGCAGTTTGGAAACACTCTGTTTGTGAAGTCTGGAAGTGGATATTTAAACGTCTTTGAGGCCTTCGTTGGAAACGGGATTTTTTCATATAAACCAGGACAGAAGAATTCTCAGAAACTTCTTGATTGTTATGTGTGCATTCAACTCACAGAGTTGAACCTTACTTTGGAAAGAGCAGTTTCCTAACACTCGTTTTGTAAAAGTTCCAAGTGAATACTTTGAGTGCTTTGAAGCCTACGGTTGACAACGAAATATCTTCATGTAAAAACTACAAAGAATCATTCGCAGAAACCACGTTGTGATCTCTGCATTCAACTCACAGAGTTGAACCTTTCTTCCTATAGAGCAGTTATGAAACAGTCTCTTTGTAGAATTTGCAAGGGTGTATTTAGAGGGCATTGAAGCCTACGGTAGAAAAGGAAATATCTTACCATAAAATCTAGTCAGAAGCATTCTCAGCAACTGAGTTGTGATGTTTGCATTCAACTCACAGAGTTCAACATTCCTTTTAATGGAGCGGTTTTGAAACACTCTTTTTGCAGAATCTGCAAGTGGATATTTGGACCTCTTTGAGGCCTTCGTTGGAAACGGGATTTCTTCATGTAATGCCAGACAGAAGAATTCTCAGTGAATTCTTTCTCTGTGTGTGTATTCAACTCACAGAGTTGAACGTTCCTTTAGACAGAGTAGATTGGAAACACTCTTTTTGTGGAATTTTCAGGTGGAGGTATCAAGCGCTTTGAGGCCAATGATAGAAAAGGAAATACCTTCGTATAATAATTAGACGGAATCATTCTCAGAAACTGCTTTGCAATGTGTGCGTTCAACTCACAGTGTTTAACCTTTCTTTTCATACAGTTGTTTCGAAACACTCTTTTTGCAGAATCTGCAAGTGGATATTTGGACCTCTTTGAAGTCTTCGTTGGAAATGGTATTTCTTCATATAATGCTAGACAGAAGACTTCTCAGTAACTGCTTTTTCTGGTGTGTATTCAACTCTCAGAGTTGAACTTTCCTTTAGAAACAGCAGAGTTGAAACTCTCTTTTTGTGGAATTTGCAAGTGGAGATTTCAAAGCTTTGAGGCCAATGGTAGAAAAGGAAATATCTTCGTATGCAAACTAGACAGAATCATTCTCAGAAACTACTTTGGTACGTGTGTGTTCAACTCACAGTGTTTAACCTTTCTTTTCATAGAGCAGTTTGGAAACACTCAGTTTGTAAAGTCAGCAACTGGATATTTGGATGTATTTGAGGCCTTCGTTGGAAACGGGATTTCTTCATATAATGCTAGACAGAAGAATTCTCAGTAACTTCTTTGGGTTGTGGGTATTCAACTCACAGAGTTGAAGCTTCCTTTAGGCGGAGCAGATTGGAAACACTTTTTGTGGAATTTTCAGGGGGAGACTTCAAGCGCTTTGAAGTGAATGGTAGGAAAGGAAATATCTTCGTATAAAAACTAGACGGAGTCATTCTCAGAAACTACTTTGTGATGTTTGCGTTCAACTCACAGAGTTTAACGTTTCTTTTCATAGAGCAGTTTGGAAACACTCTTTTTGCAGAATCTGCAAGTGGATATGTGGACCTCTTTGTGGCCTTCGTTGGAAACGGGATTTTTCATATAATGCTAGACAGAAGAATTCTCAGTAACTTCTTTTTGTGGTGTGTATTCAACTCACAGAATTGAACCTTCCTTTAGACAGAGCAGATTTGAAACTCTCTTTTTGTGGAATTTGCAAGTGGAGATTTCAAGCGCTTTGAGGCCAACGGCAGAAAAGGAAATATCTTTGTAGAAAAAATAGACGGAATCATTCTCAGAAACTGCTTTGGGATGTGTGCATTGAACTCACAGTGTTTAACACTTCTTTTCATAGAGCACTTTGGAAACACTCAGTTTGTAATGTCTGCAGCTGGATATTTGGACCTCTTTGAGGCCTTCGTAGTAAACGGGATTTCTTCGTGTAATGATAGACAATAGAATTCTCAGTGAATTTTTTTCTGTGTGTGTGTATTCAACTCACAGGGTTGAACCTTCCTTTAGACAGTGCAGATTTGAAACACTTGTCTGTGGAATTTGCAAGGGGAGATTTCAAGCACTTTGAGGCCATTGGTGGAAAAGGAAATATCTTCGTATGAAAACTAGACAGAATCATTCTCAGGAACTACTTTGTGATATGTGCATTCAACTCCCAGAGTTCAACCTTTCTTTTCATAGATGAGTTTGGAAACAGTCAGTTTGTAAATTCTGCAACTGGATATTTGGACCTCTTTGAGGCTTTCGTTGGAAACGGGATTTCTTCACATAATGCTAGACAGAAGAATTCTCAGTAACTTCTTTTGGGATGTATGTATTCAAATCAGAGAGTTGAACCTTCCTTTAGACAGAGCGGATTGGAAACACTCTTTTTGTGGAATTTGCAAGTGGAAAATTCTAGCAGTATGAGGCCAATGGTACAAAAGGAAATATCTTCGTATAAAAACTAGACAGTATCATTCTCAGAAACTGCTTTGTGATGTGTGTATTAAACTCACAGAGTTGAACATTTCTTTGCATAGAGCAGTTTGGAAAGACTTAGTTTGTGCAGTGTGCAAGTGGATATTTGGAACTCTTTGAGGCCTTCGTTGGAAACGGGATTTCTTCTTATAATTCTTGACAAAAGAATTCTCAGTAGCTTCTTTGTGTGTGTGTATTCAACTCACAGAGTTGAACCTTCCTTTAGACAGAGCAGATTGGAAACACTCTTTCTGTGGAATTTGCAAGTGGAGAATTCTAGCGCTTTGACGCCAATGGTAGAAAGGAAATATCTTCGTATAAAAACTAGACAGTATCATTCTCAGAAGCTACTTTGTGATGTGTGCGTTCAACTCACAGAGTTTAACCTTTCTTTTCATAGAGCAGTTTGGAAACCCTCTGTTTGTGAAGTCTGAAAGTGGATATTTAAACGTCTTTGAGGCCTTCGTTGGAAACGGGATTTCTTCATATAAACCAGGACAGAAGAATTCTCAGAAACTTCTTGATTGTTATGTGTGCATTCAACTCACAGAGTTGAACCTTACTTTGGAAAGAGCAGTTTTCTAACACTCTTTTTGTAAAAGTTCCAAGTGAATACTTTGAGTGCTTTGAAGCCTACGGTTGACAACGAAATATCTTCATGTAAAAACTACAAAGAATCATTCGCAGAAACCACGTTGTGATCTCTGCATTCAACTCACAGAGTTGAACCTTTCTTCCTATAGAGCAGTTATGAAACAGTCTCTTTGTAGAATTTGCAAGGGTGTATTTAGAGGGCATTGAAGCCTACGGTAGAAAAGGAAATATCTTACCATAAAATCTAGTCAGAAGCATTCTCAGAAACTGAGTTGTGATGTTTGCATTCAACTCACAGAGTTCAACATTCCTTTTAATGGAGCGGTTTTGAAACACTCTTTTTGCAGAATCTGCAAGTGGATATTTGGACCTCTTTGAGGCCTTCGTTGGAAACGGGATTTCTTCATGTAATGCCAGACAGAAGAATTCTCAGTGAATTCTTTCTGTGTGTGTGTATTCAACTCACAGAGTTGAACGTTCCTTTAGACAGAGTAGATTGGAAACACTCTTTTTGTGGAATTTTCAGGTGGAGGTATCAAGCGCTTTGAGGCCAATGATAGAAAAGGAAATACCTTCGTATAATAATTAGACGGAATCATTCTCAGAAACTGCTTTGCAATGTGTGCGTTCAACTCACAGTGTTTAACCTTTCTTTTCATACAGTTGTTTCGAAACACTCTTTTTGCAGAATCTGCAAGTGGATATTTGGACCTCTTTGAAGTCTTCGTTGGAAATGGGATTTCTTCATATAATGCTAGACAGAAGACTTCTCAGTAACTGCTTTTTCTGGTGTGTATTCAACTCTCAGAGTTGAACTTTCCTTTAGAAACAGCAGAGTTGAAACTCTCTTTTTGTGGAATTTGCAAGTGGAGATTTCAAAGCTTTGAGGCCAATGGTAGAAAAGGAAATATCTTCGTATGCAAACTAGACAGAATCATTCTCAGAAACTACTTTGGTACGTGTGTGTTCAACTCACAGTGTTTAACCTTTCTTTTCATAGAGCAGTTTGGAAACACCCAGTTTGTAAAGTCAGCAACTGGATATTTGGATGTATTTGAGGCCTTCGTTGGAAACGGGATTTCTTCATATAGTGCTAGACAGAAGAATTCTCAGTAACTTCTTTGGGTTGTGGGTATTCAACTCACAGAGTTGAAGCTTCCTTTAGGCGGAGCAGATTGGAAACACTTTTTGTGGAATTTTCAGGGGGAGACTTCAAGCGCTTTGAAGTGAATGGTAGAAAAGGAAATATCTTCGTATAAAAACTAGACGGAGTCATTCTCAGAAACTACTTTGTGATGTTTGCGTTCAACTCACAGAGTTTAACGTTTCTTTTCATAGAGCAGTTTGGAAACACTCTTTTTGCAGAATCTGCAAGTGGATATTTGGACCTCTTTGTGGCCTTCGTTGGAAACGGGATTTTTCATATAATGCTAGACAGAAGAATTCTCAGTAACTTCTTTTTGTGGTGTGTATTCAACTCACAGAGTTGAACCTTCCTTTAGACAGAGCAGATTTGAAACTCTCTTTTTGTGGAATTTGCAAGTGGAGATTTCAAGCGCTTTGAGGCCAACGGTAGAAAAGGAAATATCTTCGTAGAAAAAATAGACGGAATCATTCTCAGAAACTGCTTTGGGATGTGTGCATTGAACTCACAGTGTTTAACACTTCTTTTCATAGATCACTTTGGAAACACTCAGTTTGTAATGTCTGCAGCTGGATATTTGGACCTCTTTGAGGCCTTCGTAGAAAACGGGATTTCTTCGTGTAATGATAGACAATAGAATTCTCAGTGAATTTTTTTCTGTGTGTGTGTATTCAACTCACAGGGTTGAACCTTCCTTTAGACAGTGCAGATTTGAAACACTTGTCTGTGGAATTTGCAAGGGGAGATTTCAAGCACTTTGAGGCCATTGGTGGAAAAGGAAATATCTTCGTATAAAAACTAGACAGAATCATTCTCAGGAACTACTTTGTGATATGTGCATTCAACTCACAGAGTTTAACCTTTCTTTTCATAGATGAGTTTGGAAACAGTCAGTTTGTAAATTCTGCAACTGGATATTTGGACCTCTTTGAGGCTTTCGTTGGAAACGGGATTTCTTCACATAATGCTAGACAGAAGAATTCTCAGTAACTTCTTTTGGGATGTATGTATTCAAATCAGAGAGTTGAACCTTCCTTTAGACAGAGCGGATTGGAAACACTCTTTTTGTGGAATTTGCAAGTGGAAAATTCTAGCAGTATGAGGCCAATGGTACAAAAGGAAATATCTTCGTATAAAAACTAGACAGTATCATTCTCAGAAACTGCTTTGTGATGTGTGTATTAAACTCACAGAGTTGAACATTTCTTTGCATAGAGCAGTTTGGAAAGACTTAGTTTGTGCAGTGTGCAAGTGGATATTTGGAACTCTTTGAGGCCTTCGTTGGAAACGGGATTTCTTCTTATAATTTCTTGACAAAAGAATTCTCAGTAGCTTCTTTGTGTGTGTGTATTCAACTCACAGAGTTGAACCTTCCTTTAGACAGAGCAGATTGGAAACACTCTTTTTGTGGAATTTGCAAGTGGAGAATTCTAGCGCTTTGACGCCAATGGTAGAAAGGAAATATCTTCGTATAAAAACTAGACAGTATCATTCTCAGAAGCTACTTTGTGATGTGTGCGTTCAACTCACAGAGTTTAACCTTTCTTTTCATAGAGCAGTTTGGAAACCCTCTGTTTGTGAAGTCTGCAAGTGGATATTTAAACGTCTTTGAGGCCTTCGTTGGAAACGGGATTTTTTCATATAAACCAGGACAGAAGAATTCTCAGAAACTTCTTGATTGTTATGTGTGCATTCAACTCACAGAGTTGAACCTTACTTTGGAAAGAGCAGTTTTCTAATACTCTTTTTGTAAAAGTTCCAAGTGAATACTTTGAGTGCTTTGAAGCCTACGGTTGACAACGAAATATCTTCATGTAAAAACTACAAAGAATCATTCGCAGCAACCACGTTGTGATCTCTGCATTCAACTCACAGAGTTCAACCTTTCTTCCTATAGAGCAGTTATGAAACAGTCTCTTTGTAGAATTTGCAAGGGTGTATTTAGAGGGCATTGAAGCCTACGGTAGAAAAGGAAATATCTTACCATAAAATCTAGTCAGAAGCATTCTCAGCAACTGAGTTGTGATGTTTGCATTCAACTCACAGAGTTCAACATTCCTTTTAATGGAGCGGTTTTGAAACACTC
Organism: Homo sapiens; assembly: GCF_000001405.40. NCBI lineage: Eukaryota > Metazoa > Chordata > Mammalia > Primates > Hominidae > Homo > Homo sapiens. The sequence goes on from NC_000003.12 coordinate 92,582,354, forward strand.
TTTTTGCAGAATCTGCAAGTGGATATTTGGACCTCTTTGAGGCCTTCGTTGGAAACGGGATTTCTTCATGTAATGCCAGACAGAAGAATTCTCAGTGAATTCTTTCTGTGTGTGTGTATTCAACTCACAGAGTTGAACGTTCCTTTAGACAGAGTAGATTGGAAACACTCTTTTTGTGGAATTTTCAGGTGGAGGTATCAAGCGCTTTGAGGCCAATGATAGAAAAGGAAATACCTTCGTATAATAATTAGACGGAATCATTCTCAGAAACTGCTTTGCAATGTGTGCGTTCAACTCACAGTGTTTAACCTTTCTTTTCATACAGTTGTTTCGAAACACTCTTTTTGCAGAATCTGCAAGTGGATATTTGGACCTCTTTGAAGTCTTCGTTGGAAATGGGATTTCTTCATATAATGCTAGACAGAAGACTTCTCAGTAACTGCTTTTTCTGGTGTGTATTCAACTCTCAGAGTTGAACTTTCCTTTAGAAACAGCAGAGTTGAAACTCTCTTTTTGTGGAATTTGCAAGTGGAGATTTCAAAGCTTTGAGGCCAATGGTAGAAAAGGAAATATCTTCGTATGCAAACTAGACAGAATCATTCTCAGAAACTACTTTGGTACGTGTGTGTTCAACTCACAGTGTTTAACCTTTCTTTTCATAGAGCAGTTTGGAAACACTCAGTTTGTAAAGTCAGCAACTGGATATTTGGATGTATTTGAGGCCTTCGTTGGAAACGGGATTTCTTCATATAGTGCTAGACAGAAGAATTCTCAGTAACTTCTTTGGGTTGTGGGTATTCAACTCACAGAGTTGAAGCTTCCTTTAGGCGGAGCAGATTGGAAACACTTTTTGTGGAATTTTCAGGGGGAGACTTCAAGCGCTTTGAAGTGAATGGTAGAAAAGGAAATATCTTCGTATAAAAACTAGACGGAGTCATTCTCAGAAACTACTTTGTGATGTTTGCGTTCAACTCACAGAGTTTAACGTTTCTTTTCATAGAGCAGTTTGGAAACACTCTTTTTGCAGAATCTGCAAGTGGATATTTGGACCTCCTTTGTGGCCTTCGTTGGAAACGGGATTTTTCATATAATGCTAGACAGAAGAATTCTCAGTAACTTCTTTTTGTGGTGTGTATTCAACTCACAGAGTTGAACCTTCCTTTAGACAGAGCAGATTTGAAACTCTCTTTTTGTGGAATTTGCAAGTGGAGATTTCAAGCGCTTTGAGGCCAACGGCAGAAAAGGAAATATCTTCGTAGAAAAAATAGACGGAATCATTCTCAGAAACTGCTTTGGGATGTGTGCATTGAACTCACAGTGTTTAACACTTCTTTTCATAGAGCACTTTGGAAACACTCAGTTTGTAATGTCTGCAGCTGGATATTTGGACCTCTTTGAGGCCTTCGTAGTAAACGGGATTTCTTCGTGTAATGATAGACAATAGAATTCTCAGTGAATTTTTTTCTGTGTGTGTGTATTCAACTCACAGGGTTGAACCTTCCTTTAGACAGTGCAGATTTGAAACACTTGTCTGTGGAATTTGCAAGGGGAGATTTCAAGCACTTTGAGGCCATTGGTGGAAAAGGAAATATCTTCGTATGAAAACTAGACAGAATCATTCTCAGGAACTACTTTGTGATATGTGCATTCAACTCACAGAGTTTAACCTTTCTTTTCATAGATGAGTTTGGAAACAGTCAGTTTGTAAATTCTGCAACTGGATATTTGGACCTCTTTGAGGCTTTCGTTGGAAACGGGATTTCTTCACATAATGCTAGACAGAAGAATTCTCAGTAACTTCTTTTGGGATGTATGTATTCAAATCAGAGAGTTGAACCTTCCTTTAGACAGAGCGGATTGGAAACACTCTTTTTGTGGAATTTGCAAGTGGAAAATTCTAGCAGTATGAGGCCAATGGTACAAAAGGAAATATCTTCGTATAAAAACTAGACAGTATCATTCTCAGAAACTGCTTTGTGATGTGTGTATTAAACTCACAGAGTTGAACATTTCTTTGCATAGAGCAGTTTGGAAAGACTTAGTTTGTGCAGTGTGCAAGTGGATATTTGGAACTCTTTGAGGCCTTCGTTGGAAACGGGATTTCTTCTTATAATTCTTGACAAAAGAATTCTCAGTAGCTTCTTTGTGTGTGTGTATTCAACTCACAGAGTTGAACCTTCCTTTAGACAGAGCAGATTGGAAACACTCTTTTTGTGGAATTTGCAAGTGGAGAATTCTAGCGCTTTGACGCCAATGGTAGAAAGGAAATATCTTCGTATAAAAACTAGACAGTATCATTCTCAGAAACTACTTTGTGATGTGTGCGTTCAACTCACAGAGTTTAACCTTTCTTTTCATAGAGCAGTTTGGAAACACTCTGTTTGTGAAGTCTGCAAGTGGATATTTAAACGTCTTTGAGGCCTTCGTTGGAAACGGGATTTCTTCATATAAACCAGGACAGAAGAATTCTCAGAAACTTCTTGATTGTTATGTGTGCATTCAACTCACAGAGTTGAACCTTACTTTGGAAAGAGCAGTTTTCTAACACTCTTTTTGTAAAAGTTCCAAGTGAATACTTTGAGTGTTTTGAAGCCTACGGTTGACAACGAAATATCTTCATGTAAAAACTACAAAGAATCATTCGCAGAAACCACGTTGTGATCTCTGCATTCAACTCACAGAGTTGAACCTTTCTTCCTATAGAGCAGTTATGAAACAGTCTCTTTGTAGAATTTGCAAGGGTGTATTTACAGGGCATTGAAGCCTACGGTAGAAAAGGAAATATCTTACCATAAAATCTAGTCAGAAGCATTCTCAGCAACTGAGTTGTGATGTTTGCATTCAACTCACAGAGTTCAACATTCCTTTTAATGGAGCGGTTTTGAAACACTCTTTTTGCAGAATCTGCAAGTGGATATTTGGACCTCTTTGAGGCCTTCGTTGGAAACGGGATTTCTTCATGTAATGCCAGACAGAAGAATTCTCAGTGAATTCTTTCTGTGTGTGTGTATTCAACTCACAGAGTTGAACGTTCCTTTAGACAGAGTAGATTGGAAACACTCTTTTTGTGGAATTTTCAGGTGGAGGTATCAAGCGCTTTGAGGCCAATGATAGAAAAGGAAATACCTTCGTATAATAATTAGACGGAATCATTCTCAGAAACCGCTTTGCAATGTGTGCGTTCAACTCACAGTGTTTAACCTTTCTTTTCATACAGTTGTTTCGAAACACTCTTTTTGCAGAATCTGCAAGTGGATATTTGGACCTCTTTGAAGTCTTCGTTGGAAATGGGATTTCTTCATATAATGCTAGACAGAAGACTTCTCAGTAACTGCTTTTTCTGGTGTGTATTCAACTCTCAGAGTTGAACTTTCCTTTAGAAACAGCAGATTTGAAACTCTCTTTTTGTGGAATTTGCAAGTGGAGATTTCAGAGCTTTGAGGCCAATGGTAGAAAAGGAAATATCTTCGTATGCAAACTAGACAGAATCATTCTCAGAAACTACTTTGGTACGTGTGTGTTCAACTCACAGTGTTTAACCTTTCTTTTCATAGAGCAGTTTGGAAACACTCAGTTTGTAAAGTCAGCAACTGGATATTAGGATGTATTTGAGGCCTTCGTTGGAAACGGGATTTCTTCATATAATGCTAGACAGAAGAATTCTCAGTAACTTCTTTGGGTTGTGGGTATTCAACTCACAGAGTTGAAGCTTCCTTTAGGTGGAGCAGATTGGAAACACTTTTTGTGGAATTTTCAGGGGGAGACTTCAAGCGCTTTGAAGTGAATGGTAGGAAAGGAAATATCTTCGTATAAAAACTAGACGGAGTCATTCTCAGAAACTACTTTGTGATGTTTGCGTTCAACTCACAGAGTTTAACGTTTCTTTTCATAGGGCAGTTTGGAGACACTCTTTTTGCAGAATCTGCAAGTGGATATTTGGACCTCTTTGTGGCCTTCGTTGGAAACGGGATTTTTCATATAATGCTAGACAGAAGAATTCTCAGTAACTTCTTTTTGTGGTGTGTATTCAACTCACAGAGTTGAACCTTCCTTTAGACAGAGCAGATTTGAAACTCTCTTTTTGTGGAATTTGCATTGGAGATTTAAAGCACTTTGAGGCCAACGGTAGAAAAGGAAATATCTTCGTAGAAAAAATAGACGGAATCATTCTCGGAAACTGCTTTGGGATGTGTGCATTGAACTCACAGTGGTTTAACACTTCTTTTCATAGAGCACTTTGGAAACACTCAGTTTGTAATGTCTGCAGCTGGATATGTGGACCTCTTTGAGGCCTTCGTAGTAAACGGGATTTCTTCGTGTAATGATAGACAGTAGAATTCTCAGTGAATTTTTTTCTGTGTGTGTGTATTCAACTCACAGGGTTGAACCTTCCTTCAGACAGTGCAGATTTGAAACACTTTTCTGTGGAATTTGTAAGGGGAGATTTCAAGCACTTTGAGGCCATTGGTGGAAAAGGGAATATCTTCGTATAAAAACTAGACAGAATCATTGTCAGGAACTACCTTGTGATATGTGCATTCAACTCACAGGTTTTAACCTTTCTTTTCATAGATGAGTTTGGAAACAGTCAGTTTGGAAATTCTGCAACTGGATATTTGGACCTCTTTGAGGCTTTCGTTGGAAACGGGATTTCTTCACATAATGCTAGACAGAAGAATTCGCAGTAACTTCTTTTGGGATGTATGTATTCAACTCAGAGAGTTGAACCTTCCTTTAGACAGAGCGGATTGGAAACACGCTTTTTGCGGAATTTTCAGGTGGAGATTTCAAGAGCCTTGAGGCCAATGGTAGAAAAGGCTATCTTCGTATAAAAACTAGACGGAATCATTCTCAGAAACTGCTTTGTGATGTGTGCATTAAACTCACAGAGTTGAACATTTCTTTGCATAGAGCAGTTTGGAAAGACTTAGTTTGTACAGTGTGCAAGTGGATATTTGGAACTCTTTGAGGCCTTCGTTGGAAACGGGATTTCTTCTTATAATTCTTGACAAAAGAATTCTCAGTAGCTTCTTTGTGTGTGTGTATTCAACTCACAGAGTTGAACCTTCCTTTAGACAGAGCAGATTGGAAACACTCTTTTTGTGGAATTTGCAAGTGGAGAATTCTAGCGCTTTGACGCCAATGGAAGGAAAGGAAATATCTCCGTATAAAAACTAGACAGTATCATTCTCAGAAACTACTTTGTGATGTGTGCGTTCAACTCACAGAGTTTAACCTTTCTTTTCATAGAGCAGTTTGGAAACACTCTGTTTGTGAAGTCTGCAAGTGGATATTTAAACGTCTTTGAGGCCTTCGTTGGAAACGGGATTTTTTCATATAAACCAGGACAGAAGGATTCTCAGAAACTTCTTGTTTGTTATGTGTGCATTCAACTCACAGAGTTGAACCTTACTTTGGAAAGAGCAGTTTTCTAACACTCTTTTTGTAAAAGTTCCAAGTGAATACTTTGAGTGCTTTGAAGCCTACGGTAGACAACGAAATATCTTCATGTAAAAACTACAAAGAATCATTCGCAGAAACCACGTTGTGATCTCTGCATTCAACTCACAGAGTTCAACCTTTCTTCCTATAGATCAGTTATTAAACAGTCTCTTTGTAGAATTTGCAAGGGTGTATTTAGAGGGCATTGAGGCCTACGGTAGAAAAGGAAATATCTGACCATAAAATCTAGCCAGAAGCATTCTCAGAAACTGAGTTGTGATGTTTGCATTCAACTCACAGAGTTCAACATTCCTTTTAATAGAGCGGTTTTGAAACACTCTTTTTGCAGAATCTGCAAGTGGATATTTGGACCTCTTTGAGGCCTTCGTTGGAAACGGGATTTCTTCATGTAATGCCAGACAGAAGAATTCTCAGTGAATTCTTTCTGTGTGTGTGTATTCAACTCACAGAGTTGAACGTTCCTTTAGACAGAGTAGATTGGAAACACTCTTTTTGTGGAATTTTCAGGTGGAGGTATCAAGCGCTTTGAGGCCCATGATAGAAAAGGAAATACCTTCATATAATAATTAGACGGAATCATTCTCAGAAACTGCTTTGCAATGTGTGCGTTCAACTCACAGTGTTTAACCTTTCTTTTCATACAGTTGTTTCGAAACACTCTTTTTGCAGAATCTGCAAGTGGATATTTGGACCTCTTTGAAGTCTTCGTTGGAAATGGGATTTCTTCATATAATGCTAGACAGAAGACTTCTCAGTAACTGCTTTTTCTGGTGTGTATTCAACTCTCAGAGTTGAACTTTCCTTTAGAAACAGCAGATTTGAAACTCTCTTTTTGTGGAATTTGCAAGTGGAGATTTCAGAGCTTTGAGGCCAATGGTAGAAAAGGAAATATCTTCGTATGCAAACTAGACAGAATCATTCTCAGAAACTACTTTGGTACGTGTGTGTTCAACTCACAGTGTTTAACCTTTCTTTTCATAGAGCAGTTTGGAAACACTCAGTTTGTAAAGTCAGCAACTGGATATTTGGATGTATTTGAGGCCTTCGTTGGAAACGGGATTTCTTCATATAATGCTAGACAGAAGAATTCTCAGTAACTTCTTTGGGTTGTGGGTATTCAAGTCACAGAGTTGAAGCTTCCTTTAGGCGGAGCAGATTGGAAACACTTTTTGTGGAATTTTCAGGGGGAGACTTCAAGCGCTTTGAAGTGAATGGTAGGAAAGGAAATATCTTCGTATAAAAACTAGACGGAGTCATTCTCAGAAACTACTTTGTGATGTTTGCGTTCAACTCACAGAGTTTAACGTTTCTTTTCATAGAGCAGTTTGGAAACACTCTTTTTGCAGAATCTGCAAGTGGATATTTGGACCTCTTTGTGGCCTTCGTTGGAAACGGGATTTTTCATATAATGCTAGACAGAAGAATTCTCAGTAACTTCTTTTTGTGGTGTGTATTCAACTCACAGAGTTGAACCTTCCTTTAGACAGAGCAGATTTGAAACTCTCTTTTTGTGGAATTTGCAAGTGGAGATTTCAAGCGCTTTGAGGCCAACGGTAGAAAAGGAAATATGCTTCGTAGAAAAAATAGACGTAATCATTCTCAGAAACTGCTTTGGGGATGTGTGCATTGAACTCACAGTGTTTAACACTTCTTTTCATAGAGCACTTTGGAAACACTCAGTTTGTAATGTCTGCAGCTGGATATTTGGACCTCTTTGAGGCCTTCGTAGTAAACGGGATTTCTTCGTGTAATGATAGACAATAGAATTCTCAGTGAATTTTTTTCTGTGTGTGTGTATTCAACTCACAGGGTTGAACCTTCCTTTAGACAGTGCAGATTTGAAACACTTGTCTGTGGAATTTGCAAGGGGAGATTTCAAGCACTTTGAGGCCATTGGTGGAAAAGGAAATATCTTCGTATAAAAACTAGACAGAATCATTCTCAGGAACTACTTTGTGATATGTGCATTCAACTCATAGAGTTTAACCTTTCTTTTCATAGATGAGTTTGGAAACAGTCAGTTTGTAAATTCTGCAACTGGATATTTGGACCTCTTTGAGGCTTTCGTTGGAAACGGGATTTCTTCACATAATGCTAGACAGAAGAATTCTCAGTAACTTCTTTTGGGATGTATGTATTCAAATCAGAGAGTTGAACCTTCCTTTAGACAGAGCGGATTGGAAACACTCTTTTTGTGGAATTTGCAAGTGGAAAATTCTAGCAGTATGAGGCCAATGGTACAAAAGGAAATATCTTCGTATAAAAACTAGACAGTATCATTCTCAGAAACTGCTTTGTGATGTGTGGATTAAACTCACAGAGTTGAACATTTCTTTGCATAGAGCAGTTTGGAAAGACTTAGTTTGTGCAGTGTGCAAGTGGATATTTGGAACTCTTTGAGGCCTTCGTTGGAAACGGGATTTCTTCTTATAATTCTTGACAAAAGAATTCTCAGTAGCTTCCTTTGTGTGTGTGTATTCAACTCACAGAGTTGAACCTTCCTTTAGACAGAGCAGATTGGAAACACTCTTTTTGTGGAATTTGCAAGTGGAGAATTCTAGCGCTTTGACGCCAATGGTAGAAAGGAAATATCTTCGTATAAAAACTAGACAGTATCATTCTCAGAAGCTACTTTGTGATGTGTGCGTTCAACTCACAGAGTTTAACCTTTCTTTTCATAGAGCAGTTTGGAAACCCTCTGTTTGTGAAGTCTGCAAGTGGATATTTAAACGTCTTTGAGGCCTTCGTTGGAAACGGGATTTTTTCATATAAACCAGGACAGAAGAATTCTCAGAAACTTCTTGATTGTTATGTGTGCATTCAACTCACAGAGTTGAACCTTACTTTGGAAAGAGCAGTTTTCTAACACTCTTTTTGTAAAAGTTCCAAGTGAATACTTTGAGTGCTTTGAAGCCTACGGTTGACAACGAAATATCTTCATGTAAAAACTACAAAGAATCATTCGCAGAAACCACGTTGTGATCTCTGCAGTCAACTCACAGAGTTCAACCTTTCTTCCTATAGAGCAGTTATGAAACAGTCTCTTTGTAGAATTTGCAAGGGTGTATTTAGAGGGCATTGAAGCCTACGGTAGAAAAGGAAATATCTTACCATAAAATCTAGTCAGAAGCATTCTCAGAAACTGAGTTGTGATGTTTGCATTCAACTCACAGAGTTCAACATTCCTTTTAATGGAGCGGTTTTGAAACACTCTTTTTGCAGAATCTGCAAGTGGATATTTGGACCTCTTTGAGGCCTTCGTTGGAAACGGGATTTCTTCATGTAATGCCAGACAGAAGAATTCTCAGTGAATTCTTTCTGTGTGTGTGTATTCAACTCACAGAGTTGAACGTTCCTTTAGACAGAGTAGATTGGAAACACTCTTTTTGTGGAATTTTCAGGTGGAGGTATCAAGCGCTTTGAGGCCAATGATAGAAAAGGAAATACCTTCGTATAATAATTAGACGGAATCATTCTCAGAAACCGCTTTGCAATGTGTGCGTTCAACTCACAGTGTTTAACCTTTCTTTTCATACAGTTGTTTCGAAACACTCTTTTTGCAGAATCTGCAAGTGGATATTTGGACCTCTTTGAAGTCTTCGTTGGAAATGGGATTTCTTCATATAATGCTAGACAGAAGACTTCTCAGTAACTGCTTTTTCTGGTGTGTATTCAACTCTCAGAGTTGAACTTTCCTTTAGAAACAGCAGATTTGAAACTCTCTTTTTGTGGAATTTGCAAGTGGAGATTTCAGAGCTTTGAGGCCAATGGTAGAAAAGGAAATATCTTCGTATGCAAACTAGACAGAATCATTCTCAGAAACTACTTTGGTACGTGTGTGTTCAACTCACAGTGTTTAACCTTTCTTTTCATAGAGCAGTTTGGAAACACTCAGTTTGTAAAGTCAGCAACTGGATATTTGGATGTATTTGAGGCCTTCGTTGGAAACGGGATTTCTTCATATAATGCTAGACAGAAGAATTCTCAGTAACTTCTTTGGGTTGTGGGTATTCAAGTCACAGAGTTGAAGCTTCCTTTAGGCGGAGCAGATTGGAAACACTTTTTGTGGAATTTTCAGGGGGAGACTTCAAGCGCTTTGAAGTGAATGGTAGGAAAGGAAATATCTTCGTATAAAAACTAGACGGAGTCATTCTCAGAAACTACTTTGTGATGTTTGCGTTCAACTCACAGAGTTTAACGTTTCTTTTCATAGAGCAGTTTGGAAACACTCTTTTTGCAGAATCTGCAAGTGGATATTTGGACCTCTTTGAGGCCTTCGTTGGAAACGGGATTTCTTCATGTAATGCCAGACAGAAGAATTCTCAGTAACTTCTTTTTGTGGTGTGTATTCAACTCACAGAGTTGAACCTTCCTTTAGACAGAGCAGATTTGAAACTCTCTTTTTGTGGAATTTGCAAGTGGAGATTTCAAGCGCTTTGAGGCCAACGGCAGAAAAGGAAATATCTTCGTAGAAAAAATAGACGGAATCATTCTCAGAAACTGCTTTGGGATGTGTGCATTGAACTCACAGTGTTTAACACTTCTTTTCATAGAGCACTTTGGAAACACTCAGTTTGTAATGTCTGCAGCTGGATATTTGGACCTCTTTGAGGCCTTCGTAGTAAACGGGATTTCTTCGTGTCATGATAGACCATAGAATTCTCAGTGAATTTTTTTCTGTGTGTGTGTATTCAACTCACAGGGTTGAACCTTCCTTTAGACAGTGCAGATTTGAAACACTTGTCTGTGGAATTTGCAAGGGGAGATTTCAAGCACTTTGAGGCCATTGGTGGAAAAGGAAATATCTTCGTATAAAAACTAGACAGAATCATTCTCAGGAACTACTTTGTGATATGTGCATTCAACTCACAGAGTTTAACCTTTCTTTTCATAGATGAGTTTGGAAACAGTCAGTTTGTAAATTCTGCCACTGGATATTTGGACCTCTTTGAGGCTTTCGTTGGAAACGGGATTTCTTCACATAATGCTAGACAGAAGAATTCTCAGTAACTTCTTTTGGGATGTATGTATTCAAATCAGAGAGTTGAACCTTCCTTCAGACAGAGCGGATTGGAAACACTCTTTTTGTGGAATTTGCAAGTGGAAAATTCTAGCAGTATGAGGCCAATGGTACAAAAGGAAATATCTTCGTATAAAAACTAGACAGTTATCATTCTCAGAAACTGCTTTGTGATGTGTGTATTAAACTCACAGAGTTGAACATTTCTTTGCATAGAGCAGTTTGGAAAGACTTAGTTTGTGCAGTGTGCAAGTGGATATTTGGAACTCTTTGAGGCCTTCGTTGGAAACGGGATTTCTTCTTATAATTTCTTGAAAAAAGAATTCTCAGTAGCTTCTTTGTGTGTGTGTATTCAACTCACAGAGTTGAACCTTCCTTTAGACAGAGCAGATTGGAAACACTCTTTTTGTGGAATTTGCAAGTGGAGAATTCTAGCGCTTTGACGCCAATGGTAGAAAGGAAATATCTTCGTATAAAAACTAGACAGTATCATTCTCAGAAACTACTTTGTGATGTGTGCGTTCAACTCACAGAGTTTAACCTTTCTTTTCATAGAGCAGTTTGGAAACACTCTGTTTGTGAAGTCTGCAAGTGGATATTTAAACGTCTTTGAGGCCTTCGTTGGAAACGGGATTTTTTCATATAAACCAGGACAGAAGAATTCTCAGAAACTTCTTGATTGTTATGTGTGCATTCAACTCACAGAGTTGAACCTTACTTTGGAAAGAGCAGTTTTCTAACACTCTTTTTGTAAAAGTTCCAAGTGAATACTTTGAGTGCTTTGAAGCCTACGGTTGACAACGAAATATCTTCATGTAAAAACTACAAAGAATCATTCGCAGAAACCACGTTGTGATCTCTGCATTCAACTCACAGAGTTGAACCTTTCTTCCTATAGAGCAGTTATGAAACAGTCTCTTTGTAGAATTTGCAAGGGTGTATTTAGAGGGCATTGAAGCCTACGGTAGAAAAGGAAATATCTTACCATAAAATCTAGTCAGAAGCATTCTCAGCAACTGAGTTGTGATGTTTGCATTCAACTCACAGAGTTCAACATTCCTTTTAATGGAGCGGTTTTGAAACACTCTTTTTGCAGAATCTGCAAGTGGATATTTGGACCTCTTTGAGGCCTTCGTTGGAAACGGGATTTCTTCATGTAATGCCAGACAGAAGAATTCTCAGTGAATTCTTTCTGTGTGTGTGTATTCAACTCACAGAGTTGAACGTTCCTTTAGACAGAGTAGATTGGAAACACTCTTTTTGTGGAATTTTCAGGTGGAGGTATCAAGCGCTTTGAGGCCAATGATAGAAAAGGAAATACCTTCGTATAATAATTAGACGGAATCATTCTCAGAAACCGCTTTGCAATGTGTGCGTTCAACTCACAGTGTTTAACCTTTCTTTTCATACAGTTGTTTCGAAACACTCTTTTTGCAGAATCTGCAAGTGGATATTTGGACCTCTTTGAAGTCTTCGTTGGAAATGGGATTTCTTCATATAATGCTAGACAGAAGACTTCTCAGTAACTGCTTTTTCTGGTGTGTATTCAACTCTCAGAGTTGAACTTTCCTTTAGAAACAGCAGATTTGAAACTCTCTTTTTGTGGAATTTGCAAGTGGAGATTTCAGAGCTTTGAGGCCAATGGTAGAAAAGGAAATATCTTCGTATGCAAACTAGACAGAATCATTCTCAGAAACTACTTTGGTACGTGTGTGTTCAACTCACAGTGTTTAACCTTTCTTTTCATAGAGCAGTTTGGAAACACTCAGTTTGTAAAGTCAGCAACTGGATATTTGGATGTATTTGAGGCCTTCGTTGGAAACGGGATTTCTTCATATAATGCTAGACAGAAGAATTCTCAGTAACTTCTTTGGGTTGTGGGTATTCAACTCACAGAGTTGAAGCTTCCTTTAGGCGGAGCAGATTGGAAACACTTTTTGTGGAATTTTCAGGGGGAGACTTCAAGCGCTTTGAAGTGAATGGTAGGAAAGGAAATATCTTCGTATAAAAACTAGACAGAGTCATTCTCAGAAACTACTTTGTGATGTTTGTGTTCAACTCACAGAGTTTAACGTTTCTTTTCATAGAGCAGTTTGGAAACACTCTTTTTGCAGAATCTGCAAGTGGATATTTGGACCTCTTTGTGGCCTTCGTTGGAAACGGGATTTTTCATATAATGCTAGACAGAAGAATTCTCAGTAACTTCTTTTTGTGGTGTGTATTCAACTCACAGAGTTGAACCTTCCTTTAGACAGAGCAGATTTGAAACTCTCTTTTTGTGGAATTTGCAAGTGGAGATTTCAAGCGCTTTGAGGCCAACGGTAGAAAAGGAAATATCTTCGTAGAAAAAATAGACGGAATCATTCTCAGAAACTGCTTTGGGATGTGTGCATTGAACTCACAGTGTTTAACACTTCTTTTCATAGAGCACTTTGGAAACACTCAGTTTGTAATGTCTGCAGCTGGATATTTGGACCTCTTTGAGGCCTTCGTAGTAAACGGGATTTCTTCGTGTAATGATAGACAATAGAATTCTCAGTGAATTTTTTTCTGTGTGTGTGTATTCAACTCACAGTGTTGAACCTTCCTTTAGACAGTGCAGATTTGAAACACTTGTCTGTGGAATTTGCAAGGGGAGATTTCAAGCACTTTGAGGCCATTGGTGGAAAAGGAAATAACTTCGTATGAAAACTAGACAGAATCATTCTCAGGAACTACTTTGTGATATGTGCATTCAACTCACAGAGTTTAACCTTTCTTTTCATAGATGAGTTTGGAAACAGTCAGTTTGTAAATTCTGCAACTGGATATTTGGACCTCTTTGAGGCTTTCGTTGGAAACGGGATTTCTTCACATAATGCTAGACAGAAGAATTCTCAGTAACTTCTTTTGGGATGTATGTATTCAAATCAGAGAGTTGAACCTTCCTTTAGACAGAGCGGATTGGAAACACTCTTTTTGTGGAATTTGCAAGTGGAAAATTCTAGCAGTATGAGGCCAATGGTACAAAAGGAAATATCTTCGTATAAAAACTAGACAGTATCATTCTCAGAAACTGCTTTGTGATGTGTGTATTAAACTCACAGAGTTGAACATTTCTTTGCATAGAGCAGTTTGGAAAGACTTAGTTTGTGCAGTGTGCAAGTGGATATTTGGAACTCTTTGAGGCCTTCGTTGGAAACGGGATTTCTTCTTATAATTTCTTGAAAAAAGAATTCTCAGTAGCTTCTTTGTGTGTGTGTATTCAACTCACAGAGTTGAACCTTCCTTTAGACAGAGCAGATTGGAAACACTCTTTTTGTGGAATTTGCAAGTGGAGAATTCTAGCGCTTTGACGCCAATGGTAGAAAGGAAATATCTTCGTATAAAAACTAGACAGTATCATTCTCAGAAGCTACTTTGTGATGTGTGCGTTCAACTCACAGCAGTTTAACCTTCCTTTTCATAGAGCAGTTTGGAAACCCTCTGTTTGTGAAGTCTGCAAGTGGATATTTAAACGTCTTTGAGGCCTTCGTTGGAAACGGGATTTCTTCATATAAACCAGGACAGAAGAATTCTCAGAAACTTCTTGATTGTTATGTGTGCATTCAACTCACAGAGTTGAACCTTACTTTGGAAAGAGCAGTTTTCTAACACTCTTTTTGTAAAAGTTCCAAGTGAATACTTTGAGTGCTTTGAAGCCTACGGTTGACAACGAAATATCTTCATGTAAAAACTACAAAGAATCATTCGCAGAAACCACGTTGTGATCTCTGCATTCAACTCACAGTGTTGAACCTTTCTTCCTATAGAGCAGTTATGAAACAGTCTCTTTGTAGAATTTGCAAGGGTGTATTTAGAGGGCATTGAAGCCTACGGTAGAAAAGGAAATATCTTACCATAAAATCTAGTCAGAAGCATTCTCAGAAACTGAGTTGTGATGTTTGCATTCAACTCACAGAGTTCAACATTCCTTTTAATGGAGCGGTTTTGAAACACTCTTTTTGCAGAATCTGCAAGTGGATATTTGGACCTCTTTGAGGCCTTCGTTGGAAACGGGATTTCTTCATGTAATGCCAGACAGAAGAATTCTCAGTGAATTCTTTCTGTGTGTGTGTATTCAACTCACAGAGTTGAACGTTTCCTTTAGACAGAGTAGATTGGAAACACTCTTTTTGTGGAATTTTCAGGTGGAGGTATCAAGCGCTTTGAGGCCAATGATAGAAAAGGAAATACCTTCGTATAATAATTAGACGGAATCATTCTCAGAAACTGCTTTGCAATGTGTGCGTTCAACTCACAGTGTTTAACCTTTCTTTTCATACAGTTGTTTCGAAACACTCTTTTTGCAGAATCTGCAAGTGGATATTTGGACCTCTTTGAAGTCTTCGTTGGAAATGGGATTTCTTCATATAATGCTAGACAGAAGACTTCTCAGTAACTGCTTTTTCTGGTGTGTATTCAACTCTCAGAGTTGAACTTTCCTTTAGAAACAGCAGATTTGAAACTCTCTTTTTGTGGAATTTGCAAGTGGAGATTTCAGAGCTTTGAGGCCAATGGTAGAAAAGGAAATATCTTCGTATGCAAACTAGACAGAATCATTCTCAGAAACTACTTTGGTACGTGTGTGTTCAACTCACAGTGTTTAACCTTTCTTTTCATAGAGCAGTTTGGAAACACTCAGTTTGTAAAGTCAGCAACAGGATATTTGGATGTATTTGAGGCCTTCGTTGGAAACGGGATTTCTTCATATAATGCTAGACAGAAGAATTCTCAGTAACTTCTTTGGGTTGTGGGTATTCAACTCACAGAGTTGAAGCTTCCTTTAGGCGGAGCAGATTGGAAACACTTTTTGTGGAATTTTCAGGGGGAGACTTCAAGCGCTTTGAAGTGAATGGTAGGAAAGGAAATATCTTCGTATAAAAACTAGACGGAGTCATTCTCAGAAACTACTTTGTGATGTTTGCGGTTCAACTCACAGAGTTTAACGTTTCTTTTCATAGAGCAGTTTGGAAACACTCTTTTTGCAGAATCTGCAAGTGGATATTTGGACCTCTTTGTGGCCTTCGTTGGAAACGGGATTTTTCATATAATGCTAGACAGAAGAATTCTCAGTAACTTCTTTTTGTGGTGTGTATTCAACTCACAGAGTTGAACCTTCCTTTAGACAGAGCAGATTTGAAACTCTCTTTTTGTGGAATTTGCAAGTGGAGATTTCAAGCGCTTTGAGGCCAACGGCAGAAAAGGAAATATCTTCGTAGAAAAAATAGACGGAATCATTCTCAGAAACTGCTTTGGGATGTGTGCATTGAACTCACAGTGTTTAACACTTCTTTTCATAGAGCACTTTGGAAACACTCAGTTTGTAATGTCTGCAGCTGGATATTTGGACCTCTTTGAGGCCTTCGTAGTAAACGGGATTTCTTCGTGTAATGATAGACAATAGAATTCTCAGTGAATTTTTTTCTGTGTGTGTGTATTCAACTCACAGGGTTGAACCTTCCTTTAGACAGTGCAGATTTGAAACACTTGTCTGTGGAATTTGCAAGGGGAGATTTCAAGCACTTTGAGGCCATTGGTGGAAAAGGAAATATCTTCGTATAAAAACTAGACAGAATCATTCTCAGGAACTACTTTGTGATATGTGCATTCAACTCACAGAGTTTAACCTTTCTTTTCATAGATGAGTTTGGAAACAGTCAGTTTGTAAATTCTGCAACTGGATATTTGGACCTCTTTGAGGCTTTCGTTGGAAACGGGATTTCTTCACATAATGCTAGACAGAAGAATTCTCAGTAACTTCTTTTGGGATGTATGTATTCAAATCAGAGAGTTGAACCTTCCTTTAGACAGAGCGGATTGGAAACACTCTTTTTGTGGAATTTGCAAGTGGAAAATTCTAGCAGTATGAGGCCAATGGTACAAAAGGAAATATCTTCGTATAAAAACTAGACAGTATCATTCTCAGAAACTGCTTTGTGATGTGTGTATTAAACTCACAGAGTTGAACATTTCTTTGCATAGAGCAGTTTGGAAAGACTTAGTTTGTGCAGTGTGCAAGTGGATATTTGGAACTCTTTGAGGCCTTCGTTGGAAACGGGATTTCTTCTTATAATTCTTGACAAAAGAATTCTCAGTAGCTTCTTTGTGTGTGTGTATTCAACTCACAGAGTTGAACCTTCCTTTAGACAGAGCAGATTGGAAACACTCTTTTTGTGGAATTTGCAAGTGGAGAATTCTAGCGCTTTGACGCCAATGGTAGAAAGGAAATATCTTCGTATAAAAACTAGACAGTATGATTCTCAGAAACTACTTTGTGATGTGTGCGTTCAACTCACAGAGTTTAACCTTTCTTTTCATAGAGCAGTTTGGAAACACTCTGTTTGTGAAGTCTGCAAGTGGATATTTAAACGTCTTTGAGGCCTTCGTTGGAAACGGGATTTTTTCATATAAACCAGGACAGAAGAATTCTCAGAAACTTCTTGATTGTTATGTGTGCATTCAACTCACAGAGTTGAACCTTACTTTGGAAAGAGCAGTTTTCTAACACTCTTTTTGTAAAAGTTCCAAGTGAATACTTTGAGTGCTTTGAAGCCTACGGTTGACAACGAAATATCTTCATGTAAAAACTACAAAGAATCATTCGCAGAAACCACGTTGTGATCTCTGCAGTCAACTCACAGAGTTCAACCTTTCTTCCTATAGAGCAGTTATGAAACAGTCTCTTTGTAGAATTTGCAAGGGTGTATTTAGAGGGCATTGAAGCCTACGGTAGAAAAGGAAATATCTTACCATAAAATCTAGTCAGAAGCATTCTCAGAAACTGAGTTGTGATGTTTGCATTCAACTCACAGAGTTCAACATTCCTTTTAATGGAGCGGTTTTGAAACACTCTTTTTGCAGAATCTGCAAGTGGATATTTGGACCTCTTTGAGGCCTTCGTTGGAAACGGGATTTCTTCATGTAATGCCAGACAGAAGAATTCTCAGTGAATTCTTTCTGTGTGTGTGTATTCAACTCACAGAGTTGAACGTTCCTTTAGACAGAGTAGATTGGAAACACTGTTTTTGTGGAATTTTCAGGTGGAGGTATCAAGCGCTTTGAGGCCAATGATAGAAAAGGAAATACCTTCGTATAATAATTAGACGGAATCATTCTCAGAAACTGCTTCGCAATGTGTGCGTTCAACTCACAGTGTTTTACCTTTCTTTTCATACAGTTGTTTCGAAACACTCTTTTTGCAGAATCTGCAAGTGGATATTTGGACCTCTTTGAAGTCTTCGTTGGAAATGGGATTTCTTCATATAATGCTAGACAGAAGACTTCTCAGTAACTGCTTTTTCTGGTGTGTATTCAACTCTCAGAGTTGAACTTTCCTTTAGAAACAGCAGATTTGAAACTCTCTTTTTGTGGAATTTGCAAGTGGAGATTTCAGAGCTTTGAGGCCAATGGTAGAAAAGGAAATATCTTCGTATGCAAACTAGACAGAATCATTCTCAGAAACTACTTTGGTACAGTGTGTGTTCAACTCACAGTGTTTAACCTTTCTTTTCATAGAGCAGTTTGGAAACACTCAGTTTGTAAAGTCAGCAACTGGATATTTGGATGTATTTGAGGCCTTCGTTGGAAACGGGATTTCTTCATATAATGCTAGACAGAAGAATTCTCAGTAACTTCTTTGGGTTGTGGGTATTCAAGTCACAGAGTTGAAGCTTCCTTTAGGCGGAGCAGATTGGAAACACTTTTTGTGGAATTTTCAGGGGGAGACTTCAAGCGCTTTGAAGTGAATGGTAGGAAAGGAAATATCTTCGTATAAAAACTAGACGGAGTCATTCTCAGAAACTACTTTGTGATGTTTGCGTTCAACTCACAGAGTTTAACGTTTCTTTTCATAGAGCAGTTTGGAAACACTCTTTTTGCAGAATCTGCAAGTGGATATTTGGACCTCTTTGTGGCCTTCGTTGGAAACGGGATTTTTCATATAATGCTAGACAGAAGAATTCTCAGTAACTTCTTTTTGTGGTGTGTATTCAACTCACAGAGTTGAACCTTCCTTTAGACAGAGCAGATTTGAAACTCTCTTTTTGTGGAATTTGCAAGTGGAGATTTCAAGCGCTTTGAGGCCAACGGTAGAAAAGTAAATATCTTCGTAGAAAAAATAGACGGAATCATTCTCAGAAACTGCTTTGGGATGTGTGCATTGAACTCACAGTGTTTAACACTTCTTTTCATAGAGCACTTTGGAAACACTCAGTTTGTAATGTCTGCAGCTGGATATTTGGACCTCCTTGAGGCCTTCGTAGTAAACGGGATTTCTTCGTGTAATGATAGACAATAGAATTCTCAGTGAATTTTTTTCTGTGTGTGTGTATTCAACTCACAGGGTTGAACCTTCCTTTAGACAGTGCAGATTTGAAACACTTGTCTGTGGAATTTGCAAGGGGAGATTTCAAGCACTTTGAGGCCATTGGTGGAAAAGGAAATATCTTCGTATAAAAACTAGACAGAATCATTCTCAGGAACTACTTTGTGATATGTGCATTCAACTCACAGAGTTTAACCTTTCTTTTCATATATGAGTTTGGAAACAGTCAGTTTGTAAATTCTGCAACTGGATATTTGGACCTCTTTGAGGCTTTCGTTGGAAACGGGATTTCTTCACATAATGCTAGACAGAGAATTCTCAGTAACTTCTTTTGGGATGTATGTATTCAAATCAGAGAGTTGAACCTTCCTTTAGACAGAGCGGATTGGAAACACTCTTTTTGTGGAATTTGCAAGTGGAAAATTCTAGCAGTATGAGGCCAATGGTACAAAAGGAAATATCTTCGTATAAAAACTAGACAGTATCATTCTCAGAAACTGCTTTGTGATGTGTGTATTAAACTCACAGAGTTGAACATTTCTTTGCATAGAGCAGTTTGGAAAGACTTAGTTTGTGCAGTGTGCAAGTGGATATTTGGAACTCTTTGAGGCCTTCGTTGGAAACGGGATTTCTTCTTATAATTCTTGACAAAAGAATTCTCAGTAGCTTCTTTGTGTGTGTGTATTCAACTCACAGAGTTGAACCTTCCTTTAGACAGAGCAGATTGGAAACACTCTTTTTGTGGAATTTGCAAGTGGAGAATTCTAGCGCTTTGACGCCAATGGTAGAAAGGAAATATCTTCGTATAAAAACTAGACAGTATCATTCTCAGAAGCTACTTTGTGATGTGTGCGTTCAACTCACAGAGTTTAACCTTTCTTTTCATAGAGCAGTTTGGAAACCCTCTGTTTGTGAAGTCTGCAAGTGGATATTTAAACGTCTTTGAGGCCTTCGTTGGAAACGGGATTTTTTCATATAAACCAGGACAGAAGAATTCTCAGAAACTTCTTGATTGTTATGTGTGCATTCAACTCACAGAGTTGAACCTTACTTTGGAAAGAGCAGTTTCCTAACACTCTTTTTGTAAAAGTTCCAAGTGAATACTTTGAGTGCTTTGAAGCCTACGGTTGACAACGAAATATCTTCCTGTAAAAACTACAAAGAATCATTCGCAGAAACCACGTTGTGATCTCTGCATTCAACTCACAGAGTTGAACCTTTCTTCCTATAGAGCAGTTATGAAACAGTCTCTTTGTAGAATTTGCAAGGGTGTATTTAGAGGGCATTGAAGCCTACGGTATAAAAGGAAATATCTTACCATAAAATCTAGTCAGAAGCATTCTCAGCAACTGAGTTGTGATATTTGCATTCAACTCACAGAGTTCAACATTCCTTTTAATGGAGCGGTTTTGAAACACTCTTTTTGCAGAATCTGCAAGTGGATATTTGGACCTCTTTGAGGCCTTCGTTGGAAACGGGATTTCTTCATGTAATGCCAGACAGAAGAATTCTCAGTGAATTCTTTCTGTGTGTGTGTATTCAACTCACAGAGTTGAACGTTCCTTTAGACAGAGTAGATTGGAAACACTCTTTTTGTGGAATTTTCAGGTGGAGGTATCAAGCGCTTTGAGGCCAATGATAGAAAAGGAAATACCTTCGTATAATAATTAGACGGAATCATTCTCAGAAACTGCTTTGCAATGTGTGCGTTCAACTCACAGTGTTTAACCTTTCTTTTCATACAGTTGTTTCGAAACACTCTTTTTGCAGAATCTGCAAGTGGATATTTGGACCTCTTTGAAGTCTTCGTTGGAAATGGGATTTCTTCATATAATGCTAGACAGAAGACTTCTCAGTAACTGCTTTTTCTGGTGTGTATTCAACTCTCAGAGTTGAACTTTCCTTTAGAAACAGCAGAGTTGAAACTCTCTTTTTGTGGAATTTGCAAGTGGAGATTTCAAAGCTTTGAGGCCAATGGTAGAAAAGGAAATATCTTCGTATGCAAACTAGACAGAATCATTCTCAGAAACTACTTTGGTACGTGTGTGTTCAACTCACAGTGTTTAACCTTTCTTTTCATAGAGCAGTTTGGAAACACTCAGTTTGTAAAGTCAGCAACTGGATATTTGGATGTATTTGAGGCCTTCGTTGGAAACGGGATTTCTTCATATAGTGCTAGACAGAAGAATTCTCAGTAACTTCTTTGGGTTGTGGGTATTCAACTCACAGAGTTGAAGCTTCCTTTAGGCGGAGCAGATTGGAAACACTTTTTGTGGAATTTTCAGGGGGAGACTTCAAGCGCTTTGAAGTGAATGGTAGAAAAGGAAATATCTTCGTATAAAAACTAGACGGAGTCATTCTCAGAAACTACTTTGTGATGTTTGCGTTCAACTCACAGAGTTTAACGTTTCTTTTCATAGAGCAGTTTGGAAACACTCTTTTTGCAGAATCTGCAAGTGGATATTTAGACCTCTTTGTGGCCTTCGTTGGAAACGGGATTTTTCATATAATGCTAGACAGAAGAATTCTCAGTAACTTCTTTTTGTGGTGTGTATTCAACTCACAGAGTTGAACCTTCCTTTAGACAGAGCAGATTTGAAACTCTCTTTTTGTGGAATTTGCAAGTGGAGATTTCAAGCGCTTTGAGGCCAACGGTAGAAAAGGAAATATCTTCGTAGAAAAAATAGACGGAATCATTCTCAGAAACTGCTTTGGGATGTGTGCATTGAACTCACAGTGTTTAACACTTCTTTTCATAGAGCACTTTGGAAACACTCAGTTTGTAATGTCTGCAGCTGGATATTTGGACCTCTTTGAGGCCTTCGTAGTAAACGGGATTTCTTCGTGTAATGATAGACAATAGAATTCTCAGTGAATTTTTTTCTGTGTGTGTGTATTCAACTCACAGGGTTGAACCTTCCTTTAGACAGTGCAGATTTGAAACACTTGTCTGTGGAATTTGCAAGGGAGAGAGATTTCAAGCACTTTGAGGCCATTGGTGGAAAAGGAAATATCTTCGTATAAAAACTAGACAGAATCATTCTCAGGAACTACTTTGTGATATGTGCATTCAACTCACAGAGTTTAACCTTTCTTTTCATAGATGAGTTTGGAAACAGTCAGTTTGTAAATTCTGCAACTGGATATTTGGACCTCTTTGAGGCTTTCGTTGGAAACGGGATTTCTTCACATAATGCTAGACAGAAGAATTCTCAGTAACTTCTTTTGGGATGTATGTATTCAAATCAGAGAGTTGAACCTTCCTTTAGACAGAGCGGATTGGAAACACTCTTTTTGTGGAATGTGCAAGTGGAAAATTCTAGCAGTATGAGGCCAATGGTACAAAAGGAAATATCTTCGTATAAAAACTAGACAGTATCATTCTCAGAAACTGCTTTGTGATGTGTGTATTAAACTCACAGAGTTTAACCTTTCTTTTCATAGAGCAGTTTGGAAACCCTCTGTTTGTGAAGTCTGCAAGTGGATATTTAAACGTCTTTGAGGCCTTCGTTGGAAACGGGATTTTTTCATATGAACGAGGACAGAAGAATTCTCAGAAACTTCTTGATTGTTATGTGTGCATTCAACTCACAGAGTTGAACCTTACTTTGGAAAGAGCAGTTTTCTAACACTCTTTTTGTAAAAGTTCCAAGTGAATACTTTGAGTGCTTTGAAGCCTACGGTTGACAACGAAATATCTTCATGTAAAAACTACAAAGAATCATTCGCAGAAACCACGTTGTGATCTCTGCATTCAACTCACAGAGTTCAACCTTTCTTCCTATAGAGCAGTTATGAAACAGTCTCTTTGTAGAATTTGCAAGGGTGTATTTAGAGGGCATTGAAGCCTACGGTAGAAAAGGAAATATCTTACCATAAAATACTAGTCAGAAGCATTCTCAGCAACTGAGTTGTGATGTTTGCATTCAACTCACAGAGTTCAACATTCCTTTTAATGGAGCGGTTTTGAAACACTCTTTTTGCAGAATCTGCAAGTGGATATTTGGACCTCTTTGAGGCCTTCGTTGGAAACGGGATTTCTTCATGTAATGCCAGACAGAAGAATTCTCAGTGAATTCTTTCTGTGTGTGTGTATTCAACTCACAGAGTTGAACGTTCCTTTAGACAGAGTAGATTGGAAACACTCTTTTTGTGGAATTTTCAGGTGGAGGTATCAAGCGCTTTGAGGCCAATGATAGAAAAGGAAATACCTTCGTATAATAATTAGACGGAATCATTCTCAGAAACTGCTTTGCAATGTGTGCGTTCAACTCACAGTGTTTAACCTTTCTTTTCATACAGTTGTTTCGAAACACTCTTTTTGCAGAATCTGCAAGTGGATATTTGGACCTCTTTGAAGTCTTCGTTGGAAATGGGATTTCTTCATATAATGCTAGACAGAAGACTTCTCAGTAACTGCTTTTTCTGGTGTGTATTCAACTCTCAGAGTTGAACTTTCCTTTAGAAACAGCAGATTTGAAACTCTCTTTTTGTGGAATTTGCAAGTGGAGATTTCAGAGCTTTGAGGCCAATGGTAGAAAAGGAAATATCTTCGTATGCAAACTAGACAGAATCATTCTCAGAAACTACTTTGGTACGTGTGTGTTCAACTCACAGTGTTTAACCTTTCTTTTCATAGAGCAGTTTGGAAACACTCAGTTTGTAAAGTCAGCAACTGGATATTTGGATGTATTTGAGGCCTTCGTTGGAAACGGGATTTCTTCATATAATGCTAGACAGAAGAATTCTCAGTAACTTCTTTGGGTTGTGGGTATTCAAGTCACAGAGTTGAAGCTTCCTTTAGGCGGAGCAGATTGGAAACACTTTTTGTGGAATTTTCAGGGGGAGACTTCAAGCGCTTTGAAGTGAATGGTAGGAAAGGAAATATCTTCGTATAAAAACTAGACGGAGTCATTCTCAGAAACTACTTTGTGATGTTTGCGTTCAACTCACAGAGTTTAACGTTTCTTTTCATAGAGCAGTTTGGAAACACTCTTTTTGCAGAATCTGCAAGTGGATATTTGGACCTCTTTGTGGCCTTCGTTGGAAACGGGATTTTTCATATAATGCTAGACAGAAGAATTCTCAGTAACTTCTTTTTGTGGTGTGTATTCAACTCACAGAGTTGAACCTTCCTTTAGACAGAGCAGATTTGAAACTCTCTTTTTGTGGAATTTGCAAGTGGAGATTTCAAGCGCTTTGAGGCCAACGGCAGAAAAGGAAATATCTTCGTAGAAAAAATAGACGGAATCATTCTCAGAAACTGCTTTGGGATGTGTGCATTGAACTCACAGTGTTTAACACTTCTTTTCATAGAGCACTTTGGAAACACTCAGTTTGTAATGTCTGCAGCTGGATATTTGGACCTCTTTGAGGCCTTCGTAGTAAACGGGATTTCTTCGTGTAATGATAGACAATAGAATTCTCAGTGAATTTTTTTCTGTGTGTGTGTATTCAACTCACAGGGTTGAACCTTCCTTTAGACAGTGCAGATTTGAAACACTTGTCTGTGGAATTTGCAAGGGAGAGAGATTCCAAGCACTTTGAGGCCATTGGTGGAAAAGGAAATATCTTCGTATAAAAACTAGACAGAATCATTCTCAGGAACTACTTTGTGATATGTGCATTCAACTCACAGAGTTTAACCTTTCTTTTCATAGATGAGTTTGGAAACAGTCAGTTTGTAAATTCTGCAACTGGATATTTGGACCTCTTTGAGGCTTTCGTTGGAAACGGGATTTCTTCACATAATGCTAGACAGAAGAATTCTCAGTAACTTCTTTTGGGATGTATGTATTCAAATCAGAGAGTTGAACCTTCCTTTAGACAGAGCGGATTGGAAACACTCTTTTTGTGGAATTTGCAAGTGGAAAATTCTAGCAGTATGAGGCCAATGGTACAAAAGGAAATATCTTCGTATAAAAACTAGACAGTATCATTCTCAGAAACTGCTTTGTGATGTGTGTATTAAACTCACAGAGTTGAACATTTCTTTGCATAGAGCAGTTTGGAAAGACTTAGCTTGTGCAGTGTGCAAGTGGATATTTGGAACTCTTTGAGGCCTTCGTTGGAAACGGGATTTCTTCTTATAATTCTTGACAAAAGAATTCTCAGTAGCTTCTTTGTGTGTGTGTATTCAACTCACAGAGTTGAACCTTCCTTTAGACAGAGCAGATTGGAAACACTCTTTTTGTGGAATTTGCAAGTGGAGAATTCTAGCGCTTTGACGCCAATGGTAGAAAGGAAATATCTTCGTATAAAAACTAGACAGTATCATTCTCAGAAGCTACTTTGTGATGTGTGCGTTCAACTCACAGAGTTTAACCTTTCTTTTCATAGAGCAGTTTGGAAACCCTCTGTTTGTGAAGTCTGCAAGTGGATATTTAAACGTCTTTGAGGCCTTCGTTGGAAACGGGATTTCTTCATATAAACCAGGACAGAAGAATTCTCAGAAACTTCTTGATTGTTATGGGTGCATTCAACTCACAGATTTGAACCTTACTTTGGAAAGAGCAGTTTTCTAACACTCTTTTTGTAAAAGTTCCAAGTGAATACTTTGAGTGCTTTGAAGCCTACGGTTGACAACGAAATATCTTCATGTAAAAACTACAAAGAATCATTCGCAGAAACCACGTTGTGATCTCTGCATTCAACTCACAGAGTTGAACCTTTCTTCCTATAGAGCAGTTATGAAACAGTCTCTTTGTAGAATTTGCAAGGGTGTATTTAGAGGGCATTGAAGCCTACGGTAGAAAAGGAAATATCTTACCATAAAATCTAGTCAGAAGCATTCTCAGAAACTGAGTTGTGATGTTTGCATTCAACTCACAGAGTTCAACATTCCTTTTAATGGAGCGGTTTTGAAACACTCTTTTTGCAGAATCTGCAAGTGGATATTTGGACCTCTTTGAGGCCTTCGTTGGAAACGGGATTTCTTCATGTAATGCCAGACAGAAGAATTCTCAGTGAATTCTTTCTGTGTGTGTGTATTCAACTCACAGAGTTGAACGTTCCTTTAGACAGAGTAGATTGGAAACACTCTTTTTGTGGAATTTTCAGGTGGAGGTATCAAGCGCTTTGAGGCCAATGATAGAAAAGGAAATACCTTCGTATAATAATTAGACGGAATCATTCTCAGAAACCGCTTTGCAATGTGTGCGTTCAACTCACAGTGTTTAACCTTTCTTTTCATACAGTTGTTTCGAAACACTCTTTTTGCAGAATCTGCAAGTGGATATTTGGACCTCTTTGAAGTCTTCGTTGGAAATGGGATTTCTTCATATAATGCTAGACAGAAGACTTCTCAGTAACTGCTTTTTCTGGTGTGTATTCAACTCTCAGAGATGAACTTTCCTTTAGAAACAGCAGATTTGAAACTCTCTTTTTGTGGAATTTGCAAGTGGAGATTTCAGAGCTTTGAGGCCAATGGTAGAAAAGGAAATATCTTCGTATGCAAACTAGACAGAATCATTCTCAGAAACTACTTTGGTACGTGTGTGTTCAACTCACAGTGTTTAACCTTTCTTTTCATAGAGCAGTTTGGAAACACTCAGTTTGTAAAGTCAGCAACTGGATATTTGGATGTATTTGAGGCCTTCGTTGGAAACGGGATTTCTTCATATAATGCTAGACAGAAGAATTCTCAGTAACTTCTTTGGGTTGTGGGTATTCAAGTCACAGAGTTGAAGCTTCCTTTAGGCGGAGCAGATTGGAAACACTTTTTGTGGAATTTTCAGGGGGAGACTTCAAGCGCTTTGAAGTGAATGGTAGGAAAGGAAATATCTTCGTATAAAAACTAGACGGAGTCATTCTCAGAAACTACTTTGTGATGTTTGCGTTCAACTCACAGAGTTTAACGTTTCTTTTCATAGAGCAGTTTGGAAACACTCTTTTTGCAGAATCTGCAAGTGGATATTTGGACCTCTTTGTGGCCTTCGTTGGAAACGGGATTTTTCATATAATGCTAGACAGAAGAATTCTCAGTAACTTCTTTTTGTGGTGTGTATTAAACTCACAGAGTTGAACCTTCCTTTAGACAGAGCAGATTTGAAACTCTCTTTTTGTGGAATTTGCAAGTGGAGATTTCAAGCGCTTTGAGGCCAACGGCAGAAAAGGAAATATCTTCGTAGAAAAAATAGACGGCAATCATTCTCAGAAACTGCTTTGGGATGTGTGCATTGAACTCACAGTGTTTAACACTTCTTTTCGTAGAGCACTTTGGAAACACTCAGTTTGTAATGTCTGCAGCTGGATATTTGGACCTCTTTGAGGCCTTCGTAGTAAACGGGATTTCTTCGTGTAATGATAGACAATAGAATTCTCAGTGAATTTTTTTCTGTGTGTGTGTATTCAACTCACAGGGTTGAACCTTTCCTTTAGACAGTGCAGATTTGAGACACTTGTCTGTGGAATTTGCAAGGGGAGATTTCAAGCACTTTGAGGCCATTGGTGGAAAAGGAAATATCTTCGTATAAAAACTAGACAGAATCATTCTCAGGAACTACTTTGTGATATGTGCATTCAACTCACAGAGTTTAACCTTTCTTTTCATAGATGAGTTTGGAAACAGTCAGTTTGTAAATGCTGCAACTGGATATTTGGGCCTCTTTGAGGCTTTCGTTGGAAACGGGATTTCTTCACATAATGCTAGACAGAAGAATTCTCAGTAACTTCTTTTGGGATGTATGTATTCAAATCAGAGAGTTGAACCTTCCTTTAGACAGAGCGGATTGGAAACACTCTTTTTGTGGAATTTGCAAGTGGAAAATTCTAGCAGTATGAGGCCAATGGTACAAAAGGAAATATCTTCGTATAAAAACTAGACAGTATCATTCTCAGAAACTGCTTTGTGATGTGTGTATTAAACTCACAGATTTGAACATTTCTTTGCATAGAGCAGTATGGAAAGACTTAGTTTGTGCAGTGTGCAAGTGGATATTTGGAACTCTTTGAGGCCTTGGTTGGAAACGGGATTTCTTCTTATAATTCTTGACAAAAGAATTCTCAGTAGCTTCTTTGTGTGTGTGTACTCAACTCACAGAGTTGAACCTTCCTTTAGGCAGAGCAGATTGGAAACACTCTTTTTGTGGAATTTGCAAGTGGAAAATTCTAGCAGTATGAGGCCAATGGTACAAAAGGAAATATCTTCGTATAAAAACTAGACAGTATCATTCTCAGAAACTACTTTGTGAGGTGTGCGTTCAACTCACAGTGTTTACCCTTTCTTTTCATAGAGCAGTTTGGAAACACTCTGTTTGTGAAGTCTGCAAGTGGATATTTAAACGTCCTTTGAGGCCTTCGTTGGAAACGGGATTTCTTCATATAAACCAGGACAGAAAGAATTCTCAGAAACTTCTTGATTGTTATGTGTGCATTCAACTCACAGAGTTGAACCTTACTTTGGAAAGAGCAGTTTTCTAACACTCTTTTTGTAAAAGTTCCAAGTGAATACTTTGAGTGCTTTGAAGCCTACGGTTGACAACGAAATATCTTCATGTAAAAACTACAAAGATCATTCGCAGAAACCACGTTGTGATCTCTGCATTCAACTCACAGAGTTGAACCTTTCTTCCTATAGAGCAGTTATGAAACAGTCTCTTTGTAGAATTTGCAAGGGTGTATTTAGAGGGCATTGAAGCCTACGGTAGAAAAGGAAATATCTTACCATAAAATCTAGTCAGAAGCATTCTCAGCAACTGAGTTGTGATGTTTCCATTCAACTCACAGAGTTCAACATTCCTTTTAATGGAGCGGTTTTGAAACACTCTTTTTGCAGAATCTGCAAGTGGATATTTGGACCTGCTTTGAGGCCTTCGTTGGAAACGGGATTTCTTCATGTAATGCCAGACAGAAGAATTCTCAGTGAATTCTTTCTGTGTGTGTGTATTCAACTCACAGAGTTGAACGTTCCTTTAGACAGAGTAGATTGGAAACACTCTTTTTGTGGAATTTTCAGGTGGAGGTATCAAGCGCTTTGAGGCCAATGATAGAAAAGGAAATACCTTCGTATAATAATTAGACGGAATCATTCTCAGAAACTGCTTTGCAATGTGTGCGTTCAACTCACAGTGTTTAACCTTTCTTTTCATACAGTTGTTTCGAAACACTCTTTTTGCAGAATCTGCAAGTGGATATTTGGACCTCTTTGAAGTCTTCGTTGGAAATGGGATTTCTTCATATAATGCTAGACAGAAGACTTCTCAGTAACTGCTTTTTCTGGTGTGTATTCAACTCTCAGAGTTGAACTTTCCTTTAGAAACAGCAGAGTTGAAACTCTCTTTTTGTGGAATTTGCAAGTGGAGATTTCAGAGCTTTGAGGCCAATGGTAGAAAAGGAAATATCTTCGTATGCAAACTAGACAGAATCATTCTCAGAAACTACTTTGGTACGTGTGTGTTCAACTCACAGTGTTTAACCTTTCTTTTCATAGAGCAGTTTGGAAACACTCAGTTTGTAAAGTCAGCAACTGGATATTTGGATGTATTTGAGGCCTTCGTTGGAAACGGGATTTCTTCATATAATGCTAGACAGAAGAATTCTCAGTAACTTCTTTGGGTTGTGGGTATTCAAGTCACAGAGTTGAAGCTTCCTTTAGGCGGAGCAGATTGGAAACACTTTTTGTGGAATTTTCAGGGGGAGACTTCAAGCGCTTTGAAGTGAATGGTAGGAAAGGAAATATCTTCGTATAAAAACTAGACGGGTCATTCTCAGAAACTACTTTGTGATGTTTGCGTTCAACTCACAGAGTTTAACAGTTTCTTTTCATAGAGCAGTTTGGAAACACTCTTTTTGCAGAATCTGCAAGTGGATATTTGGACCTCTTTGTGGCCTTCGTTGGAAACGGGATTTTTCATATAATGCTAGACAGAAGAATTCTCAGTAACTTCTTTTTGTGGTGTGTATTCAACTCACAGAGTTGAACCTTCCTTTAGACAGAGCAGATTTGAAACTCTCTTTTTGTGGAATTTGCAAGTGGAGATTTCAAGCGCTTTGAGGCCAACGGTAGAAAAGGAAATATCTTCGTAGAAAAAATAGACGGAATCATTCTCAGAAACTGCTTTGGGATGTGTGCATTGAACTCACAGTGTTTAACACTTCTTTTCATAGAGCACTTTGGAAACACTCAGTTTGTAATGTCTGCAGCTGGATATTTGGACCTCTTTGAGGCCTTCGTAGTAAACGGGATTTCTTCGTGTAATGATAGACAATAGAATTCTCAGTGAATTTTTTTCTGTGTGTGTGTATTCAACTCACAGGGTTGAACCTTCCTTCAGACAGTGCAGATTTGAAACACTTTTCTGTGGAATTTGCAAGGGGAGATTTCAAGCACTTTGAGGCCATTGGTGGAAAAGGAAATATCTTCGTATAAAAACTAGACAGAATCATTCTCAGGAACTACTTTGTGATATGTGCATTCAACTCACAGAGTTTAACCTTCCTTTTCATAGATGAGTTTGGAAACAGTCAGTTTGTAAATTCTGCAACTGGATATTTGGACCTCTTGGAGGCTTTCGTTGGAAACGGGATTTCTTCACATAATGCTAGACAGAAGAATTCGCAGTAACTTCTTTTGGGATGTATGTATTCAACTCAGAGAGTTGAACCTTCCTTTAGACAGAGCGGATTGGAAACACGCTTTTTGCGGAATTTTCAGGTGGAGATTTCAAGAGCCTTGAGGCCAATGGTAGAAAAGGCTAACTTCGTATAAAAACTAGACGGAATCATTCTCAGAAACTGCTTTGTGATGTGTGTATTAAACTCACAGAGTTGAACATTTCTTTGCATAGAGCAGTTTGGAAAGACTTAGTTTGTGCAGTGTGCAAGTGGATATTTGGAACTCTTTGAGGCCTTCGTTGGAAACGGGATTTCTTCTTATAATTCTTGACAAAAGAATTCTCAGTAGCTTCTTTGTGTGTGTGTATTCAACTCACAGAGTTGAACCTTCCTTTAGACAGAGCAGATTGGAAACACTCTTTTTGTGGAATTTGCAAGTGGAGAATTCTAGCGCTTTGACGCCAATGGTAGAAAGGAAATATCTTCGTATAAAAACTAGACAGTATCATTCTCAGAAGCTACTTTGTGATGTGTGCGTTCAACTCACAGAGTTTAACCTTTCTTTTCATAGAGCAGTTTGGAAACCCTCTGTTTGTGAAGTCTGCAAGTGGATATTTAAACGTCTTTGAGGCCTTCGTTGGAAACGGGATTTTTTCATATAAACCAGGACAGAAGAATTCTCAGAAACTTCTTGATTGTTATGTGTGCATTCAACTCACAGAGTTGAACCTTACTTTGGAAAGAGCAGTTTTCTAACACTCTTTTTGTAAAAGTTCCAAGTGAATACTTTGAGTGCTTTGAAGCCTACGGTTGACAACGAAATATCTTCCTGTAAAAACTACAAAGAATCATTCGCAGAAACCACGTTGTGATCTCTGCATTCAACTCACAGAGTTGAACCTTTCTTCCTATAGAGCAGTTATGAAACAGTCTCTTTGTAGAATTTGCAAGGGTGTATTTAGAGGGCATTGAAGCCTACGGTAGAAAAGGAAATATCTTACCATAAAATCTAGTCAGAAGCATTCTCAGCAACTGAGTTGTGATGTTTCCATTCAACTCACAGAGTTCAACATTCCTTTTAATGGAGCGGTTTTGAAACACTCTTTTTGCAGAATCTGCAAGTGGATATTTGGACCTCTTTGAGGCCTTCGTTGGAAACGGGATTTCTTCATGTAATGCCAGACAGAAGAATTCTCAGTGAGTTCTTTCTGTGTGTGTGTATTCAACTCACAGAGTTGAACGTTCCTTTAGACAGAGTAGATTGGAAACACTCTTTTTGTGGAATTTTCAGGTGGAGGTATCAAGCGCTTTGAGGCCAATGATAGAAAAGGAAATACCTTCGTATAATAATTAGACGGAATCATTCTCAGAAACCGCTTTGCAATGTGTGCGTTCAACTCACAGTGTTTAACCTTTCTTTTCATACAGTTGTTTCGAAACACTCTTTTTGCAGAATCTGCAAGTGGATATTTGGACCTCTTTGAAGTCTTCGTTGGAAATGGGATTTCTTCATATAATGCTAGACAGAAGACTTCTCAGTAACTGCTTTTTCTGGTGTGTATTCAACTCTCAGAGTTGAACTTTCCTTTAGAAACAGCAGATTTGAAACTCTCTTTTTGTGGAATTTGCAAGTGGAGATTTCAGAGCTTTGAGGCCAATGGTAGAAAAGGAAATATCTTCGTATGCAAACTAGACAGAATCATTCTCAGAAACTACTTTGGTACGTGTGTGTTCAACTCACAGTGTTTAACCTTTCTTTTCATAGAGCAGTTTGGAAACACTCAGTTTGTAAAGTCAGCAACTGGATATTTGGATGTATTTGAGGCCTTCGTTGGAAACGGGATTTCTTCATATAATGCTAGACAGAAGAATTCTCAGTAACTTCTTTGGGTTGTGGGTATTCAAGTCACAGAGTTGAAGCTTCCTTTAGGCGGAGCAGATTGGAAACACTTTTTGTGGAATTTTCAGGGGGAGACTTCAAGCGCTTTGAAGTGAATGGTAGGAAAGGAAATATCTTCGTATAAAAACTAGACGGAGTCATTCTCAGAAACTACTTTGTGATGTTTGCGTTCAACTCACAGAGTTTAACGTTTCTTTTCATAGAGCAGTTTGGAAACACTCTTTTTGCAGAATCTGCAAGTGGATATTTGGACCTCTTTGTGGCCTTCGTTGGAAACGGGATTTTTCATATAATGCTAGACAGAAGAATTCTCAGTAACTTCTTTTTGTGGTGTGTATTCAACTCACAGAGTTGAACCTTCCTTTAGACAGAGCAGATTTGAAACTCTCTTTTTGTGGAATTTGCAAGTGGAGATTTCAAGCGCTTTGAGGCCAACGGCAGAAAAGGAAATATCTTCGTAGAAAAAATAGACGGAATCATTCTCAGAAACTGCTTTGGGATGTGTGCATTGAACTCACAGTGTTTAACACTTCTTTTCCTAGAGCACTTTGGAAACACTCAGGTTGTAATGTCTGCAGCTGGATATTTGGACCTCTTTGAGGCCTTCGTAGTAAACGGGATTTCTTCGTGTAATGATAGACAATAGAATTCTCAGTGAATTTTTTTCTGTGTGTGTGTATTCAACTCACAGGGTTGAACCTTCCTTTAGACAGTGCAGATTTGAGACACTTGTCTGTGGAATTTGCAAGGGGAGATTTCAAGCACTTTGAGGCCATTGGTGGAAAAGGAAATATCTTCGTATAAAAACTAGACAGAATCATTCTCAGGAACTACTTTGTGATATGTGCATTCAACTCACAGAGTTTAACCTTTCTTTTCATAGATGAGTTTGGAAACAGTCAGTTTGTAAATTCTGCAACTGGATATTTGGACCTCTTTGAGGCTTTCGTTGGAAACGGGATTTCTTCACATAATGCTAGACAGAAGAATTCTCAGTAACTTCTTTTGGGATGTATGTATTCAAATCAGAGAGTTGAACCTTCCTTTAGACAGAGCGGATTGGAAACACTCTTTTTGTGGAATTTGCAAGTGGAAAATTCTAGCAATATGAGGCCAATGGTACAAAAGGAAATATCTTCGTATAAAAACTAGACAGTATCATTCTCAGAAACTGCTTTGTGATGTGTGTATTAAACTCACAGAGTTGAACATTTCTTTGCATAGAGCAGTTTGGAAAGACTTAGTTTGTGCAGTGTGCAAGTGGATATTTGGAACTCTTTGAGGCCTTCGTTGGAAACGGGATTTCTTCTTATAATTCTTGACAAAAGAATTCTCAGTAGCTTCTTTGTGTGTGTGTATTCAACTCACAGAGTTGAACCTTCCTTTAGACAGAGCAGATTGGAAACACTCTTTTTGTGGAATTTGCAAGTGGAGAATTCTAGCGCTTTGACGCCAATGGTAGAAAGGAAATATCTTCGTATAAAAACTAGACAGTATCATTCTCAGAAGCTACTTTGTGATGTGTGCGTTCAACTCACAGAGTTTAACCTTTCTTTTCATAGAGCAGTTTGGAAACCCTCTGTTTGTGAAGTCTGCAAGTGGATATTTAAACGTCTTTGAGGCCTTCGTTGGAAACGGGATTTTTTCATATAAAACAGGACAGAAGAATTCTCAGAAACTTCTTGATTGTTATGTGTGCATTCAACTCACAGAGTTGAACCTTACTTTGGAAAGAGCAGTTTTCTAATACTCTTTTTGTAAAAGTTCCAAGTGAATACTTTGAGTGCTTTGAAGCCTACGGTTGACAACGAAATATCTTCATGTAAAAACTACAAAGAATCATTCGCAGAAACCACGTTGTGATCTCTGCATTCAACTCACAGAGTTCAACCTTTCTTCCTATAGAGCAGTTATGAAACAGTCTCTTTGTAGAATTTGCAAGGGTGTATTTAGAGGGCATTGAAGCCTACGGTAGAAAAGGAAATATCTTACCATAAAATCTAGTCAGAAGCATTCTCAGCAACTGAGTTGTGATGTTTGCATTCAACTCACAGAGTTCAACATTCCTTTTAATGGAGCGGTTTTGAAACACTCTTTTTGCAGAATCTGCAAGTGGATATTTGGACCTCTTTGAGGCCTTCGTTGGAAACGGGATTTCTTCATGTAATGCCAGACAGAAGAATTCTCAGTGAATTCTTTCTGTGTGTGTGTATTCAACTCACAGAGTTGAACGTTCCTTTAGACAGAGTAGATTGGAAACACTCTTTTTGTGGAATTTTCAGGTGGAGGTATCAAGCGCTTTGAGGCCAATGATAGAAAAGGAAATACCTTCGTATAATAATTAGACGGAATCATTCTCAGAAACTGCTTTGCAATGTGTGCGTTCAACTCACAGTGTTTAACCTTTCTTTTCATACAGTTGTTTCGAAACACTCTTTTTGCAGAATCTGCAAGTGGATATTTGGACCTCTTTGAAGTCTTCGTTGGAAATGGGATTTCTTCATATAATGCTAGACAGAAGACTTCTCAGTAACTGCTTTTTCTGGTGTGTATTCAACTCTCAGAGTTGAACTTTCCTTTAGAAACAGCAGAGTTGAAACTCTCTTTTTGTGGAATTTGCAAGTGGAGATTTCAAAGCTTTGAGGCCAATGGTAGAAAAGGAAATATCTTCGTATGCAAACTAGACAGAATCATTCTCAGAAACTACTTTGGTACGTGTGTGTTCAACTCACAGTGTTTAACCTTTCTTTTCATAGAGCAGTTTGGAAACACTCAGTTTGTAAAGTCAGCAACTGGATATTTGGATGTTTTTGAGGCCTTCGTTGGAAACGGGATTTCTTCATATAATGCTAGACAGAAGAATTCTCAGTAACTTCTTTTTGTGGTGTGTATTCAACTCACAGAGTTTAACCTTCCTTTAGACAGAGCAGATTTGAAACTCTCTTTTTGTGGAATTTGCAAGTGGAGATTTCAAGCGCTTTGAGGCCAACGGTAGAAAAGGAAATATCTTCGTAGAAAAAATAGACGGAATCATTCTCAGAAACTGCTTTGGGATGTGTGCATTGAACTCACAGTGTTTAACACTTCTTTTCATAGAGCACTTTGGAAACACTCAGGTTGTAATGTCTGCAGCTGGATATTTGGACCTCTTTGAGGCCTTCGTAGTAAACGGGATTTCTTCGTGTAATGATAGACAATAGAATTCTCAGTGAATTTTTTTCTGTGTGTGTGTATTCAACTCACAGGGTTGAACCTTCCTTTAGACAGTGCAGATTTGAGACACTTGTCTGTGGAATTTGCAAGGGGAGATTTCAAGCACTTTGAGGCCATTGGTGGAAAAGGAAATATCTTCGTATAAAAACTAGACAGAATCATTCTCAGGAACTACTTTGTGATATGTGCATTCAACTCACAGAGTTTAACCTTTCTTTTCATAGATGAGTTTGGAAACAGTCAGTTTGTAAATGCTGCAACTGGATATTTGGGCCTCTTTGAGGCTTTCGTTGGAAACGGGATTTCTTCACATAATGCTAGACAGAAGAATTCTCAGTAACTTCTTTTGGGATGTATGTATTCAAATCAGAGAGTTGAACCTTCCTTTAGACAGAGCGGATTGGAAACACTCTTTTTGTGGAATTTGCAAGTGGAAAATTCTAGCAGTATGAGGCCAATGGTACAAAAGGAAATATCTTCGTATAAAAACTAGACAGTATCATTCTCAGAAACTGCTTTGTGATGTGTGTATTAAACTCACAGAGTTGAACATTTCTTTGCATAGAGCAGTATGGAAAGACTTAGTTTGTGCAGTGTGCAAGTGGATATTTGGAACTCTTTGAGGCCTTGGTTGGAAACGGGATTTCTTCTTATAATTCTTGACAAAAGAATTCTCAGTAGCTTCTTTGTGTGTGTGTACTCAACTCACAGAGTTGAACCTTCCTTTAGACAGAGCAGATTGGAAACTCTCTTTTTGTGGAATTTGCAAGTGGAAAATTCTAGCAGTATGAGGCCAGTGGTACAAAAGGAAATATCTTCGTATAAAAACTAGACAGTATCATTCTCAGAAACTACTTTGTGATGTGTGCGTTCAACTCACAGTGTTTACCCTTTCTTTTCATAGAGCAGTTTGGAAACACTCTGTTTGTGAAGTGTGCAAGTGGATATTTAAACGTCTTTGAGGCCTTCGTTGGAAACGGGATTTCTTCATATAAACCAGGACAGAAGAATTCTCAGAAACTTCTTGTTTGTTATGTGTGCATTCAACTCACAGAGTTGAACCTTACTTTGGAAAGAGCAGTTTTCTAACACTCTTTTTGTAAAAGTTCCAAGTGAATACTTTGAGTGCTTTGAAGCCTACGGTAGACAACGAAATATCTTCATGTAAAAACTACAAAGAATCATTCGCAGAAACCACGTTGTGATCTCTGCATTCAACTCACAGAGTTGAACCTTTCCTCCTATAGAGCAGTTATGAAACAGTCTCTTTGTAGAATTTGCAAGGGTGTATTTACAGGGCATTGAAGCCTACGGTAGAAAAGGAAATATCTTACCATAAAATCTAGTCAGAAGCATTCTCAGCAACTGAGTTGTGATGTTTCCATTCAACTCACAGAGTTCAACATTCCTTTTAATGGAGCGGTTTTGAAACACTCTTTTTGCAGAATCTGCAAGTGGATATTTGGACCTGCTTTGAGGCCTTCGTTGGAAACGGGATTTCTTCATGTAATGCCAGACAGAAGAATTCTCAGTGAATTCTTTCTGTGTGTGTGTATTCAACTCACAGAGTTGAACGTTCCTTTAGACAGAGTAGATTGGAAACACTCTTTTTGTGGAATTTTCAGGTGGAGGTATCAAGCGCTTTGAGGCCAATGATAGAAAAGGAAATACCTTCGTATAATAATTAGACGGAATCATTCTCAGAAACTGCTTTGCAATGTGTGCGTTCAACTCACAGTGTTTAACCTTTCTTTTCATACAGTTGTTTCGAAACACTCTTTTTGCAGAATCTGCAAGTGGATATTTGGACCTCTTTGAAGTCTTCGTTGGAAATGGGATTTCTTCATATAATGCTAGACAGAAGACTTCTCAGTAACTGCTTTTTCTGGTGTGTATTCAACTCTCAGAGTTGAACTTTCCTTTAGAAACAGCAGATTTGAAACTCTCTTTTTGTGGAATTTGCAAGTGGAGATTTCAGAGCTTTGAGGCCAATGGTAGAAAAGGAAATATCTTCGTATGCAAACTAGACAGAATCATTCTCAGAAACTACTTTGGTACGTGTGTGTTCAACTCACAGTGTTTAACCTTTCTTTTCATAGAGCAGTTTGGAAACACTCAGTTTGTAAAGTCAGCAACTGGATATTTGGATGTATTTGAGGCCTTCGTTGGAAACGGGATTTCTTCATATAATGCTAGACAGAAGAATTCTCAGTAACTTCTTTGGGTTGTGGGTATTCAACTCACAGAGTTGAAGCTTCCTTTAGGCGGAGCAGATTGGAAACACTTTTTGTGGAATTTTCAGGTGGAGACTTCAAGCGCTTTGAAGTGAATGGTAGGAAAGGAAATATCTTCGTATAAAAACTAGACGGAGTCATTCTCAGAAACTACTTTGTGATGTTTGCGTTCAACTCACAGAGTTTAACGTTTCTTTTCATAGAGCAGTTTGGAAACACTCTGTTTGCAGAATCTGCAAGTGGATATTTGGACCTCTTTGTGGCCTTCATTGGAAACGGGATTTTTCATATAATGCTAGACAGAAGAATTCTCAGTAACTTCTTTTTGTGGTGTGTATTCAACTCACAGAGTTGAACCTTCCTTTAGACAGAGCAGATTTGAAACTCTCTTTTTGTGGAATTTGCAAGTGGAGATTTCAAGCGCTTTGAGGCCAACGGTAGAAAAGGAAATATCTTCGTAGAAAAAATAGACGGAATCATTCTCAGAAACTGCTTTGGGATGTGTGCATTGAACTCACAGTGTTTAACACTTCTTTTCATAGAGCACTTTGGAAACACTCAGTTTGTAATGTCTGCAGCTGGATATTTGGACCTCTTTGAGGCCTTCGTAGTAAACGGGATTTCTTCGTGTAATGATAGACAATAGAATTCTCAGTGAATTTTTTTCTGTGTGTGTGTATTCAACTCACAGGGTTGAACCTTCCTTTAGACAGTGCAGATTTGAGACACTTGTCTGTGGAATTTGCAAGGGGAGATTTCAAGCACTTTGAGGCCATTGGTGGAAAAGGAAATATCTTCGTATAAAAACTAGACAGAATCATTCTCAGGAACTACTTTGTGATATGTGCATTCAACTCACAGAGTTTAACCTTTCTTTTCATAGATGAGTTTGGAAACAGTCAGTTTGTAAATGCTGCAACTGGATATTTGGGCCTCTTTGAGGCTTTCGTTGGAAACGGGATTTCTTCACATAATGCTAGACAGAAGAATTCTCAGTAACTTCTTTTGGGATGTATGTATTCAAATCAGAGAGTTGAACCTTCCTTTAGACAGAGCGGATTGGAAACACTCTTTTTGTGGAATTTGCAAGTGGAAAATTCTAGCAGTATGAGGCCAATGGTACAAAAGGAAATATCTTCGTATAAAAACTAGACAGTATCATTCTCAGAAACTGCTTTGTGATGTGTGTATTAAACTCACAGAGTTGAACATTTCTTTGCATAGAGCAGTATGGAAAGACTTAGTTTGTGCAGTGTGCAAGTGGATATTTGGAACTCTTTGAGGCCTTGGTTGGAAACGGGATTTCTTCTTATAATTCTTGACAAAAGAATTCTCAGTAGCTTCTTTGTGTGTGTGTACTCAACTCACAGAGTTGAACCTTCCTTTAGACAGAGCAGATTGGAAACACTCTTTTTGTGGAATTTGCAAGTGGAAAATTCTAGCAGTATGAGGCCAATGGTACAAAAGGAAATATCTTCGTATAAAAACTAGACAGTATCATTCTCAGAAACTACTTTGTGAGGTGTGCGTTCAACTCACAGTGTTTACCCTTTCTTTTCATAGAGCAGTTTGGAAACACTCTGTTTGTGAAGTCTGCAAGTGGATATTTAAACGTCTTTGAGGCCTTCGTTGGAAACGGGATTTCTTCATATAAACCAGGACAGAAGAATTCTCAGAAACTTCTTGTTTGTTATGTGTGCATTCAACTCACAGAGTTGAACCTTACTTTGGAAAGAGCAGTTTTCTAACACTCTTTTTGTAAAAGTTCCAAGTGAATACTTTGAGTGCTTTGAAGCCTACGGTAGACAACGAAATATCTTCATGTAAAAACTACAAAGAATCATTCACAGAAACCACGTTGTGATCTCTGCATTCAACTCACAGAGTTGAACCTTTCTTCCTATAGAGCAGTTATTAAACAGTCTCTTTGTAGAATTTGCAAGGGTGTATTTAGAGGGCCTTGAAGCCTAGGGTAGAAAAGGCAATATCTTACCATAAAATCTAGTCAGAAGCATTCTCAGAAACTGAGTTGTGATGTTTGCATTCAACTCACAGAGTTCAACATTCCTTTTAATGGAGCGGTTTTGAAACACTCTTTTTGCAGAATCTGCAAGTGGATATTTGGACCTCTTTGAGGCCTTCGTTGGAAACGGGATTTCTTCATGTAATGCCAGACAGAAGAATTCTCAGTGAATTCTTTCTGTGTGTGTGTATTCAACTCACAGAGTTGAACGTTCCTTTAGACAGAGTAGATTGGAAACACTCTTTTTGTGGAATTTTCAGGTGGAGGTATCAAGCGCTTTGAGGCCAATGATAGAAAAGGAAATACCTTCGTATAATAATTAGACGGAATCATTCTCAGAAACTGCTTTGCAATGTGTGCGTTCAACTCACAGTGTTTAACCTTTCTTTTCATACAGTTTTGTTTCGAAACACTCTTTTTGCAGAATCTGCAAGTGGATATTTGGACCTCTTTGAAGTCTTCGTTGGAAATGGGATTTCTTCATATAATGCTAGACAGAAGACTTCTCAGTAACTGCTTTTTCTGGTGTGTATTCAACTCTCAGAGTTGAACTTTCCTTTAGAAACAGCAGAGTTGAAACTCTCTTTTTGTGGAATTTGCAAGTGGAGATTTCAAAGCTTTGAGGCCAATGGTAGAAAAGGAAATATCTTCGTATGCAAACTAGACAGAATCATTCTCAGAAACTACTTTGGTACGTGTGTGTTCAACTCACAGTGTTTAACCTTTCTTTTCATAGAGCAGTTTGGAAACACTCAGTTTGTAAAGTCAGCAACTGGATATTTGGATGTATTTGAGGCCTTCGTTGGAAACGGGATTTCTTCATATAATGCTAGACAGAAGAATTCTCAGTAACTTCTTTGGGTTGTGGGTATTCAACTCACAGAGTTGAAGCTTCCTTTAGGCGGAGCAGATTGGAAACACTTTTTGTGGAATTTTCAGGGGGAGACTTCAAGCGCTTTGAAGTGAATGGTAGAAAAGGAAATATCTTCGTATAAAAACTAGACGGAGTCATTCTCAGAAACTACTTTGTGATGTTTGCGTTCAACTCACAGAGTTTAACGTTTCTTTTCATAGAGCAGTTTGGAAACACTCTTTTTGCAGAATCTGCAAGTGGATATTTGGACCTCTTTGTGGCCTTCGTTGGAAACGGGATTTTTCATATAATGCTAGACAGAAGAATTCTCAGTAACTTCTTTTTGTGGTGTGTATTCAACTCACAGAGTTGAACCTTCCTTTAGACAGAGCAGATTTGAAACTCTCTTTTTGTGGAATTTGCAAGTGGAGATTTCAAGCGCTTTGAGGCCAACGGCAGAAAAGGAAATATCTTCGTAGAAAAAATAGACGGAATCATTCTCAGAAACTGCTTTGGGATGTGTGCATTGAACTCACAGTGTTTAACACTTCTTTTCATAGAGCACTTTGGAAACACTCAGTTT
Organism: Homo sapiens; assembly: GCF_000001405.40. Taxonomy (NCBI): domain Eukaryota; kingdom Metazoa; phylum Chordata; class Mammalia; order Primates; family Hominidae; genus Homo; species Homo sapiens. Next base: position 92,623,540 of record NC_000003.12, read on the forward strand.
GTAATGTCTGCAGCTGGATATTTGGACCTCTTTGAGGCCTTCGTAGTAAACGGGATTTCTTCGTGTAATGATAGACAATAGAATTCTCAGTGAATTTTTTTCTGTGTGTGTGTATTCAACTCACAGGGTTGAACCTTCCTTTAGACAGTGCAGATTTGAAACACTTGTCTGTGGAATTTGCAAGGGGAGATTTCAAGCACTTTGAGGCCATTGGTGGAAAAGGAAATATCTTCGTATAAAAACTAGACAGAATCATTCTCAGGAACTACTTTGTGATATGTGCATTCAACTCACAGAGTTTAACCTTTCTTTTCATATATGAGTTTGGAAACAGTCAGTTTGTAAATTCTGCAACTGGATATTTGGACCTCTTTGAGGCTTTCGTTGGAAACGGGATTTCTTCACATAATGCTAGACAGAAGAATTCTCAGTAACTTCTTTTGGGATGTATGTATTCAAATCAGAGAGTTGAACCTTCCTTTAGACAGAGCGGATTGGAAACACTCTTTTTGTGGAATTTGCAAGTGGAAAATTCTAGCAGTATGAGGCCAATGGTACAAAAGGAAATATCTTCGTATAAAAACTAGACAGTATCATTCTCAGAAACTGCTTTGTGATGTGCGTATTAAACTCACAGAGTTGAACATTTCTTTGCATAGAGCAGTTTGGAAAGACTTAGTTTGTGCAGTGTGCAAGTGGATATTTGGAACTCTTTGAGGCCTTCGTTGGAAACGGGATTTCTTCTTATAATTCTTGACAACAGAATTCTCAGTAGCTTCTTTGTGTGTGTGTATTCAACTCACAGAGTTGAACCTTCCTTTAGACAGAGCAGATTGGAAACACTCTTTTTGTGGAATTTGCAAGTGGAGAATTCTAGCGCTTTGACGCCAATGGTAGAAAGGAAATATCTTCGTATAAAAACTAGACAGTATCATTCTCAAAAACTACTTTGTGATGTGTGCGTTCAACTCACAGAGTTTAACCTTTCTTTTCATAGAGCAGTTTGGAAACACTCTGTTTGTGAAGTCTGCAAGTGGATATTTAAACGTCTTTGAGGCCTTCGTTGGAAACGGGATTTTTTCATATAAACCAGGACAGAAGAATTCTCAGAAACTTCTTGATTGTTATGTGTGCATTCAACTCACAGAGTTGAACCTTACTTTGGAAAGAGCAGTTTTCTAACACTCTTTTTGTAAAAGTTCCAAGTGAATACTTTGAGTGCTTTGAAGCCTACGGTTGACAACGAAATATCTTCATGTAAAAACTACAAAGAATCATTCGCAGAAACCACGTTGTGATCTCTGCATTCAACTCACAGAGTTGAACCTTTCTTCCTATAGAGCAGTTATGAAACAGTCTCTTTGTAGAATTTGCAAGGGTGTATTTAGAGGGCATTGAAGCCTACGGTAGAAAAGGAAATATCTTACCATAAAATCTAGTCAGAAGCATTCTCAGAAACTGAGTTGTGATGTTTGCATTCAACTCACAGAGTTCAACATTCCTTTTAATGGAGCGGTTTTGAAACACTCTTTTTGCAGAATCTGCAAGTGGATATTTGGACCTCTTTGAGGCCTTCGTTGGAAACGGGATTTCTTCATGTAATGCCAGACAGAAGAATTCTCAGTGAATTCTTTCTGTGTGTGTGTATTCAACTCACAGAGTTGAACGTTCCTTTAGACAGAGTAGATTGGAAACACTCTTTTTGTGGAATTTTCAGGTGGAGGTATCAAGCGCTTTGAGGCCAATGATAGAAAAGGAAATACCTTCGTATAATAATTAGACGGAATCATTCTCAGAAACCGCTTTGCAATGTGTGCGTTCAACTCACAGTGTTTAACCTTTCTTTTCATACAGTTGTTTCGAAACACTCTTTTTGCAGAATCTGCAAGTGGATATTTGGACCTCTTTGAAGTCTTCGTTGGAAATGGGATTTCTTCATATAATGCTAGACAGAAGACTTCTCAGTAACTGCTTTTTCTGGTGTGTATTCAACTCTCAGAGTTGAACTTTCCTTTAGAAACAGCAGATTTGAAACTCTCTTTTTGTGGAATTTGCAAGTGGAGATTTCAGAGCTTTGAGGCCAATGGTAGAAAAGGAAATATCTTCGTATGCAAACTAGACAGAATCATTCTCAGAAACTACTTTGGTACGTGTGTGTTCAACTCACAGTGTTTAACCTTTCTTTTCATAGAGCAGTTTGGAAACACTCAGTTTGTAAAGTCAGCAACTGGATATTTGGATGTATTTGAGGCCTTCGTTGGAAACGGGATTTCTTCATATAATGCTAGACAGAAGAATTCTCAGTAACTTCTTTGGGTTGTGGGTATTCAAGTCACAGAGTTGAAGCTTCCTTTAGGCGGAGCAGATTGGAAACACTTTTTGTGGAATTTTCAGGGGGAGACTTCAAGCGCTTTGAAGTGAATGGTAGGAAAGGAAATATCTTCGTATAAAAACTAGACGGAGTCATTCTCAGAAACTACTTTGTGATGTTTGCGTTCAACTCACAGAGTTTAACGTTTCTTTTCATAGAGCAGTTTGGAAACACTCTTTTTGCAGAATCTGCAAGTGGATATTTGGACCTCCTTTGTGGCCTTCGTTGGAAACGGGATTTTTCATATAATGCTAGACAGAAGAATTCTCAGTAACTTCTTTTTGTGGTGTGTATTCAACTCACAGAGTTGAACCTTCCTTTAGACAGAGCAGATTTGAAACTCTCTTTTTGTGGAATTTGCAAGTGGAGATTTCAAGCGCTTTGAGGCCAACGGTAGAAAAGGAAATATCTTCGTAGAAAAAATAGACGGAATCATTCTCAGAAACTGCTTTGGGATGTGTGCATTGAACTCACAGTGTTTAACACTTCTTTTCATAGAGCACTTTGGAAACACTCAGTTTGTAATGTCTGCAGCTGGATATTTGGACCTCTTTGAGGCCTTCGTAGTAAACGGGATTTCTTCGTGTAATGATAGACAATAGAATTCTCAGTGAATTTTTTTCTGTGTGTGTGTATTCAACTCACAGGGTTGAACCTTCCTTTAGACAGTGCAGATTTGAGACACTTGTCTGTGGAATTTGCAAGGGGAGATTTCAAGCACTTTGAGGCCATTGGTGGAAAAGGAAATATGCTTCGTATGAAAACTAGACAGAATCATTCTCAGGAACTACTTTGTGATATGTGCATTCAACTCACAGAGTTTAACCTTTCTTTTCATAGATGAGTTTGGAAACAGTCAGTTTGTAAATGCTGCAACTGGATATTTGGGCCTCTTTGAGGCTTTCGTTGGAAACGGGATTTCTTCACATAATGCTAGACAGAAGAATTCTCAGTAACTTCTTTTGGGATGTATGTATTCAAATCAGAGAGTTGAACCTTCCTTTAGACAGAGCGGATTGGAAACACTCTTTTTGTGGAATTTGCAAGTGGAAAATTCTAGCAGTATGAGGCCAATGGTACAAAAGGAAATATCTTCGTATAAAAACTAGACAGTATCATTCTCAGAAACTGCTTTGTGATGTGTGTATTAAACTCACAGATTTGAACATCTCTTTGCATAGAGCAGTATGGAAAGACTTAGTTTGTGCAGTGTGCAAGTGGATATTTGGAACTCTTTGAGGCCTTGGTTGGAAACGGGATTTCTTCTTATAATTCTTGACAAAAGAATTCTCAGTAGCTTCTTTGTGTGTGTGTATTCAACTCACAGAGTTGAACCTTCCTTTAGACAGAGCAGATTGAAAACACTCTTTTTGTGGAATTTGCAAGTGGAGAATTCCTAGCGCTTTGACGCCAATGGTAGAAAGGAAATATCTTCGTATAAAAACTAGACAGTATCATTCTCAGAAGCTACTTTGTGATGTGTGCGTTCAACTCACAGAGTTTAACCTTTCTTTTCATAGAGCAGTTTGGAAACCCTCTGTTTGTGAAGTCTGCAAGTGGATATTTAAACGTCTTTGAGGCCTTCGTTGGAAACGGGATTTTTTCATATAAACCAGGACAGAAGAATTCTCAGAAACTTCTTGATTGTTATGTGTGCATTCAACTCACAGAGTTGAACCTTACTTTGGAAAAAGCAGTTTTCTAACACTCTTTTTGTAAAAGTTCCAAGTGAATACTTTGAGTGCTTTGAAGCCTACGGTTGACAACGAAATATCTTCATGTAAAAACTACAAAGAATCATTCGCAGAAACCACGTTGTGATCTCTGCATTCAACTCACAGAGTTGAACCTTTCTTCCTATAGAGCAGTTATGAAACAGTCTCTTTGTAGAATTTGCAAGGGTGTATTTAGAGGGCATTGAAGCCTACGGTAGAAAAGGAAATATCTTACCATAAAATCTAGTCAGAAGCATTCTCAGCAACTGAGTTGTGATGTTTGCATTCAACTCACAGAGTTCAACATTCCTTTTAATGGAGCGGTTTTGAAACACTCTTTTTGCAGAATCTGCAAGTGGATATTTGGACCTCTTTGAGGCCTTCGTTGGAAACGGGATTTCTTCATGTAATGCCAGACAGAAGAATTCTCAGTGAATTCTTTCTGTGTGTGTGTATTCAACTCACAGAGTTGAACGTTCCTTTAGACAGAGTAGATTGGAAACACTGTTTTTGTGGAATTTTCAGGTGGAGGTATCAAGCGCTTTGAGGCCAATGATAGAAAAGGAAATACCTTCGTATAATAATTAGACGGAATCATTCTCAGAAACTGCTTTGCAATGTGTGCGTTCAACTCACAGTGTTTAACCTTTCTTTTCATACAGTTGTTTCGAAACACTCTTTTTGCAGAATCTGCAAGTGGATATTTGGACCTCTTTGAAGTCTTCGTTGGAAATGGGATTTCTTCATATAATGCTAGACAGAAGACTTCTCAGTAACTGCTTTTTCTGGTGTGTATTCAACTCTCAGAGTTGAACTTTCCTTTAGAAACAGCAGAGTTGAAACTCTCTTTTTGTGGAATTTGCAAGTGGAGATTTCAGAGCTTTGAGGCCAATGGTAGAAAAGGAAATATCTTCGTATGCAAACTAGACAGAATCATTCTCAGAAACTACTTTGGTACGTGTGTGTTCAACTCACAGTGTTTAACCTTTCTTTTCATAGAGCAGTTTGGAAACACTCAGTTTGTAAAGTCAGCAACTGGATATTTGGATGTATTTGAGGCCTTCGTTGGAAACGGGATTTCTTCATATAATGCTAGACAGAAGAATTCTCAGTAACTTCTTTGGGTTGTGGGTATTCAAGTCACAGAGTTGAAGCTTCCTTTAGGCGGAGCAGATTGGAAACACTTTTTGTGGAATTTTCAGGGGGAGACTTCAAGCGCTTTGAAGTGAATGGTAGGAAAGGAAATATCTTCGTATAAAAACTAGACGGAGTCATTCTCAGAAACTACTTTGTGATGTTTGCGTTCAACTCACAGAGTTTAACGTTTCTTTTCATAGAGCAGTTTGGAAACACTCTTTTTGCAGAATCTGCAAGTGGATATTTGGACCTCTTTGTGGCCTTCGTTGGAAACGGGATTTTTCATATAATGCTAGACAGAAGAATTCTCAGTAACTTCTTTTTGTGGTGTGTATTCAACTCACAGAGTTGAACCTTCCTTTAGACAGAGCAGATTTGAAACTCTCTTTTTGTGGAATTTGCAAGTGGAGATTTCAAGCGCTTTGAGGCCAACGGCAGAAAAGGAAATATCTTCGTAGAAAAAATAGACGGAATCATTCTCAGAAACTGCTTTGGGATGTGTGCATTGAACTCACAGTGTTTAACACTTCTTTTCATAGAGCACTTTGGAAACACTCAGTTTGTAATGTCTGCAGCTGGATATTTGGACCTCTTTGAGGCCTTCGTAGTAAACGGGATTTCTTCGTGTAATGATAGACAATAGAATTCTCAGTGAATTTTTTTCTGTGTGTGTGTATTCAACTCACAGGGTTGAACCTTCCTTTAGACAGTGCAGATTTGAAACACTTGTCTGTGGAATTTGCAAGGGGAGATTTCAAGCACTTTGAGGCCATTGGTGGAAAAGGAAATATCTTCGTATGAAAACTAGACAGAATCATTCTCAGGAACTACTTTGTGATATGTGCATTCAACTCCCAGAGTTTAACCTTTCTTTTCATAGATGAGTTTGGAAACAGTCAGTTTGTAAATTCTGCAACTGGATATTTGGACCTCTTTGAGGCTTTCGTTGGAAACGGGATTTCTTCACATAATGCTAGACAGAAGAATTCTCAGGAACTTCTTTTGGGATGTATGTATTCAAATCAGAGAGTTGAACCTTCCTTTAGACAGAGCGGATTGGAAACACTCTTTTTGTGGAATTTGCAAGTGGAAAATTCTAGCAGTATGAGGCCAATGGTACAAAAGGAAATATCTTCGTATAAAAACTAGGACAGTATCATTCTCAGAAACTGCTTTGTGATGTGCGTATTAAACTCACAGAGTTGAACATTTCTTTGCATAGAGCAGTTTGGAAAGACTTAGTTTGTGCAGTGTGCAAGTGGATATTTGGAACTCTTTGAGGCCTTCGTTGGAAACGGGATTTCTTCTTGTAATTCTTGACAAAAGAATTCTCAGTAGCTTCTTTGTGTGTGTGTATTCAACTCACAGAGTTGAACCTTCCTTTAGACAGAGCAGATTGGAAACACTCTTTTTGTGGAATTTGCAAGTGGAGAATTCTAGCGCTTTGACGCCAATGGTAGAAAGGAAATATCTTCGTATAAAAACTAGACAGTATCATTCTCAGAAGCTACTTTGTGATGTGTGCCTTCAACTGACAGAGTTTAACCTTTTTTTTCATAGAGCAGTTTGGAAACCCTCTGTTTGTGAAGTCTGCAAGTGGATATTTAAACGTCTTTGAGGCCTTCGTTGGAAACGGGATTTCTTCATATAAACCAGGACAGAAGAATTCTCAGAAACTTCTTGATTGTTATGTGTGCATTCAACTCACAGAGTTGAACCTTACTTTGGAAAGAGCAGTTTTCTAACACTCTTTTTGTAAAAGTTCCAAGTGAATACTTTGAGTGCTTTGAAGCCTATGGTTGACAACGAAATATCTTCATGTAAAAACTACAAAGAATCATTCGCAGAAACCACGTTGTGATCTCTGCATTCAACTCACAGAGTTGAACCTTTCTTCCTATAGAGCAGTTATGAAACAGTCTCTTTGTAGAATTTGCAAGGGTGTATTTAGAGGGCATTGAAGCCTACGGTAGAAAAGGAAATATCTTACCATAAAATCTAGTCAGAAGCATTCTCAGCAACTGAGTTGTGATGTTTGCATTCAACTCACAGAGTTCAACATTCCTTTTAATGGAGCGGTTTTGAAACACTCTTTTTGCAGAATCTGCAAGTGGATATTTGGACCTCTTTGAGGCCTTCGTTGGAAACGGGATTTCTTCATGTAATGCCAGACAGAAGAATTCTCAGTGAATTCTTTCTGTGTGTGTGTATTCAACTCACGGAGTTGAACGTTCCTTTAGACAGAGTAGATTGGAAACACTCTTTTTGTGGAATTTTCAGGTGGAGGTATCAAGCGCTTTGAGGCCAATGATAGAAAAGGAAATACCCTTCGTATAATAATTAGACGGAATCATTCTCAGAAACTGCTTTGCAATGTGTGCGTTCAACTCACAGTGTTTAACCTTTCTTTTCATACAGTTGTTTCGAAACACTCTTTTTGCAGAATCTGCAAGTGGATATTTGGACCTCCTTTGAAGTCTTCGTTGGAAATGGGATTTCTTCATATAATGCTAGACAGAAGACTTCTCAGTAACTGCTTTTTCTGGTGTGTATTCAACTCTCAGAGTTGAACTTTCCTTTAGAAACAGCAGATTTGAAACTCTCTTTTTGTGGAATTTGCAAGTGGAGATTTCAGAGCTTTGAGGCCAATGGTAGAAAAGGAAACATCTTCGTATGCAAACTAGACAGAATCATTCTCAGAAACTACTTTGGTACGTGTGTGTTCAACTCACAGTGTTTAACCTTTCTTTTCATAGAGCAGTTTGGAAACACTCAGTTTGTAAAGTCAGCAACTGGATATTTGGATGTATTTGAGGCCTTCGTTGGAAACGGGATTTCTTCATATAATGCTAGACAGAAGAATTCTCAGTAACTTCTTTGGGTTGTGGGTATTCAACTCACAGAGTTGAAGCTTCCTTTAGGCGGAGCAGATTGGAAACACTTTTTGTGGAATTTTCAGGGGGAGACTTCAAGCGCTTTGAAGTGAATGGTAGGAAAGGAAATATCTTCGTATAAAAACTAGACGGAGTCATTCTCAGAAACTACTTTGTGATGTTTGCGTTCAACTCACAGAGTTTAACGTTTCTTTTCATAGAGCAGTTTGGAAACACTCTTTTTGCAGAATCTGCAAGTGGATATTTGGACCTCTTTGTGGCCTTCGTTGGAAACGGGATTTTTCATATAATGCTAGACAGAAGAATTCTCAGTAACTTCTTTTTGTGGTGTGTATTCAACTCACAGAGTTGAACCTTCCTTTAGACAGAGCAGATTTGAAACTCTCTTTTTGTGGAATTTGCAAGTGGAGATTTCAAGCGCTTTGAGGCCAACGGTAGAAAAGGAAATATCTTCGTAGAAAAAATAGACGGAATCATTCTCAGAAACTGCTTTGGGATGTGTGCATTGAACTCACAGTGTTTAACACTTCTTTTCATAGAGCACTTTGGAAACACTCAGTTTGTAATGTCTGCAGCTGGATATTTGGACCTCTTTGAGGCCTTCGTAGTAAACGGGATTTCTTCGTGTAATGATAGACAATAGAATTCTCAGTGAATTTGTTTCTGTGTGTGTGTATTCAACTCACAGGGTTGAACCTTCCTTTAGACAGTGCAGATTTGAAACACTTGTCTGTGGAATTTGCAAGGGGAGATTGCAAGCACTTTGAGGCCATTGGTGGAAAAGGAAATATCTTCGGTATAAAAACTAGACAGAATCATTCTCAGGAACTACTTTGTGATATGTGCATTCAACTCACAGGGTTTAACCTTTCTTTTCATAGATGAGTTTGGAAACAGTCAGTTTGTAAATTCTGCAACTGGATATTTGGACCTCTTTGAGGCTTTCGTTGGAAATGGGATTTCTTCACATAATGCTAGACAGAAGAATTCGCAGTAACTTCCTTTGGGATGTATGTATTCAACTCAGAGAGTTGAACCTTCCTTTAGACAGAGCGCATTGGAAACACGCTTTTTGCGGAATTTTCAGGTGGAGATTCCAAGAGCCTTGAGGCCAATGGTACAAAAGGCTATCTTCGTATAAAAACTAGAGGGAATCATTCTCAGAAACTGCTTTGTGATGTGTGCATTAAACTCACAGGGTTGAACATTTCTTTGCATAGAGCAGTTTGGAAAGACTTAGTTTGTACAGTGTGCAAGTGGATATTTGGAACTCTTTGAGGCCTTCGTTGGAAACGGGATTTCTTCTTATAATTCTTGACAAAAAAGATTCTCAGTAGCTTCTTTGTGTGTGTGTACTCAACTCACAGAGTTGAACCTTCCTTTAGACAGAGCAGATTGGAAATATTCTTTTTGTGGAATTTGCAAGTGGAAAATTCTAGCAGTATGAGGCCAATGGTACAAAAGGAAATATCTTCGTATAAAAACTAGACAGATCTTTCTCAGAAACAACTTTGTGATGTGTGCGTTCAACTCACAGAGTTTAACCTTTCTTTTCATAGAGCAGTTTGGAAACACTCTGTTTGTGAAGTCTGCAAGTGGATATTTAAACGTCTCTGAGGCCTTCGTTGGAAACGGGATTTTTTCATATAAACCAGGACAGAAGAATTCTCAGAAACTTCTTGATTGTTATGTGTGCATTCAACTCACAGAGTTGAACCTTACTTTGGAAAGAGCAGTTTTCTAACACTCTTTTTGTAAAAGTTCCAAGTGAATACTTTGAGTGCTTTGAAGCCTACGGTTGACAACGAAATATCTTCATGTAAAAACTACAAAGAATCATTCGCAGAAACCACGTTGTGATCTCTGCATTCAACTCACAGTGTTGAACCTTTCTTCCTATAGAGCAGTTATGAAACAGTCTCTTTGTAGAATTTGCAAGGGTGTATTTAGAGGGCATTGAAGCCTACGGTAGAAAAGGAAATATCTTACCATAAAATCTAGTCAGAAGCATTCTCAGAAACTGAGTTGTGATGTTTGCATTCAACTCACAGAGTTCAACATTCCTTTTAATGGAGCGGTTTTGAAACACTCTTTTTGCAGAATCTGCAAGTGGATATTTGGACCTCTTTGAGGCCTTCGTTGGAAACGGGATTTCTTCATGTAATGCCAGACAGAAGAATTCTCAGTGAATTCTTTCTGTGTGTGTGTATTCAACTCACAGAGTTGAACGTTCCTTTAGACAGAGTAGATTGGAAACACTCTTTTTGTGGAATTTTCAGGTGGAGGTATCAAGCGCTTTGAGGCCAATGATAGAAAAGGAAATACCTTCGTATAATAATTAGACGGAATCATTCTCAGAAACCGCTTTGCAATGTGTGCGTTCAACTCACAGTGTTTAACCTTTCTTTTCATACAGTTGTTTCGAAACACTCTTTTTGCAGAATCTGCAAGTGGATATTTGGACCTCTTTGAAGTCTTCGTTGGAAATGGGATTTCTTCATATAATGCTAGACAGAAGACTTCTCAGTAACTGCTTTTTCTGGTGTGTATTCAACTCTCAGAGTTGAACTTTCCTTTAGAAACAGCAGATTTGAAACTCTCTTTTTGTGGAATTTGCAAGTGGAGATTTCAGAGCTTTGAGGCCAATGGTAGAAAAGGAAATATCTTCGTATGCAAACTAGACAGAATCATTCTCAGAAACTACTTTGGTACGTGTGTGTTCAACTCACAGTGTTTAACCTTTCTTTTCATAGAGCAGTTTGGAAACACTCAGTTTGTAAAGTCAGCAACTGGATATTTGGATGTATTTGAGGCCTTCGTTGGAAACGGGATTTCTTCATATAATGCTAGACAGAAGAATTCTCAGTAACTTCTTTGGGTTGTGGGTATTCAACTCACAGAGTTGAAGCTTCCTTTAGGCGGAGCAGATTGGAAACACTTTTTGTGGAATTTTCAGGGGGAGACTTCAAGCGCTTTGAAGTGAATGGTAGGAAAGGAAATATCTTCGTATAAAAACTAGACGGAGTCATTCTCAGAAACTACTTTGTGATGTTTGCGTTCAACTCACAGAGTTTAACGTTTCTTTTCATAGAGCAGTTTGGAAACACTCTTTTTGCAGAATCTGCAAGTGGATATTTGGACCTCTTTGTGGCCTTCGTTGGAAACGGGATTTTTCATATAATGCTAGACAGAAGAATTCTCAGTAACTTCTTTTTGTGGTGTGTATTCAACTCACAGAGTTGAACCTTCCTTTAGACAGAGCAGATTTGAAACTTTCTTTTTGTGGAATTTGCAAGTGGAGATTTCAAGCGCTTTGAGGCCAACGGCAGAAAAGGAAATATCTTCGTAGAAAAAATAGACGGAATCATTCTCAGAAACTGCTTTGGGATGTGTGCATTGAACTCACAGTGTTTAACACTTCTTTTCATAGAGCACTTTGGAAACACTCAGTTTGTAATGTCTGCAGCTGGATATTTGGACCTCTTTGAGGCTTTCGTAGTAAACGGGATTTCTTCGTGTCATGATAGACAATAGAATTCTCAGTGAATTTTTTTCTGTGTGTGTGTATTCAACTCACAGGGTTGAACCTTCCTTTAGACAGTGCAGATTTGAAACACTTGTCTGTGGAATTTGCAAGGGGAGATTTCAAGCACTTTGAGGCCATTGGTGGAAAAGGAAATATCTTCGTATGAAAACTAGACAGAATCATTCTCAGGAACTACTTTGTGATATGTGCATTCAACTCACAGAGTTTAACCTTTCTTTTCATAGATGAGTTTGGAAACAGTCAGTTTGTAAATTCTGCAACTGGATATTTGGACCTCTTTGAGGCTTTCGTTGGAAACGGGATTTCTTCACATAATGCTAGACAGAAGAATTCTCAGTAACTTCTTTTGGGATGTATGTATTCAAATCAGAGAGTTGAACCTTCCTTTAGACAGAGCGGATTGGAAACACTCTTTTTGTGGAATTTGCAAGTGGAAAATTCTAGCAGTATGAGGCCAATGGTACAAAAGGAAATATCTTCGTATAAAAACTAGACAGTATCATTCTCAGAAACTGCTTTGTGATGTGTGTATTAAACTCACAGAGTTGAACATTTCTTTGCATAGAGCAGTTTGGAAAGACTTAGTTTGTGCAGTGTGCAAGTGGATATTTGGAACTCTTTGAGGCCTTCGTTGGAAACGGGATTTCTTCTTATAATTCTTGACAAAAGAATTCTCAGTAGCTTCTTTGTGTGTGTGTATTCAACTCACAGAGTTGAACCTTCCTTTAGACAGAGCAGATTGGAAACACTCTTTTTGTGGAATTTGCAAGTGGAGAATTCTAGCGCTTTGACGCCAATGGTAGAAAGGAAATATCTTCGTATAAAAACTAAACAGTATCATTCTCAGAAGCTACTTTGTGATGTGTGCGTTCAACTCACAGAGTTTAACCTTTCTTTTCATAGAGCAGTTTGGAAACCCTCTGTTCGTGAAGTCTGCAAGTGGATATTTAAACGTCTTTGAGGCCTTCGTTGGAAACGGGATTTTTTCATATAAACCAGGACAGAAGAATTCTCACAAACTTCTTGATTGTTATGGGTGCATTCAACTCACAGAGTTGAACCTTACTTTGGAAAGAGCAGTTTTCTAACACTCTTTTTGTAAAAGTTCCAAGTGAATACTTTGAGTGCTTTGAAGCCTACGGTAGACAACGAAATATCTTCATGTAAAAACTACAAAGAATCATTCGCAGAAACCACGTTGTGATCTCTGCATTCAACTCACAGAGTTCAACCTTTCTTCCTATAGAGCAGTTATGAAACAGTCTCTTTGTAGAATTTGCAAGGGTGTATTTAGAGGGCATTGAAGCCTACGGTAGAAAAGGAAATATCTTACCATAAAATCTAGTCAGAAGCATTCTCAGCAACTGAGTTGTGATGTTTGCATTCAACTCACAGAGTTCAACATTCCTTTTAATGGAGCGGTTTTGAAACACTCTTTTTGCAGAATCTGCAAGTGGATATTTGGACCTCTTTGAGGCCTTCGTTGGAAACGGGATTTCTTCATGTAATGCCAGACAGAAGAATTCTCAGTGAATTCTTTCTGTGTGTGTGTATTCAACTCACAGAGTTGAACGTTCCTTTAGACAGAGTAGATTGGAAACACTCTTTTTGTGGAATTTTCAGGTGGAGGTATCAAGCGCTTTGAGGCCAATGATAGAAAAGGAAATACCTTCGTATAATAATTAGACGGAATCATTCTCAGAAACTGCTTTGCAATGTGTGCGTTCAACTCACAGTGTTTAACCTTTCTTTTCATACAGTTGTTTCGAAACACTCTTTTTGCAGAATCTGCAAGTGGATATTTGGACCTCTTTGAAGTCTTCGTTGGAAATGGGATTTCTTCATATAATGCTAGACAGAAGACTTCTCAGTAACTGCTTTTTCTGGTGTGTATTCAACTCTCCGAGTTGAACTTTCCTTTAGAAACAGCAGATTTGAAACTCTCTTTTTGTGGAATTTGCAAGTGGAGATTTCAGAGCTTTGAGGCCACTGGTAGAAAAGGAAATATCTTCGTATGCAAACTAGACAGAATCATTCTCAGAAACTACTTTGGTACGTGTGTGTTCAACTCACAGTGTTTAACCTTTCTTTTCATAGAGCAGTTTGGAAACACTCAGTTTGTAAAGTCAGCAACTGGATATTTGGATGTATTTGAGGCCTTCGTTGGAAACGGGATTTCTTCATATAATGCTAGACAGAAGAATTCTCAGTAACTTCTTTGGGTTGTGGGTATTCAACTCACAGAGTTGAAGCTTCCTTTAGGCGGAGCAGATTGGAAACACTTTTTGTGGAATTTTCAGGGGGAGACTTCAAGCGCTTTGAAGTGAATGGTAGGAAAGGAAATATCTTCGTATAAAAACTAGACGGAGTCATTCTCAGAAACTACTTTGTGATGTTTGCGTTCAACTCACAGAGTTTAACGTTTCTTTTCATAGAGCAGTTTGGAAACACTCTTTTTGCAGAATCTGCAAGTGGATATTTGGACCTCCTTTGTGGCCTTCGTTGGAAACGGGATTTTTCATATAATGCTAGACAGAAGAATTCTCAGTAACTTCTTTTTGTGGTGTGTATTCAACTCACAGAGTTGAACCTTCCTTTAGACAGAGCAGATTTGAAACTCTCTTTTTGTGGAATTTGCAAGTGGAGATTTCAAGCGCTTTGAGGCCAACGGCAGAAAAGGAAATATCTTCGTAGAAAAAATAGACGGAATCATTCTCAGAAACTGCTTTGGGATGTGTGCATTGAACTCACAGTGTTTAACACTTCTTTTCATAGAGCACTTTGGAAACACTCAGTTTGAAATGTCTGCAGCTGGATATTTGGACCTCTTTGAGGCCTTCGTAGTAAACGGGATTTCTTCGTGTAATGATAGACAATAGAATTCTCAGTGAATTTTTTTCTGTGTGTGTGTATTCAACTCACAGGGTTGAACCTTCCTTTAGACAGTGCAGATTTGAAACACTTGTCTGTGGAATTTGCAAGGGGAGATTTCAAGCACTTTGAGGCCATTGGTGGAAAAGGAAATATCTTCGTATAAAAACTAGACAGATCATTCTCAGGAACTACTTTGTGATATGGGCATTCAACTCCCAGAGTTTAACCTTTCTTTTCATAGATGAGTTTGGAAACAGTCAGTTTGTAAATTCTGCAACTGGATATTTGGACCTCTTTGAGGCTTTCGTTGGAAACGGGATTTCTTCACATAATGCTAGACAGAAGAATTCTCAGTAACTTCTTTTGGGATGTATGTATTCAAATCAGAGAGTTGAACCTTCCTTTAGACAGAGCGGATTGGAAACACTCTTTTTGTGGAATTTGCAAGTGGAAAATTCTAGCAGTATGAGGCCAATGGTACAAAAGGAAATATCTTCGTATAAAAACTAGACAGTATCGTTCTCAGAAACTGCTTTGTGATGTGTGTATTAAACTCACAGAGTTGAACATTTCTTTGCATAGAGCAGTTTGGAAAGACTTAGTTTGTGCAGTGTGCAAGTGGATATTTGGAACTCTTTGAGGCCTTCGTTGGAAACGGGATTTCTTCTTATAATTCTTGACAAAAGAATTCTCAGTTGCTTCTTTGTGTATGTGTATTCAACTCACAGAGTTGAACCTTCCTTTAGACAGAGCAGATTGGAAACACTCTTTTTGTGGAATTTGCAAGTGGAGAATTCTAGCGCTTTGACGCCAATGGTAGAAAGGAAATATCTTCGTATAAAAACTAGACAGTATCATTCTCAGAAGCTACTTTGTGATGTGTGCGTTCAACTCACAGAGTTTAACCTTTCTTTTCATAGAGCAGTTTGGAAACACTCTGTTTGTGAAGTCTGCAAGTGGATATTTAAACGTCTTTGAGGCCTTCGTTGGAAACGGGATTTTTTCATATAAACCAGGACAGAAGAATTCTCAGAAACTTCTTGATTGTTATGTGTGCATTCAACTCACAGAGTTGAACCTTACTTTGGAAAGAGCAGTTTTCTAACACTCTTTTTGTAAAAGTTCCAAGTGAATACTTTGAGTGCTTTGAAGCCTACGGTTGACAACGAAATATCTTCATGTAAAAACTACAAAGAATCATTCGCAGAAACCACGTTGTGATCTCTGCATTCAACTCACAGTGTTGAACCTTTCTTCCTATAGAGCAGTTATGAAACAGTCTCTTTGTAGAATTTGCAAGGGTGTATTTAGAGGGCATTGAAGCCTACGGTAGAAAAGGAAATATCTTACCATAAAATCTAGTCAGAAGCATTCTCAGAAACTGAGTTGTGATGTTTGCATTCAACTCACAGAGTTCAACATTCCTTTTAATGGAGCGGTTTTGAAACACTCTTTTTGCAGAATCTGCAAGTGGATATTTGGACCTCTTTGAGGCCTTCGTTGGAAACGGGATTTCTTCATGTAATGCCAGACAGAAGAATTCTCAGTGAATTCTTTCTGTGTGTGTGTATTCAACTCACAGAGTTGAACGTTCCTTTAGACAGAGTAGATTGGAAACACTCTTTTTGTGGAATTTTCAGGTGGAGGTATCAAGCGCTTTGAGGCCAATGATAGAAAAGGAAATACCTTCGTATAATAATTAGACAGAATCATTCTCAGAAACCGCTTTGCAATGTGTGCGTTCAACTCACAGTGTTTAACCTTTCTTTTCATACAGTTGTTTCGAAACACTCTTTTTGCAGAATCTGCAAGTGGATATTTGGACCTCTTTGAAGTCTTCGTTGGAAATGGGATTTCTTCATATAATGCTAGACAGAAGACTTCTCAGTAACTGCTTTTTTCTGGTGTGTATTCAACTCTCAGAGTTGAACTTTCCTTTAGAAACAGCAGATTTGAAACTCTCTTTTTGTGGAATTTGCAAGTGGAGATTTCAGAGCTTTGAGGCCAATGGTAGAAAAGGAAATATCTTCGTATGCAAACTAGACAGAATCATTCTCAGAAACTACTTTGGTACGTGTGTGTTCAACTCACAGTGTTTAACCTTTCTTTTCATAGAGCAGTTTGGAAACACTCAGTTTGTAAAGTCAGCAACTGGATATTTGGATGTATTTGAGGCCTTCGTTGGAAACGGGATTTCTTCATATAATGCTAGACAGAAGAATTCTCAGTAACTTCTTTGGGTTGTGGGTATTCAAGTCACAGAGTTGAAGCTTCCTTTAGGCGGAGCAGATTGGAAACACTTTTTGTGGAATTTTCAGGGGGAGACTTCAAGCGCTTTGAAGTGAATGGTAGGAAAGGAAATATCTTCGTATAAAAACTAGACGGAGTCATTCTCAGAAACTACTTTGTGATGTTTGCGTTCAACTCACAGAGTTTAACGTTTCTTTTCATAGAGCAGTTTGGAAACACTCTTTTTGCAGAATCTGCAAGTGGATATTTGGACCTCTTTGTGGCCTTCGTTGGAAACGGGATTTTTCATATAATGCTAGACAGAAGAATTCTCAGTAACTTCTTTTTGTGGTGTGTATTCAACTCACAGAGTTGAACCTTCCTTTAGACAGAGCAGATTTGAAACTCTCTTTTTGTGGAATTTGCAAGTGGAGATTTCAAGCGCTTTGAGGCCAACGGCAGAAAAGGAAATATCTTCGTAGAAAAAATAGACGGAATCATTCTCAGAAACTGCTTTGGGATGTGTGCATTGAACTCACAGTGTTTAACACTTCTTTTCATAGAGCACTTTGGAAACACTCAGTTTGTAATGTCTGCAGCTGGATATTTGGACCTCTTTGAGGCCTTCGTAGTAAACGGGATTTCTTCGTGTAATGATAGACAATAGAATTCTCAGTGAATTTTTTTCTGTGTGTGTGTATTCAACTCACAGGGTTGAACCTTCCTTTAGACAGTGCAGATTTGAAACACTTGTCTGTGGAATTTGCAAGGGGAGATTTCAAGCACTTTGAGGCCATTGGTGGAAAAGGAAATATCTTCGTATGAAAACTAGACAGAATCATTCTCAGGAACTACTTTGTGATATGTGCATTCAACTCACAGTGTTTAACCTTTCTTTTCATAGATGAGTTTGGAAACAGTCAGTTTGTAAATTCTGCAACTGGATATTTGGACCTCTTTGAGGCTTTCGTTGGAAACGGGATTTCTTCACATAATGCTAGACAGAAGAATTCTCAGTAACTTCTTTTGGGATGTATGTATTCAAATCAGAGAGTTGAACCTTCCTTTAGACAGAGCGGATTGGAAACACTCTTTTTGTGGAATTTGCAAGTGGAAAATTCTAGCAGTATGAGGCCAATGGTACAAAAGGAAATATCTTCGTATAAAAACTAGACAGTATCATTCTCAGAAACTGCTTTGTGATGTGTGTATTAAACTCACAGAGTTGAACATTTCTTTGCATAGAGCAGTTTGGAAAGACTTAGTTTGTGCAGTGTGCAAGTGGATATTTGGAACTCTTTGAGGCCTTCGTTGGAAACGGGATTTCTTCTTATAATTCTTGACAAAAGAATTCTCAGTAGCTTCTTTGTGTGTGTGTATTCAACTCACAGAGTTGAACCTTCCTTTAGACAGAGCAGATTGGAAACACTCTTTTTGTGGAATTTGCAAGTGGAGAATTCTAGCGCTTTGACGCCAATGGTAGAAAGGAAATATCTTCGTATAAAAACTAGACAGTATCATTCTCAGAAGCTACTTTGTGATGTGTGCGTTCAACTCACAGAGTTTAACCTTTCTTTTCATAGAGCAGTTTGGAAACCCTCTGTTTGTGAAGTCTGCAAGTGGATATTTAAACGTCTTTGAGGCCTTCGTTGGAAACGGGATTTTTTCATATAAACCAGGACAGAAGAATTCTCAGAAACGTCTTGATTGTTATGTGTGCATTCAACTCACAGAGTTGAACCTTACTTTGGAAAGAGCAGTTTTCTAATACTCTTTTTGTAAAAGTTCCAAGTGAATACTTTGAGTGCTTTGAAGCCTACGGTTGACAACGAAATATTTTCATGTAAAAACTACAAAGAATCATTCGCAGAAACCACGTTGTGATCTCTGCATTCAACTCACAGAGTTGAACCTTTCTTCCTATAGAGCAGTTATGAAACAGTCTCTTTGTAGAATTTGCAAGGGTGTATTTAGAGGGCATTGAAGCCTACGGTAGAAAAGGAAATATCTTACCATAAAATCTAGTCAGAAGCATTCTCAGAAACTGAGTTGTGATGTTTGCATTCAACTCACAGAGTTCAACATTCCTTTTAATGGAGCGGTTTTGAAACACTCTTTTTGCAGAATCTGCAAGTGGATATTTGGACCTCTTTGAGGCCTTCGTTGGAAACGGGATTTCTTCATGTAATGCCAGACAGAAGAATTCTCAGTGAATTCTTTTAGTGTGTGTGTATTCAACTCACAGAGTTGAACGTTCCTTTAGACAGAGTAGATTGGAAACACTCTTTTTGTGGAATTTTCAGGTGGAGGTATCAAGCGCTTTGAGGCCAATGATAGAAAAGGAAATACCTTCGTATAATAATTAGACGGAATCATTCTCAGAAACTGCTTTGCAATGTGTGCGTTCAACTCACAGTGTTTAACCTTTCTTTTCATAGAGTTGTTTCGAAACACTCTTTTTGCAGAATCTGCAAGTGGATATTTGGACCTCTTTGAAGTCTTCGTTGGAAATGGGATTTCTTCATATAATGCTAGACAGAAGACTTCTCAGTAACTGCTTTTTCTGGTGTGTATTCAACTCTCAGAGTTGAACTTTCCTTTAGAAACAGCAGATTTGAAACTCTCTTTTTGTGGAATTTGCAAGTGGAGATTTCAGAGCTTTGAGGCCAATGGTAGAAAAGGAAATATCTTCGTATGCAAACTAGACAGAATCATTCTCAGAAACTACTTTGGTACGTGTGTGTTCAACTCACAGTGTTTAACCTTTCTTTTCATAGAGCAGTTTGGAAACACTCAGTTTGTAAAGTCAGCAACTGGATATTTGGATGTATTTGAGGCCTTCGTTGGAAACGGGATTTCTTCATATAGTGCTAGACAGAAGAATTCTCAGTAACTTCTTTGGGTTGTGGGTATTCAAGTCACAGAGTTGAAGCTTCCTTTAGGCGGAGCAGATTGGAAACACTTTTTGTGGAATTTTCAGGGGGAGACTTCAAGCGCTTTGAAGTGAATGGTAGGAAAGGAAATATCTTCGTATAAAAACTAGACGGAGTCATTCTCAGAAACTACTTTGTGATGTTTGCGTTCAACTCACAGAGTTTAACGTTTCTTTTCATAGAGCAGTTTGGAAACACTCTTTTTGCAGAATCTGCAAGTGGATATTTGGACCTCTTTGTGGCCTTCGTTGGAAACGGGATTTTTCATATAATGCTAGACAGAAGAATTCTCAGTAACTTCTTTTTGTGGTGTGTATTCAACTCACAGAGTTGAACCTTCCTTTAGACAGAGCAGATTTGAACCTCTCTTTTTGTGGAATTTGCAAGTGGAGATTTCAAGCGCTTTGAGGCCAACGGCAGAAAAGGAAATATACTTCGTAGAAAAAATAGACGGAATCATTCTCAGAAACTGCTTTGGGATGTGTGCATTGAACTCACAGTGTTTAACACTTCTTTTCATAGAGCACTTTGGAAACACTCAGTTTGAAATGTCTGCAGCTGGATATTTGGACCTCTTTGAGGCCTTCGTAGTAAACGGGATTTCTTCGTGTAATGATAGACAATAGAATTCTCAGTGAATTTTTTTCTGTGTGTGTGTATTCAACTCACAGGGTTGAACCATCCTTTAGACAGTGCAGATTTGAAACACTTGTCTGTGGAATTTGCAAGGGGAGATTTCAAGCACTTTGAGGCCATTGGTGGAAAAGGAAATATCTTCGTATGAAAACTATACAGAATCATTCTCAGGAACTACTTTGTGATATGTGCATTCAACTCACAGAGTTTAACCTTCCTTTTCATAGATGAGTTTGGAAACAGTCAGTTTGTAAATTCTGCAACTGGATATTTGGACCTCTTTGAGGCTTTCGTTGGAAACGGGATTTCTTCACATAATGCTAGACAGAAGAATTCGCAGTAACTTCTTTTGGGATGTATGTATTCAACTCAGAGAGTTGAACCTTCCTTTAGACAGAGCGGATTGGAAACACGCTTTTTGCGGAATTTTCAGGTGGAGATTTCAAGAGCCTTGAGGCCAATGGTAGAAAAGGCTAACTTCGTATAAAAACTAGACGGAATCATTCTCAGAAACTGCTTTGTGATGTGTGCATTAAACTCACAGAGTTGAACATTTCTTTGCATAGAGCAGTTTGGAAAGACTTAGTTTGTACAGTGTGCAAGTGGATATTTGGAACTCTTTGAGGCCTTCGTTGGAAACGGGATTTCTTCTTATAATTCTTGACAAAAGAATTCTCAGTAGCTTCTTTGTGTGTGTGTATTCAACTCACAGAGTTGAACCTTCCTTTAGACAGAGCAGATTGGAAACACTCTTTTTGTGGAATTTGCAAGTGGAGAATTCTAGCGCTTTGACGCCAATGGTAGAAAGGAAATATGCTTCGTATAAAAACTAGACAGTAATCATTCTCAGAAGCTACTTTGTGATGTGTGCGTTCAACTCACAGAGTTTAACCTTTCTTTTCATAGAGCAGTTTGGAAACCCTCTGTTTGTGAAGTCTGCAAGTGGATATTTAAACGTCTTTGAGGCCTTCGTTGGAAACGGGATTTCTTCATATAAACCAGGACAGAAGAATTCTCAGAAACTTCTTGATTGTTATGTGTGCATTCAACTCACAGAGTTGAACCTTACTTTGGAAAGAGCAGTTTTCTAACACTCTTTTTGTAAAAGTTCCAAGTGAATACTTTGAGTGCTTTGAAGCCTACGGTTGACAACGAAATATCTTCATGTAAAAACTACAAAGAATCATTCGCAGAAACCACGTTGTGATCTCTGCATTCAACTCACAGAGTTGAACCTTTCTTCCTATAGAGCAGTTATGAAACAGTCTCTTTGTAGAATTTGCAAGGGTGTATTTAGAGGGCATTGAAGCCTACGGTATAAAAGGAAATATCTTACCATAAAATCTAGTCAGAAGCATTCTCAGAAACTGAGTTGTGATGTTTGCATTCAACTCACAGAGTTCAACATTCCTTTTCATGGAGCGGTTTTGAAACACTCTTTTTGCAGAATCTGCAAGTGGATATTTGGACCTCTTTGAGGCCTTCGTTGAAAACGGGATTTCTTCATGTAATGCCAGACAGAAGAATTCTCAGTGAATTCTTTCTGTGTGTGTGTATTCAACTCACAGAGTTGAACGTTCCTTTAGACAGAGTAGATTGGAAACACTCTTTTTGTGGAATTTTCAGGTGGAGGTATCAAGCGCTTTGAGGCCAATGATAGAAAAGGAAATACCTTCGTATAATAATTAGACGGAATCATTCTCAGAAACTGCTTTGGGATGTGTGCATTGAACTCACAGTGTTTAACACTTCTTTTCATAGAGCACTTTGGAAACACTCAGTTTTTAATGTCTGCAGCTGGATATTTGGACCTCTTTGAGGCCTTCGTAGTAAACGGGATTTCTTCGTGTAATGATAGACAATGAATTCTCAGTGAATTTTTTTCTGTGTGTGTGTATTCAACTCACAGGGTTGAACCTTCCTTCAGACAGTGCAGATTTGAAACACTTTTCTGTGGAATTTGCAAGGGGAGATTTCAAGCACTTTGAGGCCATTGGTGGAAAAGGAAATATCTTCGTATAAAAACTAGACAGAATCATTCTCAGGAACTACTTTGTGATATGTGCATTCAACTCACAGAGTTTAACCTTTCTTTTCATAGATGAGTTTGGAAACAGTCAGTTTGTAAATTCTGCAACTGGATATTTGGACCTCTTGGAGGCTTTCGTTGGAAACGGGATTTCTTCACATAATGCTAGACAGAAGAATTCGCAGTAACTTCTTTTGGGATGTATGTATTCAACTCAGAGAGTTGAACCTTCCTTTAGACAGAGCGGATTGGAAACACGCTTTTTGCGGAATTTTCAGGTGGAGATTTCAAGAGCCTTGAGGCCAATGGTAGAAAAGGCTAACTTCGTATAAAAACTAGACGGAATCATTCTCAGAAACTGCTTTGTGATGTGTGCATTAAACTCACAGAGTTGAACATTTCTTTGCATAGAGCAGTTTGGAAAGACTTAGTTTGTACAGTGTGCAAGTGGATATTTGGAACTCTTTGAGGCCTTCGTTGGAAACGGGATTTCTTCTTATAATTCTTGACAAAAGAATTCTCAGTAGCTTCTTTGTGTGTGTGTATTCAACTCACAGAGTTGAACCTTCCTTTAGACAGAGCAGATTGGAAACACTCTTTTTGTGGAATTTGCAAGTGGAGAATTCTAGCGCTTTGACGCCAATGGAAGGAAAGGAAATATCTCCGTATAAAAACTAGACAGTATCATTCTCAGAAACTACTTTGTGATGTGTGCGTTCAACTCACAGAGTTTAACCTTTCTTTTCATAGAGCAGTTTGGAAACACTCTGTTTGTGAAGTCTGCAGGTGGATATTTAAACGTCTTTGAGGCCTTCGTTGGAAACGGGATTTTTTCATATAAACCAGGACAGAAGGATTCTCAGAAACTTCTTGTTTGTTATGTGTGCATTCAACTCACAGAGTTGAACCTTACTTTGGAAAGAGCAGTTTTCTAACACTCTTTTTGTAAAAGTTCCAAGTGAATACTTTGAGTGCTTTGAAGCCTACGGTAGACAACGAAATATCTTCATGTAAAAACTACAAAGAATCATTCGCCGAAACCACGTTGTGATCTCTGCATTCAACTCACAGAGTTCAACCTTTCTTCCTATAGAGCAGTTATTAAACAGTCTCTTTGTAGAATTTGCAAGGGTGTATTTAGAGGGCATTGAAGCCTACGGTAGAAAAGGAAATATCTTACCATAAAATCTAGTCAGAAGCATTCTCAGAAACTGAGTTGTGATGTTTGCATTCAACTCACAGAGTTCAACATTCCTTTTAATAGAGCGGTTTTGAAACACTCTTTTTGCAGAATCTGCAAGTGGATATTTGGACCTCTTTGAGGCCTTCGTTGGAAACGGGATTTCTTCATGTAATGCCAGACAGAAGAACTCTCAGTGAATTCTTTCTGTGTGTGTGTATTCAACTCACAGAGTTGAACGTTCCTTTAGACAGAGTAGATTGGAAACACTCTTTTTGTGGAATTTTCAGGTGGAGGTATCAAGCGCTTTGAGGCCCATGATAGAAAAGGAAAAAGCTTCGTATAATAAGTAGACGGAATCATTCTCAGAAACTGCTTTGCAATGTGTGCCTTCAACTCACAGCGTTTAACCTTTCTTTTCATACAGTTGTTTCGAAACACTCTTTTTGCAGAATGTGCAAGTGGATATTTGGACCTCTTTGAAGTCTTCTTTGGAAATGGGATTTCTTCATATAATGCTAGACAGAAGACTTCTCAGTAACTGCTTTTTCTGGTGTGTATTCAACTCTCAGAGTTGAACTTTCCTTTAGAAACAGCAGATTTGAAACTCTCTTTTTGTGGAATTTGCAAGTGGAGATTTCAAAGCTTTGAGGCCAGTGGTAGAAAAGGAAATATCTTCGTATGCAAACTAGACAGAATCATTCTCAGAAACTACTTTGGTACGTGTGTGTTCAACTCACAGTGTTTAACCTTTCTTTTCATAGAGCAGTTTGGAAACACTCAGTTTGTAAAGTCAGCAACTGGATATTTGGATGTATTTGAGGCCTTCGTTGGAAACGGGATTTCTTCATATAATGCGAGACAGAAGAATTCTCAGTAACTTCTTTGGGTTGTGGGTATTCAAGTCACAGAGTTGAAGCTTCCTTTAGGCGGAGCAGATTGGAAACACTTTTTGTGGAATTTTCAGGGGGAGACTTCAAGCGCTTTGAAGTGAATGGTAGGAAAGGAAATATCTTCGTATAAAAACTAGACGGAGTCATTCTCAGAAACTACTTTGTGATGTTTGCGTTCAACTCACAGAGTTTAACGTTTCTTTTCATAGAGCAGTTTGGAAACACTCTTTTTGCAGAATCTGCAAGTGGATATTTGGACCTCTTTGTGGCCTTCGTTGGAAACGGGATTTTTCATATAATGCTAGACAGAAGAATTCTCAGTAACTTCTTTTTGTGGTGTGTATTCAACTCACAGAGTTGAACCTTCCTTTAGACAGAGCAGATTTGAAACTCTCTTTTTGTGGAATTTGCAAGTGGAGATTTCAAGCGCTTTGAGGCCAACGGTAGAAAAGTAAATATCTTCGTAGAAAAAATAGACGGAATCATTCTCAGAAACTGCTTTGGGATGTGTGCATTGAACTCACAGTGTTTAACACTTCTTTTCATAGAGCACTTTGGAAACACTCAGTTTGTAATGTCTGCAGCTGGATATTTGGACCTCTTTGAGGCCTTCGTAGTAAACGGGATTTCTTCGTGTAATGATAGACAATAGAATTCTCAGTGAATTTTTTTCTGTGTGTGTGTATTCAACTCACAGGGTTGAACCTTCCTTTAGACAGTGCAGATTTGAAACACTTGTCTGTGGAATTTGCAAGGGGAGATTTCAAGCACTTTGAGGCCATTGGTGGAAAAGGAAATAACTTCGTATAAAAACTAGACAGAATCATTCTCAGGAACTACTTTGTGATATGTGCATTCAACTCACAGAGTTTAACCTTTCTTTTCATAGATGAGTTTGGAAACAGTCAGTTTGTAAATTCTGCAACTGGATATTTGGACCTCTTTGAGGCTTTCGTTGGAAACGGGATTTCTTCACATAATGCTAGACAAGAATTCTCAGTAACTTCTTTTGGGATGTATGTATTCAAATCAGAGAGTTGAACCTTCCTTTAGACAGAGCGGATTGGAAACACTCTTTTTGTGGAATTTGCAAGTGGAAAATTCTAGCAGTATGAGGCCAATGGTACAAAAGGAAATATCTTCGTATAAAAACTAGACAGTATCATTCTCAGAAACTGCTTTGTGATGTGTGTATTAAACTCACAGAGTTGAACATTTCTTTGCATAGAGCAGTTTGGAAAGACTTAGTTTGTGCAGTGTGCAAGTGGATATTTGGAACTCTTTGAGGCCTTCGTTGGAAACGGGATTTCTTCTTATATTTCTTGACAAAAGAATTCTCAGTAGCTTCTTTGTGTGTGTGTATTCAACTCACAGAGTTGAACCTTCCTTTAGACAGAGCAGATTGGAAACACTCTTTTTGTGGAATTTGCAAGTGGAGAATTCTAGCGCTTTGACGCCAATGGTAGAAAGGAAATATCTTCGTATAAAAACTAGACAGTATCATTCTCAGAAGCTACTTTGTGATGTGTGCGTTCAACTCACAGAGTTTAACCTTTCTTTTCATAGAGCAGTTTGGAAACCCTCTGTTTGTGAAGTCTGCAAGTGGATATTTAAACGTCTTTGAGGCCTTCGTTGGAAACGGGATTTTTTCATATAAACCAGGACAGAAGAATTCTCAGAAACTTCTTGATTGTTATGTGTGCATTCAACTCACAGAGTTGAACCTTACTTTGGAAAGAGCAGTTTCCTAACACTCGTTTTGTAAAAGTTCCAAGTGAATACTTTGAGTGCTTTGAAGCCTACGGTTGACAACGAAATATCTTCATGTAAAAACTACAAAGAATCATTCGCAGAAACCACGTTGTGATCTCTGCATTCAACTCACAGCGTTCAACCTTTCTTCCTATAGAGCAGTTATGAAACAGTCTCTTTGTAGAATTTGCAAGGGTGTATTTAGAGGGCATTGAAGCCTACGGTAGAAAAGGAAATATCTTACCATAAAATCTAGTCAGAAGCATTCTCAGAAACTGAGTTGTGATGTTTGCATTCAACTCACAGAGTTCAACATTCCTTTTAATGGAGCGGTTTTGAAACACTCTTTTTGCAGAATCTGCAAGTGGATATTTGGACCTCTTTGAGGCCTTCGTTGGAAACGGGATTTCTTCATGTAATGCCAGACAGAAGAATTCTCAGTGAATTCTTTCTGTGTGTGTGTATTCAACTCACAGAGTTGAACGTTCCTTTAGACAGAGTAGATTGGAAACACTCTTTTTGTGGAATTTTCAGGTGGAGGTATCAAGCGCTTTGAGGCCAATGATAGAAAAGGAAATACCTTCGTATAATAATTAGACGGAATCATTCTCAGAAACTGCTTTGCAATGTGTGCGTTCAACTCACAGTGTTTAACCTTTCTTTTCATACAGTTGTTTCGAAACACTCTTTTTGCAGAATCTGCAAGTGGATATTTGGACCTCTTTGAAGTCTTCGTTGGAAATGGGATTTCTTCATATAATGCTAGACAGAAGACTTCTCAGTAACTGCTTTTTCTGGTGTGTATTCAACTCTCAGAGTTGAACTTTCCTTTAGAAACAGCAGATTTGAAACTCTCTTTTTGTGGAATTTGCAAGTGGAGATTTCAGAGCTTTGAGGCCAATGGTAGAAAAGGAAATATCTTCGTATGCAAACTAGACAGAATCATTCTCAGAAACTACTTTGGTACGTGTGTGTTCAACTCACAGTGTTTAACCTTTCTTTTCATAGAGCAGTTTGGAAACACTCAGTTTGTAAAGTCAGCAACTGGATATTTGGATGTATTTGAGGCCTTCGTTGGAAACGGGATTTCTTCATATAATGCTAGACAGAAGAATTCTCAGTAACTTCTTTGGGTTGTGGGTATTCAAGTCACAGAGTTGAAGCTTCCTTTAGGCGGAGCAGATTGGAAACACTTTTTGTGGAATTTTCAGGGGGAGACTTCAAGCGCTTTGAAGTGAATGGTAGGAAAGGAAATATCTTCGTATAAAAACTAGACGGAGTCATTCTCAGAAACTACTTTGTGATGTTTGCGTTCAACTCACAGAGTTTAACGTTTCTTTTCATAGAGCAGTTTGGAAACACTCTTTTTGCAGAATCTGCAAGTGGATATTTGGACCTCTTTGTGGCCTTCGTTGGAAACGGGATTTTTCATATAATGCTAGACAGAAGAATTCTCAGTAACTTCTTTTTGTGGTGTGTATTCAACTCACAGAGTTGAACCTTCCTTTAGACAGAGCAGATTTGAAACTCTCTTTTTGTGGAATTTGCAAGTGGAGATTTCAAGCGCTTTGAGGCCAACGGTAGAAAAGTAAATATCTTCGTAGAAAAAATAGACGGAATCATTCTCAGAAACTGCTTTGGGATGTGTGCATTGAACTCACAGTGTTTAACACTTCTTTTCATAGAGCACTTTGGAAACACTCAGGTTGTAATGTCTGCAGCTGGATATTTGGACCTCTTTGAGGCCTTCGTGGTAAACGGGATTTCTTCGTGTAATGATAGACAATAGAATTCTCAGTGAATTTTTTTCTGTGTGTGTGTATTCAACTCACAGGGTTGAACCTTCCTTTAGACAGTGCAGATTTGAAACACTTGTCTGTGGAATTTGCAAGGGGAGATTTCAAGCACTTTGAGGCCATTGGTGGAAAAGGAAATATCTTCGTATGAAAACTAGACAGAATCATTCTCAGGAACTACTTTGTGATATGTGCATTCAACTCCCAGAGTTCAACCTTTCTTTTCATAGATGAGTTTGGAAACAGTCAGTTTGTAAATTCTGCAACTGGATATTTGGACCTCTTTGAGGCTTTCGTTGGAAACGGGATTTCTTCACATAATGCTAGACAGAAGAATTCTCAGTAACTTCTTTTGGGATGTATGTATTCAAATCAGAGAGTTGAACCTTCCTTTAGACAGAGCGGATTGGAAACACTCTTTTTGTGGAATTTGCAAGTGGAAAATTCTAGCAGTATGAGGCCAATGGTACAAAAGGAAATATCTTCGTATAAAAACTAGACAGTATCATTCTCAGAAACTGCTTTGTGATGTGTGTATTAAACTCACAGACTTTAACCTTTCTTTTCATAGAGCAGTTTGGAAACCCTCTGTTTGTGAAGTCTGCAAGTGGATATTTAAACGTCTTTGAGGCCTTCGTTGGAAACGGGATTTTTTCATATAAACCAGGACAGAAGAATTCTCAGAAACTTCTTGATTGTTATGTGTGCATTCAACTCACAGAGTTGAACCTTACTTTGGAAAGAGCAGTTTTCTAACACTCTTTTTGTAAAAGTTCCAAGTGAATACTTTGAGTGCTTTGAAGCCTACGGTTGACAACGAAATATCTTCATGTAAAAACTACAAAGAATCATTCGCAGAAACCACGTTGTGATCTCTGCATTCAACTCACAGTGTTGAACCTTTCTTCCTATAGAGCAGTTATGAAACAGTCTCTTTGTAGAATTTGCAAGGGTGTATTTAGAGGGCATTGAAGCCTACGGTAGAAAAGGAAATATCTTACCATAAAATCTAGTCAGAAGCATTCTCAGAAACTGAGTTGTGATGTTTGCATTCAACTCACAGAGTTCAACATTCCTTTTAATGGAGCGGTTTTGAAACACTCTTTTTGCAGAATCTGCAAGTGGATATTTGGACCTCTTTGAGGCCTTCGTTGGAAACGGGATTTCTTCATGTAATGCCAGACAGAAGAATTCTCAGTGAATTCTTTCTGTGTGTGTGTATTCAACTCACAGAGTTGAACGTTCCTTTAGACAGAGTAGATTGGAAACACTCTTTTTGTGGAATTTTCAGGTGGAGGTATCAAGCGCTTTGAGGCCAATGATAGAAAAGGAAATACCTTCGTATAATAATTAGACGGAATCATTCTCAGAAACTGCTGTGCAATGTGTGCGTTCAACTCACAGTGTTTAACCTTTCTTTTCATACAGTTGTTTCGAAACACTCTTTTTGCAGAATCTGCAAGTGGATATTTGGACTTCTTTGAAGTCTTCGTTGGAAATGGGATTTCTTCATATAATGCTAGACAGAAGACTTCTCAGTAACTGCTTTTTCTGGTGTGTATTCAACTCTCAGAGTTGAACTTTCCTTTAGAAACAGCAGATTTGAAACTCTCTTTTTGTGGAATTTGCAAGTGGAGATTTCAGAGCTTTGAGGCCAATGGTAGAAAAGGAAATATCTTCGTATGCAAACTAGACAGAATCATTCTCAGAAACTACTTTGGTACGTGTGTGTTCAACTCACAGTGTTTAACCTTTCTTTTCATAGAGCAGTTTGGAAACACTCAGTTTGTAAAGTCAGCAACTGGATATTTGGATGTATTTGAGGCCTTCGTTGGAAACGGGATTTCTTCATATAATGCTAGACAGAAGAATTCTCAGTAACTTCTTTGGGTTGTGGGTATTCAAGTCACAGAGTTGAAGCTTCCTTTAGGCGGAGCAGATTGGAAACACTTTTTGTGGAATTTTCAGGGGGAGACTTCAAGCGCTTTGAAGTGAATGGTAGGAAAGGAAATATCTTCGTATAAAAACTAGACGGAGTCATTCTCAGAAACTACTTTGTGATGTTTGCGTTCAACTCACAGAGTTTAACGTTTCTTTTCATAGAGCAGTTTGGAAACACTCTTTTTGCAGAATCTGCAAGTGGATATTTGGACCTCTTTGTGGCCTTCGTTGGAAACGGGATTTTTCATATAATGCTAGACAGAAGAATTCTCAGTAACTTCTTTTTGTGGTGTGTATTCAACTCACAGAGTTGAACCTTCCTTTAGACAGAGCAGATTTGAAACTCTCTTTTTGTGGAATTTGCAAGTGGAGATTTCAAGCGCTTTGAGGCCAACGGCAGAAAAGGAAATATCTTCGTAGAAAAAATAGACGGAATCATTCTCAGAAACTGCTTTGGGATGTGTGCATTGAACTCACAGTGTTTAACACTTCTTTTCATAGAGCACTTTGGAAACACTCAGTTTGTAATGTCTGCAGCTGGATATTTGGACCTCTTTGAGGCCTTCGTGGTAAACGGGATTTCTTCGTGTAATGATAGACAATAGAATTCTCAGTGAATTTTTTTCTGTGTGTGTGTATTCAACTCACAGGGTTGAACCTTCCTTTAGACAGTGCAGATTTGAAACACTTGTCTGTGGAATTTGCAAGGGGAGATTTCAAGCACTTTGAGGCCATTGGTGGAAAAGGAAATATCTTCGTATGAAAACTAGACAGAATCATTCTCAGGAACTACTTTGTGATATGTGCATTCAACTCACAGAGTTTAACCTTTCTTTTCATAGATGAGTTTGGAAACAGTCAGTTTGTAAATTCTGCAACTGGATATTTGGACCTCTTTGAGGCTTTCGTTGGAAACGGGATTTCTTCACATAATGCTAGACAGAAGAATTCTCAGTAACTTCTTTTGGGATGTATGTATTCAAATCAGAGAGTTGAACCTTCCTTTAGACAGAGCGGATTGGAAACACTCTTTTTGTGGAATTTGCAAGTGGAAAATTCTAGCAGTATGAGGCCAATGGTACAAAAGGAAATATCTTCGTATAAAAACTAGACAGTATCATTCTCAGAAACTGCTTTGTGATGTGTGTATTAAACTCACAGAGTTTAACCTTTCTTTTCATAGAGCAGTTTGGAAACCCTCTGTTTGTGAAGTCTGCAAGTGGATATTTAAACGTCTTTGAGGCCTTCGTTGGAAACGGGATTTTTTCATATAAACCAGGACAGAAGAATTCTCAGAAACTTCTTGATTGTTATGTGTGCATTCAACTCACAGAGTTGAACCTTACTTTGGAAAGAGCAGTTTTCTAACACTCTTTTTGTAAAAGTTCCAAGTGAATACTTTGAGTGCTTTGAAGCCTACGGTTGACAACGAAATATCTTCATGTAAAAACTACAAAGAATCATTCGCAGAAACCACGTTGTGATCTCTGCATTCAACTCACAGTGTTGAACCTTTCTTCCTATAGAGCAGTTATGAAACAGTCTCTTTGTAGAATTTGCAAGGGTGTATTTAGAGGGCATTGAAGCCTACGGTAGAAAAGGAAATATCTTACCATAAAATCTAGTCAGAAGCATTCTCAGAAACTGAGTTGTGATGTTTGCATTCAACTCACAGAGTTCAACATTCCTTTTAATGGAGCGGTTTTGAAACACTCTTTTTGCAGAATCTGCAAGTGGATATTTGGACCTCTTTGAGGCCTTCGTTGGAAACGGGATTTCTTCATGTAATGCCAGACAGAAGAATTCTCAGTGAATTCTTTCTGTGTGTGTGTATTCAACTCACAGAGTTGAACGTTCCTTTAGACAGAGTAGATTGGAAACACTCTTTTTGTGGAATTTTCAGGTGGAGGTATCAAGCGCTTTGAGGCCAATGATAGAAAAGGAAATACCTTCGTATAATAATTAGACGGAATCATTCTCAGAAACTGCTTTGCAATGTGTGCGTTCAACTCACAGTGTTTAACCTTTCTTTTCATACAGTTGTTTCGAAACACTCTTTTTGCAGAATCTGCAAGTGGATATTTGGACCTCTTTGAAGTCTTCGTTGGAAATGGGATTTCTTCATATAATGCTAGACAGAAGACTTCTCAGTAACTGCTTTTTCTGGTGTGTATTCAACTCTCAGAGTTGAACTTTCCTTTAGAAACAGCAGATTTGAAACTCTCTTTTTGTGGAATTTGCAAGTGGAGATTTCAGAGCTTTGAGGCCAATGGTAGAAAAGGAAATATCTTCGTATGCAAACTAGACAGAATCATTCTCAGAAACTACTTTGGTACGTGTGTGTTCAACTCACAGTGTTTAACCTTTCTTTTCATAGAGCAGTTTGGAAACACTCAGTTTGTAAAGTCAGCAACTGGATATTTGGATGTATTTGAGGCCTTCGTTGGAAACGGGATTTCTTCATATAATGCTAGACAGAAGAATTCTCAGTAACTTCTTTGGGTTGTGGGTATTCAACTCACAGAGTTGAAGCTTCCTTTAGGCGGAGCAGATTGGAAACACTTTTTGTGGAATTTTCAGGGGGAGACTTCAAGCGCTTTGAAGCGAATGGTAGGAAAGGAAATATCTTCGTATAAAAACTAGACGGAGTCATTCTCAGAAACTACTTTGTGATGTTTGCGTTCAACTCACAGAGTTTAACGTTTCTTTTCATAGAGCAGTTTGGAAACACTCTTTTTGCAGAATCTGCAAGTGGATATTTGGACCTCTTTGTGGCCTTCGTTGGAAACGGGATTTTTCATATAATGCTAGACAGAAGAATTCTCAGTAACTTCTTTTTGTGGTGTGTATTCAACTCACAGAGTTGAACCTTCCTTTAGACAGAGCAGATTTGAAACTCTCTTTTTGTGGAATTTGCAAGTGGAGATTTCAAGCGCTTTGAGGCCAACGGCAGAAAAGGAAATATCTTCGTAGAAAAAATAGACGGAATCATTCTCAGAAACTGCTTTGGGATGTGTGCATTGAACTCACAGTGTTTAACACTTCTTTTCATAGAGCACTTTGGAAACACTCAGTTTGTAATGTCTGCAGCTGGATATTTGGACCTCTTTGAGGCCTTCGTAGTAAACGGGATTTCTTCGTGTAATGATAGACAATAGATAGAATTCTCAGTGAATTTTTTTCTGTGTGTGTGTATTCAACTCACAGGGTTGAACCTTCCTTTAGACAGTGCAGATTTGAAACACTTGTCTGTGGAATTTGCAAGGGGAGATTTCAAGCACTTTGAGGCCATTGGTGGAAAAGGAAATATCTTCGTATAAAAACTAGACAGATCATTCTCAGGAACTACTTTGTGATATGTGCATTCAACTCACAGAGTTTAACCTTTCTTTTCATAGATGAGTTTGGAAACAGTCAGTTTGTAAATTCTGCAACTGGATATTTGGACCTCTTTGAGGCTTTCGTTGGAAACGGGATTTCTTCACATAATGCTAGACAGAAGAATTCTCAGTAACTTCTTTTGGGATGTATGTATTCAAATCAGAGGGTTGAACCTTCCTTTAGACAGAGCGGATTGGAAACACTCTTTTTGTGGAATTTGCAAGTGGAAAATTCTAGCAGTATGAGGCCAATGGTACAAAAGGAAATATCTTCGTATAAAAACTAGACAGTATCATTCTCAGAAACTGCTTTGTGATGTGTGTATTAAACTCACAGAGTTGAACATTTCTTTGCATAGAGCAGTTTGGAAAGACTTAGTTTGTGCAGTGTGCAAGTGGATATTTGGAACTCTTTGAGGCCTTCGTTGGAAACGGGATTTCTTCTTATAATTCTTGACAAAAGAATTCTCAGTAGCTTCTTTGTGTGTGTGTATTCAACTCACAGAGTTGAACCTTCCTTTAGACAGAGCAGATTGGAAACACTCTTTTTGTGGAATTTGCAAGTGGAGAATTCTAGCGCTTTGACGCCAATGGTAGAAAGGAAATATCTTCGTATAAAAACTAGACAGTATCATTCTCAGAAGCTACTTTGTGATGTGTGCGTTCAACTCACAGAGTTTAACCTTTCTTTTCATAGAGCAGTTTGGAAACCCTCTGTTTGTGAAGTCTGCAAGTGGATATTTAAACGTCTTTGAGGCCTTCGTTGGAAACGGGATTTGTTCATATAAACCAGGACAGAAGAATTCTCAGAAACTTCTTGATTGTTATGTGTGCATTCAACTCACAGAGTTGAACCTTACTTTGGAAAGAGCAGTTTTCTAACACTCTTTTTGTAAAAGTTCCAAGTGAATACTTTGAGTGCTTTGAAGCCTACGGTTGACAACGAAATATCTTCATGTAAAAACTACAAAGAATCATTCGCAGAAACCACGTTGTGATCTCTGCATTCAACTCACAGAGTTGAACCTTTCTTCCTATAGAGCAGTTATGAAACAGTCTCTTTGTAGAATTTGCAAGGGTGTATTTAGAGGGCATTGAAGCCTACGGTAGAAAAGGAAATATCTTACCATAAAATGTAGTCAGAAGCATTCTCAGCAACTGAGTTGTGATGTTTGCATTCAACTCACAGAGTTCAACATTCCTTTTCATGGAGCGGTTTTGAAACACTCTTTTTGCAGAATCTGCAAGTGGATATTTGGACCTCTTTGAGGCCTTCGTTGGAAACGGGATTTCTTCATGTAATGCCAGACAGAAGAATTCTCAGTGAATTCTTTCTGTGTGTGTGTATTCAACTCACAGAGTTGAACGTTCCTTTAGACAGAGTAGATTGGAAACACTCTTTTTGTGGAATTTTCAGGTGGAGGTATCAAGCGCTTTGAGGCCAATGATAGAAAAGGAAATACCTTCGTATAATAATTAGACGGAATCATTCTCAGAAACTGCTTTGCAATGTGTGCGTTCAACTCACAGTGTTTAACCTTTCTTTTCATACAGTTGTTTCGAAACACTCTTTTTGCAGAATCTGCAAGTGGATATTTGGACCTCTTTGAAGTCTTCGTTGGAAATGGGATTTCTTCATATAATGCTAGACAGAAGACTTCTCAGTAACTGCTTTTTCTGGTGTGTATTCAACTCTCAGAGTTGAACTTTCCTTTAGAAACAGCAGAGTTGAAACTCTCTTTTTGTGGAATTTGCAAGTGGAGATTTCAGAGCTTTGAGGCCAATGGTAGAAAAGGAAATATCTTCGTATGCAAACTAGACAGAATCATTCTCAGAAACTACTTTGGTACGTGTGTGTTCAACTCACAGTGTTTAACCTTTCTTTTCATAGAGCAGTTTGGAAACACTCAGTTTGTAAAGTCAGCAACTGGATATTTGGATGTATTTGAGGCCTTCGTTGGAAACGGGATTTCTTCATATAATGCTAGACAGAAGAATTCTCAGTAACTTCTTTGGGTTGTGGGTATTCAAGTCACAGAGTTGAAGCTTCCTTTAGGCGGAGCAGATTGGAAACACTTTTTGTGGAATTTTCAGGGGGAGACTTCAAGCGCTTTGAAGTGAATGGTAGGAAAGGAAATATCTTCGTATAAAAACTAGACGGAGTCATTCTCAGAAACTACTTTGTGATGTTTGCGTTCAACTCACAGAGTTTAACGTTTCTTTTCATAGAGCAGTTTGGAAACACTCTTTTTGCAGAATCTGCAAGTGGATATTTGGACCTCTTTGTGGCCTTCGTTGGAAACGGGATTTTTCATATAATGCTAGACAGAAGAATTCTCAGTAACTTCTTTTTGTGGTGTGTATTCAACTCACAGAGTTGAACCTTCCTTTAGACAGAGCAGATTTGAAACTCTCTTTTTGTGGAATTTGCAAGTGGAGATTTCAAGCGCTTTGAGGCCAACGGCAGAAAAGGAAATATCTTCGTAGAAAAAATAGACGGAATCATTCTCAGAAACTGCTTTGGGATGTGTGCATTGAACTCACAGTGTTTAACACTTCTTTTCATAGAGCACTTTGGAAACACTCAGTTTGTAATGTCTGCAGCTGGATATTTGGACCTCTTTGAGGCCTTCGTAGTCAACGGGATTTCTTCGTGTAATGATAGACAATAGAATTCTCAGTGAATTTTTTTCTGTGTGTGTGTATTCAACTCACAGGGTTGAACCTTCCTTCAGACAGTGCAGATTTGAAACACTTTTCTGTGGAATTTGCAAGGGGAGATTTCAAGCACTTTGAGGCCATTGGTGGAAAAGGAAATATCTTAGTATAAAAACTAGACAGAATCATTCTCAGGAACTACTTTGTGATATGTGCATTCAACTCACAGAGTTTAACCTTTCTTTTCATAGATGAGTTTGGAAACAGTCAGTTTGTAAATTCTGCAACTGGATATTTGGACCTCTTTGAGGCTTTCGTTGGAAACGGGATTTCTTCACATAATGCTAGACAGAAGAATTCTCAGTAACTTCTTTTGGGATGTATGTATTCAAATCAGAGAGTTGAACCTTCCTTTAGACAGAGCGGATTGGAAACACTCTTTTTGTGGAATTTGCAAGTGGAAAATTCTAGCAGTATGAGGCCAATGGTACAAAAGGAAATATCTTCGTATAAAAACTAGACAGTATCATTCTCAGAAACTGCTTTGTGATGTGTGTATTAAACTCACAGAGTTGAACATTTCTTTGCATAGAGCAGTTTGGAAAGACTTAGTTTGTGCAGTGTGCAAGTGGATATTTGGAACTCTTTGAGGCCTTCGTTGGAAACGGGATTTCTTCTTATAATTCTTGACAAAAGAATTCTCAGTAGCTTCTTTGTGTGTGTGTATTCAACTCACAGAGTTGAACCTTCCTTTAGACAGAGCAGATTGGTAACACTCTTTTTGTGGAATTTGCAAGTGGAGAATTCTAGCGCTTTGACACCAATGGTAGAAAGGAAATATCTTCGTATAAAAACTAGA
This sequence comes from Homo sapiens, assembly GCF_000001405.40. Classification (NCBI taxonomy): domain Eukaryota; kingdom Metazoa; phylum Chordata; class Mammalia; order Primates; family Hominidae; genus Homo; species Homo sapiens. The sequence continues at coordinate 92,660,364 of NC_000003.12, forward strand.
CAGTATCATTCTCAGAAACTACTTTGTGAGGTGTGCGTTCAACTCACAGTGTTTACCCTTTCTTTTCATAGAGCAGTTTGGAAACACTCTGTTTGTGAAGTCTGCAAGTGGATATTTAAACGTCTTTGAGGCCTTCGTTGGAAACGGGATTTCTTCATATAAACCAGGACAGAAGAATTCTCAGAAACTTCTTGTTTGTTATGTGTGCATTCAACTCACAGAGTTGAACCTTACTTTGGAAAGAGCAGTTTTCTAACACTCTTTTTGTAAAAGTTCCAAGTGAATACTTTGAGTGCTTTGAAGCCTACGGTAGACAACGAAATATCTTCATGTAAAAACTACAAAGAATCATTCGCAGAAACCACGTTGTGATCTCTGCATTCAACTCACAGAGTTGAACCTTTCCTCCTATAGAGCAGTTATGAAACAGTCTCTTTGTAGAATTTGCAAGGGTGTATTTACAGGGCATTGAAGCCTACGGTAGAAAAGGAAATATCTTACCATAAAATCTAGTCAGAAGCATTCTCAGAAACTGAGTTGTGATGTTTGCATTCAACTCACAGAGTTCAACATTCCTTTTAATGGAGCGGTTTTGAAACACTCTTTTTGCAGAATCTGCAAGTGGATATTTGGACCTCTTTGAGGCCTTCGTTGGAAACGGGATTTCTTCATGTAATGCCAGACAGAAGAATTCTCAGTGAATTCTTTCTGTGTGTGTGTATTCAACTCACGGAGTTGAACGTTCCTTTAGACAGAATAGATTGGAAACACTCTTTTTGTGGAATTTTCAGGTGGAGGTATCAAGCGCTTTGAGGCCAATGATAGAAAAGGAAATACCTTCGTATAATAATTAGACGGAATCATTCTCAGAAACTGCTCTGCAATGTGTGCGTTCAACTCACAGTGTTTAACCTTTCTTTTCATACAGTTGTTTCGAAACACTCTTTTTGCAGAATCTGCAAGTGGATATTTGGACCTCTTTGAAGTCTTCGTTGGAAATGGGATTTCTTCATATAATGCTAGACAGAAGACTTCTCAGTAACTGCTTTTTCTGGTGTGTATTCAACTCTCAGAGTTGAACTTTCCTTTAGAAACAGCAGAGTTGAAACTCTCTTTTTGTGGAATTTGCAAGTGGAGATTTCAAAGCTTTGAGGCCAATGGTAGAAAAGGAAATATCTTCGTATGCAAACTAGACAGAATCATTCTCAGAAACTACTTTGGTACGTGTGTGTTCAACTCACAGTGTTTAACCTTTCTTTTCATAGAGCAGTTTGGAAACACTCAGTTTGTAAAGTCAGCAACTGGATATTTGGATGTATTTGAGGCCTTCGTTGGAAACGGGATTTCTTCATATAGTGCTAGACAGAAGAATTCTCAGTAACTTCTTTGGGTTGTGGGTATTCAACTCACAGAGTTGAAGCTTCCTTTAGGCGGAGCAGATTGGAAACACTTTTTGTGGAATTTTCAGGGGGAGACTTCAAGCGCTTTGAAGTGAATGGTAGAAAAGGAAATATCTTCGTATAAAAACTAGACGGAGTCATTCTCAGAAACTACTTTGTGATGTTTGCGTTCAACTCACAGAGTTTAACGTTTCTTTTCATAGAGCAGTTTGGAAACACTCTTTTTGCAGAATCTGCAAGTGGATATTTGGACCTCTTTGTGGCCTTCGTTGGAAACGGGATTTTTCATATAATGCTAGACAGAAGAATTCTCAGTAACTTCTTTTTGTGGTGTGTATTCAACTCACAGAGTTGAACCTTCCTTTAGACAGAGCAGATTTGAAACTCTCTTTTTGTGGAATTTGCAAGTGGAGATTTCAAGCGCTTTGAGGCCAACGGTAGAAAAGGAAATATCTTCGTAGAAAAAATAGACGGAATCATTCTCAGAAACTGCTTTGGGATGTGTGCATTGAACTCACAGTGTTTAACACTTCTTTTCATAGAGCACTTTGGAAACACTCAGTTTGTAATGTCTGCAGCTGGATATTTGGACCTCTTTGAGGCCTTCGTAGTAAACGGGATTTCTTCGTGTAATGATAGACAATGTAATTCTCAGTGAATTTCTTTCTGTGTGTGTGTATTCAACTCACAGGGTTGAACCTTCCTTCAGACAGTGCAGATTTGAAACACTTTTCTGTGGAATTTGCAAGGGGAGATTTCAAGCACTTTGAGGCCATTGGTGGAAAAGGAAATATCTTCGTATAAAAACTAGACAGAATCATTCTCAGGAACTACTTTGTGATATGTGCATTCAACTCACAGAGTTTAACCTTTCTTTTCATAGATGAGTTTGGAAACAGTCAGTTTGTAAATTCTGCAACTGGATATTTGGACCTCTTTGAGGCTTTCGTTGGAAACGGGATTTCTTCACATAATGCAAGACAGAAGAATTCTCAGTAACTTCTTTTGGGATGTATGTATTCAAATCAGAGAGTTGAACCTTCCTTTAGACAGAGCGGATTGGAAACATTCTTTTTGTGGAATTTGCAAGTGGAAAATTCTAGCAGTATGAGGCCAATGGTACAAAAGGAAATATCTTCGTATAAAAACTAGACAGTATCATTCTCAGAAACTGATTTGTGATGTGTGTATTAAACTCACAGAGTTTAACCTTTCTTTTCATAGAGCAGTTTGGAAACCCTCTGTTTGTGAAGTCTGGAAGTGGATATTTAAACGTCTTTGAGGCCTTCGTTGGAAACGGGATTTTTTCATATAAACCAGGACAGAAGAATTCTCAGAAACTTCTTGATTGTTATGTGTGCATTCAACTCACAGAGTTGAACCTTACTTTGGAAAGAGCAGTTTTCTAACACTCTTTTTGTAAAAGTTCCAAGTGAATACTTTGAGTGCTTTGAAGCCTACGGTTGACAACGAAATATCTTCCTGTAAAAACTACAAAGAATCATTCGCAGAAACCACGTTGTGATCTCTGCATTCAACTCACAGAGTTGAACCTTTCTTCCTATAGAGCAGTTATGAAACAGTCTCTTTGTAGAATTTGCAAGGGTGTATTTAGAGGGCATTGAAGCCTACGGTATAAAAGGAAATATCTTACCATAAAATCTAGTCAGAAGCATTCTCAGCAACTGAGTTGTGATGTTTCCATTCAACTCACAGAGTTCAACATTCCTTTTAATGGAGCGGTTTTGAAACACTCTTTTTGCAGAATCTGCAAGTGGATATTTGGACCTCTTTGAGGCCTTCGTTGGAAACGGGATTTCTTCATGTAATGCCAGACAGAAGAATTCTCAGTGAATTCTTTCTCTGTGTGTGTATTCAACTCACAGAGTTGAACGTTCCTTTAGACAGAGTAGATTGGAAACACTCTTTTTGTGGAATTTTCAGGTGGAGGTATCAAGCGCTTTGAGGCCAATGATAGAAAAGGAAATACCTTCGTATAATAATTAGACGGAATCATTCTCAGAAACTGCTTTGCAATGTGTGCGTTCAACTCACAGTGTTTAACCTTTCTTTTCATACAGTTGTTTCGAAACACTCTTTTTGCAGAATCTGCAAGTGGATATTTGGACCTCTTTGAAGTCTTCGTTGGAAATGGGATTTCTTCATATAATGCTAGACAGAAGACTTCTCAGTAACTGCTTTTTCTGGTGTGTATTCAACTCTCAGAGTTGAACTTTCCTTTAGAAACAGCAGATTTGAAACTCTCTTTTTGTGGAATTTGCAAGTGGAGATTTCAAAGCTTTGAGGCCAATGGTAGAAAAGGAAATATCTTCGTATGCAAACTAGACAGAATCATTCTCAGAAACTACTTTGGTACGTGTGTGTTCAACTCACAGTGTTTAACCTTTCTTTTCATAGAGCAGTTTGGAAACACTCAGTTTGTAAAGTCAGCAACTGGATATTTGGATGTATTTGAGGCCTTCGTTGGAAAGGGGATTTCTTCATATAATGCTAGACAGAAGAATTCTCAGTAACTTCTTTGGGTTGTGGGTATTCAACTCACAGAGTTGAAGCTTCCTTTAGGCGGAGCAGATTGGAAACACTTTTTGTGGAATTTTCAGGGGGAGACTTCAAGCGCTTTGAAGTGAATGGTAGAGAAGGAAATATCTTCGTATAAAAACTAGACGGAGTCATTCTCAGAAACTACTTTGTGATGTTTGCGTTCAACTCACAGAGTTTAACGTTTCTTTTCATAGAGCAGTTTGGAAACACTCTTTTTGCAGAATCTGCAAGTGGATATTTGGACCTCTTTGTGGCCTTCGTTGGAAACGGGATTTTTCATATAATGCTAGACAGAAGAATTCTCAGTAACTTCTTTTTGTGGTGTGTATTCAACTCACAGAGTGGAACCTTCCTTTAGACAGAGCAGATTTGAAACTCTCTTTTCGTGGAATTTGCAAGTGGAGATTTCAGGCGCTTTGAGGCCAACGGTAGAAAAGGCAATATCTTCGTAGAAAAAATAGACGGAATCATTCTCAGAAACTGCTTTGGGATGTGTGCATTGAACTCACAGTGTTTAACACTTCTTTTCATAGAGCACTTTGGAAACACTCAGTTTGTAATGTCTGCAGCTGGATATTTGGACCTCTTTGAGGCCTTCGTAGTAAACGGGATTTCTTCGTGTAATGATAGACAATAGAATTCTCAGTGAATTTTTTTCTGTGTGTGTGTATTCAACTCACAGGGTTGAACCTTCCTTTAGACAGTGCAGATTTGAGACACTTGTCTGTGGAATTTGCAAGGGGAGATTTCAAGCACTTTGAGGCCATTGGTGGAAAAGGAAATATCTTCGTATAAAAACTAGACAGAATCATTCTCAGGAACTACTTTGTGATATGTGCATTCAACTCACAGAGTTTAACCTTTCTTTTCATAGATGAGTTTGGAAACAGTCAGTTTGTAAATGCTGCAACTGGATATTTGGGCCTCTTTGAGGCTTTCGTTGGAAACGGGATTTCTTCACATAATGCTAGACAGAAGAATTCTCAGTAACTTCTTTTGGGATGTATGTATTCAAATCAGAGAGTTGAACCTTCCTTTAGACAGAGCGGATTGGAAACACTCTTTTTGTGGAATTTGCAAGTGGAAAATTCTAGCAGTATGAGGCCAATGGTACAAAAGGAAATATTCTTCGTATAAAAACTAGACAGTAATCATTCTCAGAAACTGCTTTGTGATGTGTGTATTAAACTCACAGAGTTGAACATTTCTTTGCATAGAGCAGTATGGAAAGACTTAGTTTGTGCAGTGTGCAAGTGGATATTTGGAACTCTTTGAGGCCTTGGTTGGAAACGGGATTTCTTCTTATAATTCTTGACAAAAGAATTCTCAGTAGCTTCTTTGTGTGTGTGTACTCAACTCACAGAGTTGAACCTTCCTTTAGACAGAGCAGATTGGAAACACTCTTTTTGTGGAATTTGCAAGTGGAAAATTCTAGCAGTATGAGGCCAATGGTACAAAAGGAAATATCTTCGTATAAAAACTAGACAGTATCATTCTCAGAAACTACTTTGTGAGGTGTGCGTTCAACTCACAGTGTTTACCCTTTCTTTTCATAGAGCAGTTTGGAAACACTCTGTTTGTGAAGTCTGCAAGTGGATATTTAAACGTCTTTGAGGCCTTCGTTGGAAACGGGATTTCTTCATATAAACCAGGACAGAAGAATTCTCAGAAACTTCTTGTTTGTTATGTGTGCATTCAACTCACAGAGTTGAACCTTACTTTGGAAAGAGCAGTTTTCTAACACTCTTTTTGTAAAAGTTCCAAGTGAATACTTTGAGTGCTTTGAAGCCTTACGGTAGACAACGAAATATCTTCATGTAAAAACTACAAAGAATCATTCGCAGAAACCACGTTGTGATCTCTGCATTCAACTCACAGAGTTGAACCTTTCCTCCTATAGAGCAGTTATGAAGCAGTCTCTTTGTAGAATTTGCAAGGGTGTGTTTACAGGGCATTGAAGCCTACGGTAGAAAAGGAAATATCTTACCATAAAATCTAGTCAGAAGCATTCTCAGAAACTGAGTTGTGATGTTTGCATTCAACTCACAGAGTTCAACATTCCTTTTAATGGAGCGGTTTTGAAACACTCTTTTTGCAGAATCTGCAAGTGGATATTTGGACCTCTTTGAGGCCTTCGTTGGAAACGGGATTTCTTCATGTAATGCCAGACAGAAGAATTCTCAGTGAATTCTTTCTGTGTGTGTGTATTCAACTCACAGAGTTGAACGTTCCTTTAGACAGAGTAGATTGGAAACACTCTTTTTGTGGAATTTTCAGGTGGAGGTATCAAGCGCTTTGAGGCCAATGATAGAAAAGGAAATACCTTCGTATAATAATTAGACGGAATCATTCTCAGAAACCGCTTTGCAATGTGTGCGTTCAACTCACAGTGTTTAACCTTTCTTTTCATACAGTTGTTTCGAAACACTCTTTTTGCAGAATCTGCAAGTGGATATTTGGACCTCTTTGAAGTCTTCGTTGGAAATGGGATTTCTTCATATAATGCTAGACAGAAGACTTCTCAGTAACTGCTTTTTCTGGTGTGTATTCAACTCTCAGAGTTGAACTTTCCTTTAGAAACAGCAGAGTTGAAACTCTCTTTTTGTGGAATTTGCAAGTGGAGATTTCAGAGCTTTGAGGCCAATGGTAGAAAAGGAAATATCCTTCGTATGCAAACTAGACAGAATCTTCTCAGAAACTACTTTGGTACGTGTGTGTTCAACTCACAGTGTTTAACCTTTCTTTTCATAGAGCAGTTTGGAAACACTCAGTTTGTAAAGTCAGCAACTGGATATTTGGATGTATTTGAGGCCTTCGTTGGAAACGGGATTTCTTCATATAATGCTAGACAGAAGAATTCTCAGTAACTTCTTTGGGTTGTGGGTATTCAAGTCACAGAGTTGAAGCTTCCTTTAGGCGGAGCAGATTGGAAACACTTTTTGTGGAATTTTCAGGGGGAGACTTCAAGCGCTTTGAAGTGAATGGTAGGAAAGGAAATATCTTCGTATAAAAACTAGACGGAGTCATTCTCAGAAACTACTTTGTGATGTTTGCGTTCAACTCACAGAGTTTAACGTTTCTTTTCATAGAGCAGTTTGGAAACACTCTTTTTGCAGAATCTGCAAGTGGATATTTGGACCTCTTTGTGGCCTTCGTTGGAAACGGGATTTTTCATATAATGCTAGACAGAAGAATTCTCAGTAACTTCTTTTTGTGGTGTGTATTCAACTCACAGAGTTGAACCTTCCTTTAGACAGAGCAGATTTGAAACTCTCTCTTTGTGGAATTTGCAAGTGGAGATTTCAAGCGCTTTGAGGCCAACGGCAGAAAAGGAAATATCTTCGTAGAAAAAATAGACGGAATCATTCTCAGAAACTGCTTTGGGATGTGTGCATTGAACTCACAGTGTTTAACACTTCTTTTCCTAGAGCACTTTGGAAACACTCAGGTTGTAATGTCTGCAGCTGGATATTTGGACCTCTTTGAGGCCTTCGTAGTAAACGGGATTTCTTCGTGTAATGATAGACAATAGAATTCTCAGTGAATTTTTTTCTGTGTGTGTGTATTCAACTCACAGGGTTGAACCTTCCTTTAGACAGTGCAGATTTGAGACACTTGTCTGTGGAATTTGCAAGGGGAGATTTCAAGCACTTTGAGGCCATTGGTGGAAAAGGAAATATCTTCGTATGAAAACTAGACAGAATCATTCTCAGGAACTACTTTGTGATATGTGCATTCAACTCCCAGAGTTTAACCTTTCTTTTCATAGATGAGTTTGGAAACAGTCAGTTTGTAAATTCTGCAACTGGATATTTGGACCTCTTTGAGGCTTTCGTTGGAAACGGGATTTCTTCACATAATGCTAGACAGAAGAATTCTCAGTAACTTCTTTTGGGATGTATGTATTCAAATCAGAGAGTTGAACCTTCCTTTAGACAGAGCGGATTGGAAACACTCTTTTTGTGGAATTTGCAAGTGGAAAATTCTAGCAGTATGAGGCCAATGGTACAAAAGGAAATATCTTCGTATAAAAACTAGACAGTATCATTCTCAGAAACTGCTTTGTGATGTGCGTATTAAACTCACAGAGTTGAACATTTCTTTGCATAGAGCAGTTTGGAAAGACTTAGTTTGTGCAGTGTGCAAGTGGATATTTGGAACTCTTTGAGGCCTTCGTTGGAAACGGGATTTCTTCTTGTAATTCTTGACAAAAGAATTCTCAGTAGCTTCCTTGTGTGTGTGTATTCAACTCGCAGAGTTGAACCTGCCTTTAGGCAGAGCAGATTGGAAACCCTCTTTTTGTGGAATTTGCAAGTGGAGAATTCTAGCGCTTTGACGCCAATGGTAGGAAAGGAAATCTCTTCGTATAAAAACTGGACTGTATCATTCTCAGAAACTACTTTGTGATGTGTGCGTTCAACTCACAGAGTTTAACCTTTCTTTTCATAGAGCAGTTTGGAAACACTCTGTTTGTGAAGTCTGCAAGTGGATATTTAAACGTCTTTGAGGCCTTCGTTGGAAACGGGATTTTTTCATATAAACCAGGACAGAAGAATTCTCAGAAACTTCTTGTTTGTTATGTGTGCATTCAACTCACAGAGTTGAACCTTACTTTGGAAAGAGCAGTTTTCTAACACTCTTTTTGTAAAAGTTCCAAGTGAATACTTTGAGTGCTTTGAAGCCTACGGTAGAGAACGAAATATCTTCATGTAAAAACTACAAAGAATCATTCGCAGAAACCACGTTGTGATCTCTGCATTCAACTCACAGAGTTCAACCTTTCTTCCTATAGAGCAGTTATGAAACAGTCTCTTTGTAGAATTTGCAAGGGTGTATTTAGAGGGCATTGAAGCCTACGGTAGAAAAGGATATATCTTACCATAAAATCTAGTCAGAAGCATTCTCAGAAACTGAGTTGTGATGTTTGCATTCAACTCACAGAGTTCAACATTCCTTTTAATAGAGCGGTTTTGAAACACTCTTTTTGCAGAATCTGCAAGTGGATATTTGGACCTCTTTGAGGCCTTCGTTGGAAACGGGATTTCTTCATGTAATGCCAGACAGAAGAATTCTCAGTGAATTCTTTCTGTGTGTGTGTATTCAACTCACAGAGTTGAACGTTCCTTTAGACAGAGTAGATTGGAAACACTCTTTTTGTGGAATTTTCAGGTGGAGGTATCAAGTGCTTTGAGGCCCATGATAGAAAAGGAAATACCTTCGTATAATAATTAGACGGAATCATTGTCAGAAAATGCTTTGCAATGGGTGCGTTCAACTCACAGTGTTTAACCTTTCTTTTCATACAGTTGTTTCGAAACACTCTTTTTGCAGAATCTGCAAGTGGATATTTGGACCTGTTTGAAGTCTTCTTTGGAAATGGGATTTCTTCATATAATGCTAGACAGAAGACTTCTCAGTAACTGCTTTTTCTGGTGTGTATTCAACTCTCAGAGTTGAACTTTCCTTTAGGAACAGCAGATTTGAAACTCTCTTTTTGTGGAATTTGCAAGTGGAGATTTCAAAGCTTTGAGGCCAGTGGTAGAAAAGGAAATATCTTTGTACGCAAACTAGACAGAATCATTCTCAGAAACTACTTTGGTACGTGTGTGTTCAACTCACAGTGTTTAACCTTTCTTTTCATAGAGCAGTTTGGAAACACTCAGTTTGTAAAGTCAGCAACTGGATATGTGGATGTATTTGAGGCCTTCGTTGGAAACGGGATTTCTTCATATAATGCGAGACAGAAGAATTCTCAGTAACTTCTTTGTGTTGTGGGTATTCAACTCACAGAGTTGAAGCTTCCTTTAGGCGGAGCAGATTGGAAACACTTTTTGTGGAATTTTCAGGGGGAGACTTCAAGCGCTTTGAGGCCAACGGTAGAAAAGGAAATATCTTCGTATAAAAACTAGACGGAGTCATTCTCAGAAACTACTTTGTGATGTTTGCGTTCAACTCACAGAGTTTAACGTTTCTTTTCATAGAGCAGTTTGGAAACACTCTTTTTGCAGAATCTGCAAGTGGATATTTGGACCTCTTTGTGGCCTTCGTTGGAAACGGGATTTTTCATATAATGCTAGACAGAAGAATTCTCAGTAACTTCTTTTTGTGGTGTGTATTCAACTCACAGAGTTGAACCTTCCTTTAGACAGAGCAGATTTGAAACTCTCTTTTTGTGGAATTTGCAAGTGGAGATTTCAAGCGCTTTGAGGCCAACGGTAGAAAAGGAAATATCTTCGTAGAAAAAATAGACGGAATCATTCTCAGAAACTGCTTTGGGATGTGTGCATTGAACTCACAGTGTTTAACACTTCTTTTCATAGAGCACTTTGGAAACACTCAGTTTGTAATGTCTGCAGCTGGATATTTGGACCTCTTTGAGGCCTTCGTAGTAAACGGGATTTCTTCGTGTAATGATAGACAATAGAATTCTCAGTGAATTTTTTTCTGTGTGTGTGTATTCAACTCACAGGGTTGAACCTTCCTTTAGACAGTGCAGATTTGAGACACTTGTCTGTGGAATTTGCAAGGGGAGATTTCAAGCACTTTGAGGCCATTGGTGGAAAAGGAAATATCTTCGTATAAAAACTAGACAGAATCATTCTCAGGAACTACTTTGTGATATGTGCATTCAACTCACAGAGTTTAACCTTTCTTTTCATAGATGAGTTTGGAAACAGTCAGTTTGTAAATGCTGCAACTGGATATTTGGGCCTCTTTGAGGCTTTCGTTGGAAACGGGATTTCTTCACATAATGCTAGACAGAAGAATTCTCAGTAACTTCTTTTGGGATGTATGTATTCAAATCAGAGAGTTGAACCTTCCTTTAGACAGAGCGGATTGGAAACACTCTTTTTGTGGAATTTGCAAGTGGAAAATTCTAGCAGTATGAGGCCAATGGTACAAAAGGAAATATCTTCGTATAAAAACTAGACAGTATCATTCTCAGAAACTGCTTTGTGATGTGTGTATTAAACTCACAGAGTTGAACATTTCTTTGCATAGAGCAGTATGGAAAGACTTAGTTTGTGCAGTGTGCAAGTGGATATTTGGAACTCTTTGAGGCCTTGGTTGGAAACGGGATTTCTTCTTATAATTCTTGACAAAAGAATTCTCAGTAGCTTCTTTGTGTGTGTGTACTCAACTCACAGAGTTGAACCTTCCTTTAGACAGAGCAGATTGGAAACACTCTTTTTGTGGAATTTGCAAGTGGAAAATTCTAGCAGTATGAGGCCAATGGTACAAAAGGAAATATCTTCATATAAAAACTAGACAGTATCATTCTCAGAAACTACTTTGTGAGGTGTGCGTTCAACTCACAGTGTTTACCCTTTCTTTTCATAGAGCAGTTTGGAAACACTCTGTTTGTGAAGTCTGCAAGTGGATATTTAAACGTCTTTGAGGCCTTCGTTGGAAACGGGATTTCTTCATATAAACCAGGACAGAAGAATTCTCAGAAACTTCTTGTTTGTTATGTGTGCATTCAACTCACAGAGTTGAACCTTACTTTGGAAAGAGCAGTTTTCTAACACTCTTTTTGTAAAAGTTCCAAGTGAATACTTTGAGTGCTTTGAAGCCTACGGTAGACAACGAAATATCTTCATGTAAAAACTACAAAGAATCATTCGCAGAAACCACGTTGTGATCTCTGCATTCAACTCACAGAGTTGAACCTTTCCTCCTATAGAGCAGTTATGAAGCAGTCTCTTTGTAGAATTTGCAAGGGTGTATTTACAGGGCATTGAAGCCTACGGTAGAAAAGGAAATATCTTACCATAAAATCTAGTCAGAAGCATTCTCAGAAACTGAGTTGTGATGTTTGCATTCAACTCACAGAGTTCAACATTCCTTTTAATGGAGCGGTTTTGAAACACTCTTTTTGCAGAATCTGCAAGTGGATATTTGGACCTCTTTGAGGCCTGCGTTGGAAACGGGATTTCTTCATGTAATGCCAGACAGAAGAATTCTCAGTGAATTCTTTCTGTGTGTGTGTATTCAACTCACAGAGTTGAACGTTCCTTTAGACAGAGTAGATTGGAAACACTCTTTTTGTGGAATTTTCAGGTGGAGGTATCAAGCGCTTTGAGGCCAATGATAGAAAAGGAAATACCTTCGTATAATAATTAGACGGAATCATTCTCAGAAACTGCTTTGCAATGTGTGCGTTCAACTCACAGTGTTTAACCTTTCTTTTCATACAGTTGTTTCGAAACACTCTTTTTGCAGAATCTGCAAGTGGATATTTGGACCTCTTTGAAGTCTTCGTTGGAAACGGGATTTCTTCATATAATGCTAGACAGAAGACTTCTCAGTAACTGCTTTTTCTGGTGTGTATTCAACTCTCAGAGTTGAACTTTCCTTTAGAAACAGCAGATTTGAAACTCTCTTTTTGTGGAATTTGCAAGTGGAGATTTCAGAGCTTTGAGGCCACTGGTAGAAAAGGAAATATCTTCGTATGCAAACTAGACAGAATCATTCTCAGAAACTACTTTGGTACGTGTGTGTTCAACTCACAGTGTTTAACCTTTCTTTTCATAGAGCAGTTTGGAAACACTCAGTTTGTAAAGTCAGCAACTGGATATTTGGATGTATTTGAGGCCTTCGTTGGAAACGGGATTTCTTCATATAATGCTAGACAGAAGAATTCTCAGTAACTTCTTTGGGTTGTGGGTATTCAACTCACAGAGTTGAAGCTTCCTTTAGGCGGAGCAGATTGGAAACACTTTTTCTGGAATTTTCAGGGGGAGACTTCAAGCGCTTTGAAGTGAATGGTAGAAAAGGAAATATCTTCGTATAAAAACTAGACGGAGTCATTCTCAGAAACTACTTTGTGATGTTTGCGTTCAACTCACAGAGTTTAATGTTTCTTTTCATAGAGCAGTTTGGAAACACTCTTTTTGCAGAATCTGCAAGTGGATATTTGGACCTCTTTGTGGCCTTCGTTGGAAACGGGATTTTTCATATAATGCTAGACAGAAGAATTCTCAGTAACTTCTTTTTGTGGTGTGTATTCAACTCACAGAGTTGAACATTCCTTTAGACAGAGCAGATTTGAAACTCTCTTTTTGTGGAATTTGCAAGTGGAGATTTCAAGCGCTTTGAGGCCAACGGTAGAAAAGGAAATATCTTCGTAGAAAAAATAGACGGAATCATTCTCAGAAACTGCTTTGGGATGTGTGCATTGAACTCACAGTGTTTAACACTTCTTTTCATAGAGCACTTTGGAAACACTCAGTTTGTAATGTCTGCAGCTGGATATTTGGACCTCTTTGAGGCCTTCTTAGTAAACGGGATTTCTTCGTGTAATGATAGACAATAGAATTCTCAGTGAATTTTTTTCTGTGTGTGTGTATTCAACTCACAGGGTTGAACCTTCCTTTAGACAGTGCAGATTTGAAACACTTTTCTGTGGAATTTGCAAGGGGAGATTTCAAGCACTTTGAGGCCATTGGTGGAAAAGGAAATATCTTCGTATAAAAACTAGACAGAATCATTCTCAGGAACTACTTTGTGATATGTGCATTCAACTCACAGAGTTTAACCTTCCTTTTCATAGATGAGTTTGGAAACAGTCAGTTTGTAAATTCTGCAACTGGATATTTGGACCTCTTGGAGGCTTTCGTTGGAAACGGGATTTCTTCACATAATGCTAGACAGAAGAATTCGCAGTAACTTCTTTTGGGATGTATGTATTCAACTCAGAGAGTTGAACCTTCCTTTAGACAGAGCGGATTGGAAACACGCTTTTTGCGGAATTTTCAGGTGGAGATTTCAAGAGCCTTGAGGCCAATGGTAGAAAAGGCTAACTTCGTATAAAAACTAGACGGAATCATTCTCAGAAACTGCTTTGTGATGTGTGCATTAAACTCACAGAGTTGAACATTTCTTTGCATAGAGCAGTTTGGAAAGACTTAGTTTGTACAGTGTGCAAGTGGATATTTGGAACTCTTTGAGGCCTTCGTTGGAAACGGGATTTCTTCTTATAATTCTTGACAAAAAAGATTCTCAGTAGCTTCTTTGTGTGTGTGTATTCAACTCACAGAGTTGAACCTTCCTTTAGGCAGAGCAGATTGGAAACCCTCTTTTTGTGGAATTTGCAAGTGGAGAATTCTAGCGCTTTGACGCCAATGGTAGGAAAGGAAATATCTTCGTATAAAAACTGGACAGATCATTCTCAGAAACTACTTTGTGATGTGTGCGTTCAACTCACAGAGTTTAACCTTTGTTTTCATAGAGCAGTTTGGAAACACTCTGTTTGAGAAGTCTGCAAGTGGATATTTAAACGTACTTTGAGGCCTTCGTTGGAAACGGGATTTTTTCATATAAACCAGGACAGAAGGATTCTCAGAAACTTCTTGTTTGTTATGTGTGCATTCAACTCACAGAGTTGAACCTTACTTTGGAAAGAGCAGTTTTCTAACACTCTTATTTTAAAAGTTCCAAGTGAATACTTTGAGTGCTTTGAAGCCTACGGTAGACAACGAAATATCTTCATGTAAAAACTACAAAGAATCATTCGCAGAAACCACGTTGTGATCTCTGCATTCAACTCACAGAGTTCAACCTTTCTTCCTATAGAGCAGTTATTAAACAGTCTCTTTGTAGAATTTGCAAGGGTGTATTTAGAGGGCATTGAAGCCTACGGTAGAAAAGGAAATATCTTACCATAAAATCTAGTCAGAAGCATTCTCAGAAACTGAGTTGTGATGTTTGCATTCAACTCACAGAGTTCAACATTCCTTTTAATAGAGCGGTTTTGAAACACTCTTTTTGCAGAATCTGCAAGTGGATATTTGGACCTCTTTGAGGCCTTCGTTGGAAACGGGATTTCTTCATGTAATGCCAGACAGAAGAATTCTCAGTGAATTCTTTCTGTGTGTGTGTATTCAACTCACAGAGTTGAACGTTCCTTTAGACAGAGTAGATTGGAAACACTCTTTTTGTGGAATTTTCAGGTGGAGGTATCAAGCGCTTTGAGGCCAATGATAGAAAAGGAAATACCTTCGTATAATAATTAGACGGAATCATTCTCAGAAACTGGTTTGCAATGTGTGCGTTCAACTCACAGTGTTTAACATTTCTTTTCATACAGTTGTTTCGAAACACTCTTTTTGCAGAATCTGCAAGTGGATATTTGGACCTCTTTGAAGTCTTCGTTGGAAATGGGATTTCTTCATATAATGCTAGACAGAAGACTTCTCAGTAACTGCTTTTTCTGGTGTGTATTCAACTCTCAGAGTTGAACTTTCCTTTAGAAACAGCAGATTTGAAACTCTCTTTTTGTGGAATTTGCAAGTGGAGATTTCAGAGCTTTGAGGCCAATGGTAGAAAAGGAAATATCTTCGTATGCAAACTAGACAGAATCATTCTCAGAAACTACTTTGGTACGTGTGTGTTCAACTCACAGTGTTTAACCTTTCTTTTCATAGAGCAGTTTGGAAACACTCAGTTTGTAAAGTCAGCAACTGGATATTTGGATGTATTTGAGGCCTTCGTTGGAAACGGGATTTCTTCATATAGTGCTAGACAGAAAAATTCTCAGTAACTTCTTTGGGTTGTGGGTATTCAACTCACAGAGCTGAAGCTTCCTTTAGGCGGAGCAGATTGGAAACACTTTTTGTGGAATTTTCAGGGGGAGACTTCAAGCGCTTTGAGGCCAACGGTAGAAAAGGAAATATCTTCGTATAAAAACTAGACGGAGTCATTCTCAGAAACTACTTTGTGATGTTTGCGTTCAACTCACAGAGTTTAACGTTTCTTTTCATAGAGCAGTTTGGAAACACTCTTTTTGCAGAATCTGCAAGTGGATATTTGGACCTCTTTGTGGCCTTCGTTGGAAACGGGATTTTTCATATAATGCTAGACAGAAGAATTCTCAGTAACTTCTTTTTGTGGTGTGTATTCAACTCACAGAGTTGAACCTTCCTTTAGACAGAGCAGATTTGAAACTCTCTTTTTGTGGAATTTGCAAGTGGAGATTTCAAGCGCTTTGAGGCCAACGGCAGAAAAGGAAATATCTTCGTAGAAAAAATAGACGGAATCATTCTCAGAAACTGCTTTGGGATGTGTGCATTGAACTCACAGTGTTTAACACTTCTTTTCATAGAGCACTTTGGAAACACTCAGTTTGTAATGTCTGCAGCTGGATATTTGGACCTCTTTGAGGCCTTCGTAGTAAACGGGATTTCTTCGTGTAATGATAGACAATAGAATTCTCAGTGAATTTTTTTCTGTGTGTGTGTATTCAACTCACAGGGTTGAACCTTCCTTTAGACAGTGCAGATTTGAAACACTTGTCTGTGGAATTTGCAACGGGACATTTCAAGCACTTTGAGGCCATTGGTGGAAAAGGAAATATCTTCGTATGAAAACTAGACAGAATCATTCTCAGGAACTACTTTGTGATATGTGCATTCAACTCCCAGAGTTTAACCTTTCTTTTCATAGATGAGTTTGGAAACAGTCAGTTTGTAAATTCTGCAACTGGATATTTGGACCTCTTTGAGGCTTTCGTTGGAAACGGGATTTCTTCACATAATGCTAGACAGAAGAATTCTCAGTAACTTCTTTTGGGATGTATGTATTCAAATCAGAGAGTTGAACCTTCCTTTAGACAGAGCGGATTGGAAACACTCTTTTTGTGGAATTTGCAAGTGGAAAATTCTAGCAGTATGAGGCCAATGGTACAAAAGGAAATATTCTTCGTATAAAAACTAGACAGTAATCATTCTCAGAAACTGCTTTGTGATGTGCGTATTAAACTCACAGAGTTGAACATTTCTTTGCATAGAGCAGTTTGGAAAGACTTAGTTTGTGCAGTGTGCAAGTGGATATTTGGAACTCTTTGAGGCCTTCGTTGGAAACGGGATTTCTTCTTATAATTCTTGACAAAAGAATTCTCAGTAGCTTCTTTGTGTGTGTGTATTCAACTCACAGAGTTGAACCTTCCTTTAGACAGAGCAGATTGGAAACACTCTTTTTGTGGAATTTGCAAGTGGAGAATTCTAGCGCTTTGACGCCAATGGTAGAAAGGAAATATCTTCGTATAAAAACTAGACAGTATCATTCTCAGAAGCTACTTTGTGATGTGTGCGTTCAACTCACAGAGTTTAACCTTTCTTTTCATAGAGCAGTTTGGAAACCCTCTGTTTGTGAAGTCTGCAAGTGGATATTTAAACGTCTTTGAGGCCTTCGTTGGAAATGGGATTTTTTCATATAAACCAGGACAGAAGAATTCTCAGAAACTTCTTGATTGTTATGTGTGCATTCAACTCACAGAGTTGAACCTTACTTTGGAAAGAGCAGTTTTCTAACACTCTTTTTGTAAAAGTTCCAAGTGAATACTTTGAGTGCTTTGAAGCCTACGGTTGACAACGAAATATCTTCATGTAAAAACTACAAAGAATCATTCGCAGAAACCACGTTGTGATCTCTGCATTCAACTCACAGAGTTCAACCTTTCTTCCTATAGAGCAGTTATGAAACAGTCTCTTTGTAGAATTTGCAAGGGTGTATTTAGAGGGCATTGAAGCCTACGGTAGAAAAGGAAATATCTTACCATAAAATCTAGTCAGAAGCATTCTCAGCAACTGAGTTGTGATGTTTGCATTCAACTCACAGAGTTCAACATTCCTTTTAATGGAGCGGTTTTGAAACACTCTTTTTGCAGAATCTGCAAGTGGATATTTGGACCTCTTTGAGGCCTTCGTTGGAAACGGGATTTCTTCATGTAATGCCAGACAGAAGAATTCTCAGTGAATTCTTTCTGTGTGTGTGTATTCAACTCACAGAGTTGAACGTTCCTTTAGACAGAGTAGATTGGAAACACTCTTTTTGTGGAATTTTCAGGTGGAGGTATCAAGCGCTTTGAGGCCAATGATAGAAAAGGAAATACCTTCGTATAATAATTAGACGGAATCATTCTCAGAAACTGCTTTGCAATGTGTGCGTTCAACTCACAGTGTTTAACCTTTCTTTTCATACAGTTGTTTCGAAACACTCTTTTTGCAGAATCTGCAAGTGGATATTTGGACCTCTTTGAAGTCTTCGTTGGAAATGGGATTTCTTCATATAATGCTAGACAGAAGACTTCTCAGTAACTGCTTTTTCTGGTGTGTATTCAACTCTCAGAGTTGAACTTTCCTTTAGAAACAGCAGAGTTGAAACTCTCTTTTTGTGGAATTTGCAAGTGGAGATTTCAAAGCTTTGAGGCCAATGGTAGAAAAGGAAATATCTTCGTATGCAAACTAGACAGAATCATTCTCAGAAACTACTTTGGTACGTGTGTGTTCAAGTCACAGTGTTTAACCTTTCTTTTCATAGAGCAGTTTGGAAACACTCAGTTTGTAAAGTCAGCAACTGGATATTTGGATGTATTTGAGGCCTTCGTTGGAAACGGGATTTCTTCATATAGTGCTAGACAGAAGAATTCTCAGTAACTTCTTAGGGTTGTGGGTATTCAACTCACAGAGTTGAAGCTTCCTTTAGGCGGAGCAGATTGGAAACACTTTTTGTGGAATTTTCAGGGGGAGACTTCAAGCGCTTTGAAGTGAATGGTAGAAAAGGAAATATCTTCGTATAAAAACTAGACGGAGTCATTCTCAGAAACTACTTTGTGATGTTTGCGTTCAACTCACAGAGGTTTAACGTTTCTTTTCATAGAGCAGTTTGGAAACACTCTTTTTGCAGAATCTGCAAGTGGATATTTGGACCTCTTTGTGGCCTTCGTTGGAAACGGGATTTTTCATATAATGCTAGACAGAAGAATTCTCAGTAACTTCTTTTTGTGGTGTGTATTCAACTCACAGAGTTGAACCTTCCTTTAGACAGAGCAGATTTGAAACTCTCTTTTTGTGGAATTTGCAAGTGGAGATTTCAAGCGCTTTGAGGCCAACGGCAGAAAAGGAAATATCTTCGTAGAAAAAATAGACGGAATCATTCTCAGAAACTGCTTTGGGATGTGTGCATTGAACTCACAGTGTTTAACACTTCTTTTCATAGAGCACTTTGGAAACACTCAGTTTGTAATGTCTGCAGCTGGATATTTGGACCTCTTTGAGGCCTTCGTGGTAAACGGGATTTCTTCGTGTAATGATAGACAATAGAATTCTCAGTGAATTTTTTTCTGTGTGTGTGTATTCAACTCACAGGGTTGAACCTTCCTTTAGACAGTGCAGATTTGAAACACTTGTCTGTGGAATTTGCAAGGGGAGATTTCAAGCACTTTGAGGCCATTGGTGGAAAAGGAAATATCTTCGTATGAAAACTAGACAGAATCATTCTCAGGAACTACTTTGTGATATGTGCATTCAACTCCCAGAGTTTAACCTTTCTTTTCATAGATGAGTTTGGAAACAGTCAGTTTGTAAATTCTGCAACTGGATATTTGGACCTCTTTGAGGCTTTCGTTGGAAACGGGATTTCTTCACATAATGCTAGACAGAAGAATTCTCAGTAACTTCTTTTGGGATGTATGTATTCAAATCAGAGAGTTGAACCTTCCTTTAGACAGACCGGATTGGAAACACTCTTTTTGTGGAATTTGCAAGTGGAAAATTCTAGCAGTATGAGGCCAATGGTACAAAAGGAAATATCTTCGTATAAAAACTAGACAGTATCATTCTCAGAAACTGCTTTGTGATGTGTGCATTAAACTCACAGAGTTGAACATTTCTTTGCATAGAGCAGTTTGGAAAGACTTAGTTTGTACAGTGTGCAAGTGGATATTTGGAACTCTTTGAGGCCTTCGTTGGAAATGGGATTTCTTCTTATAATTCTTGACAAAAGAATTCTCAGTAGCTTCTTTGTGTGTGTGTATTCAACTCACAGAGTTGAACCTTCCTTTAGACAGAGCAGATTGGAAACACTCTTTTTGTGGAATTTGCAAGTGGAGAATTCTAGCGCTTTGACGCCAATGGTAGAAAGGAAATATCTTCGTATAAAAACTAGACAGTATCATTCTCAGAAGCTACTTTGTGATGTGTGCGTTCAACTCACAGAGTTTAACCTTTCTTTTCATAGAGCAGTTTGGAAACCCTCTGTTTGTGAAGTCTGCAAGTGGATATTTAAACGTCTTTGAGGCCTTCGTTGGAAACGGGATTTGTTCC
Source organism: Homo sapiens (assembly GCF_000001405.40). Taxonomy (NCBI): domain Eukaryota; kingdom Metazoa; phylum Chordata; class Mammalia; order Primates; family Hominidae; genus Homo; species Homo sapiens. The sequence continues at coordinate 92,680,429 of NC_000003.12, forward strand.
TATAAACCAGGACAGAAGAATTCTCAGAAACTTCTTGATTGTTATGTGTGCATTCAACTCACAGAGTTGAACCTTACTTTGGAAAGAGCAGTTTTCTAACACTCTTTTTGTAAAAGTTCCAAGTGAATACTTTGAGTGCTTTGAAGCCTACGGTTGACAACGAAATATCTTCATGTAAAAACTACAAAGAATCATTCGCAGAAACCACGTTGTGATCTCTGCATTCAACTCACAGAGTTGAACCTTTCTTCCTATAGAGCAGTTATGAAACAGTCTCTTTGTAGAATTTGCAAGGGTGTATTTAGAGGGCATTGAAGCCTACGGTAGAAAAGGAAATATCTTACCATAAAATCTAGTCAGAAGCATTCTCAGCAACTGAGTTGTGATGTTTGCATTCAACTCACAGAGTTCAACATTCCTTTTAATGGAGCGGTTTTGAAACACTCTTTTTGCAGAATCTGCAAGTGGATATTTGGACCTCTTTGAGGCCTTCGTTGGAAACGGGATTTCTTCATGTAATGCCAGACAGAAGAACTCTCAGTGAATTCTTTCTGTGTGTGTGTATTCAACTCACAGAGTTGAACGTTCCTTTAGACAGAGTAGATTGGAAACACTCTTTTTGTGGAATTTTCAGGTGGAGGTATCAAGCGCTTTGAGGCCCATGATAGAAAAGGAAATACCTTCGTATAATAATTAGACGGAATCATTCTGAGAAACTGCTTTGCAATGTGTGCCTTCAACTCACAGCGTTTAACCTTTCTTTTCATACAGTTGTTTCGAAACACTCTTTTTGCAGAATCTGCAAGTGGATATTTGGACCTGTTTGAAGTCTTCGTTGGAAATGGGATTTCTTCATATAATGCTAGACAGAAGACTTCTCAGTAACTGCTTTTTCTGGTGTGTATTCAACTCTCAGAGTTGAACTTTCCTTTAGAAACAGCAGATTTGAAACTCTCTTTTTGTGGAATTTGCAAGTGGAGATTTCAAAGCTTTGAGGCCAATGGTAGAAAAGGAAATATCTTCGTATGCAAACTAGACAGAATCATTCTCAGAAACTACTTTGGTACGTGTGTGTTCAACTCACAGTGTTTAACCTTTCTTTTCATAGAGCAGTTTGGAAACACTCAGTTTGTAAAGTCAGCAACTGGATATTTGGATGTATTTGAGGCCTTCGTTGGAAACGGGATTTCTTCATATAATGCTAGACAGAAGAATTCTCAGTAACTTCTTTGGGTTGTGGGTATTCAAGTCACAGAGTTGAAGCTTCCTTTAGGCGGAGCAGATTGGAAACACTTTTTGTGGAATTTTCAGGGGGAGACTTCAAGCGCTTTGAAGTGAATGGTAGGAAAGGAAATATCTTCGTATAAAAACTAGACGGAGTCATTCTCAGAAACTACTTTGTGATGTTTGCGTTCAACTCACAGAGTTTAACGTTTCTTTTCATAGAGCAGTTTGGAAACACTCTTTTTGCAGAATCTGCAAGTGGATATTTGGACCTCTTTGTGGCCTTCGTTGGAAACGGGATTTTTCATATAATGCTAGACAGAAGAATTCTCAGTAACTTCTTTTTGTGGTGTGTATTCAACTCACAGAGTTGAACCTTCCTTTAGACAGAGCAGATTTGAAACTCTCTTTTTGTGGAATTTGCAAGTGGAGATTTCAAGCGCTTTGAGGCCAACGGCAGAAAAGGAAATATCTTCGTAGAAAAAATAGACGGAATCATTCTCAGAAACTGCTTTGGGATGTGTGCATTGAACTCACAGTGTTTAACACTTCTTTTCATAGAGCACTTTGGAAACACTCAGTTTGTAATGTCTGCAGCTGGATATTTGGACCTCTTTGAGGCCTTCGTAGTAAACGGGATTTCTTCGTGTAATGATAGACAATAGAATTCTCAGTGAATTTTTTTCTGTGTGTGTGTATTCAACTCACAGGGTTGAACCTTCCTTTAGACAGTGCAGATTTGAGACACTTGTCTGTGGAATTTGCAAGGGGAGATTTCAAGCACTTTGAGGCCATTGGTGGAAAAGGAAATATCTTCGTATGAAAACTAGACAGAATCATTCTCAGGAACTACTTTGTGATATGTGCATTCAACTCCCAGAGTTTAACCTTTCTTTTCATAGATGAGTTTGGAAACAGTCAGTTTGTAAATTCTGCAACTGGATATTTGGACCTCTTTGAGGCTTTCGTTGGAAACGGGATTTCTTCACATAATGCTAGACAGAAGAATTCTCAGGAACTTCTTTTGGGATGTATGTATTCAAATCAGAGAGTTGAACCTTCCTTTAGACAGAGCGGATTGGAAACACTCTTTTTGTGGAATTTGCAAGTGGAAAATTCTAGCAGTATGAGGCCAATGGTACAAAAGGAAATATCTTCGTATAAAAACTAGACAGTATCATTCTCAGAAACTGCTTTGTGATGTGCATATTAAACTCACAGATTTGAACATTTCTTTGCATAGAGCAGTATGGAAAGACTTAGTTTGTGCAGTGTGCAAGTGGATATTTGGAACTCTTTGAGGCCTTCGTTGGAAACGGGATTTCTTCTTATAATTCTTGACAAAAGAATTCTCAGTAGCTTCTTTGTGTGTGTGTATTCAACTCACAGAGTTGAACCTTCCTTTAGACAGAGCAGATTGGAAACACTCTTTTTGTGGAATTTGCAAGTGGAGAATTCTAGCGCTTTGACGCCAATGGTAGAAAGGAAATATCTTCGTATAAAAACTAGACAGTATCATTCTCAGAAACTACTTTGTGATGTGTGCGTTCAATTCACAGAGTTTAACCTTTCTTTTCATAGAGCAGTTTGGAAACACTCTGTTTGTGAAGTCTGCAAGTGGATATTTAAACGTCTTTGAGGCCTTTGTTGGAAACGGGATTTTTTCATATAAACCAGGACAGAAGAATTCTCAGAAACTTCTTGATTGTTATGTGTGCATTCAACTCACAGAGTTGAACCTTACTTTGGAAAGAGCAGTTTTCTAACACTCTTTTTGTAAAAGTTCCAAGTGAATACTTTGAGTGCTTTGAAGCCTACGGTTGACAACGAAATATCTTCATGTAAAAACTACAAAGAATCATTCGCAGAAACCACGTTGTGATCTCTGCATTCAACTCACAGAGTTGAACCTTTCTTCCTATAGAGCAGTTATGAAACAGTCTCTTTGTAGAATTCGCAAGGGTGTATTTAGAGGGCATTGAAGCCTACGGTAGAAAAGGAAATATCTTACCATAAAATCTAGTCAGAAGCATTCTCAGCAACTGAGTTGTGATGTTTGCATTCAACTCACAGAGTTCAACATTCCTTTTAATGGAGCGGTTTTGAAACACTCTTTTTGCAGAATCTGCAAGTGGATATTTGGACCTCTTTGAGGCCTTCGTTGGAAACGGGATTTCTTCATGTAATGCCAGACAGAAGAATTCTCAGTGAATTCTTTCTGTGTGTGTGTATTCAACTCACAGAGTTGAACGTTCCTTTAGACAGAGTAGATTGGAAACACTCTTTTTGTGGAATTTTCAGATGGAGGTATCAAGCGCTTTGAGGCCAATGATAGAAAAAGAAATACCTTCGTATAATAATTAGACGGAATCATTCTCAGAAACTGCTTTGCAATGTGTGCGTTCAACTCACAGTGTTTAACCTTTCTTTTCATACAGTTGTTTCGAAACACTCTTTTTGCAGAATCTGCAAGTGGATATTTGGACCTCTTTGAAGTCTTCGTTGGAAATGGGATTTCTTCATATAATGCTAGACAGAAGACTTCTCAGTAACTGCTTTTTCTGGTGTGTATTCAACTCTCAGAGTTGAACTTTCCTTTAGAAACAGCAGAGTTGAAACTCTCTTTTTGTGGAATTTGCAAGTGGAGATTTCAAAACTTTGAGGCCAATGGTAGAAAAGGAAATATCTTCGTATGCAAACTAGACAGAATCATTCTCAGAAACTACTTTGGTACGTGTGTGTTCAACTCACAGTGTTTAACCTTTCTTTTCATAGAGCAGTTTGGAAACACTCAGTTTGTAAAGTCAGCAACTGGATATTTGGATGTATTTGAGGCCTTCGTTGGAAACGGGATTTCTTCATATAATGCTAGACAGAAGAATTCTCAGTAACTTCTTTGGGTTGTGGGTATTCAACTCACAGAGTTGAAGCTTCCTTTAGGCGGAGCAGATTGGAAACACTTTTTGTGGAATTTTCAGGGGGAGACTTCAAGCGCTTTGAAGTGAATGGTAGAAAAGGAAATATCTTCGTATAAAAACTAGACGGAGTCATTCTCAGAAACTACTTTGTGATGTTTGCGTTCAACTCACAGAATTTAACGTTTCTTTTCATAGAGCAGTTTGGAAACACTCTTTTTGCAGAATCTGCAAGTGGATATTTGGACCTCTTTGTGGCCTTCGTTGGAAACGGGATTTTTCATATAATGCTAGACAGAAGAATTCTCAGTAACTTCTTTTGTGGTGTGTATTCAACTCACAGAGTTGAACCTTCCTTTAGACAGAGCAGATTTGAAACTCTCTTTTTGTGGAATTTGCAAGTGGAGATTTCAAGCGCTTTGAGGCCAACGGTAGAAAAGGAAATATCTTCGTAGAAAAAATAGACGGAATCATTCTCAGAAACTGCTTTGGGATGTGTGCATTGAACTCACAGTGTTTAACACTTCTTTTCATAGAGCACTTTGGAAACACTCAGTTTGTAATGTCTGCAGCTGGATATTTGGACCTCTTTGAGGCCTTCGTAGTAAACGGGATTTCTTCGTGTAATGATAGACAATAGAATTCTCAGTGAATTTTTTTCTGTGTGTGTGTATTCAACTCACAGGGTTGAACCTTCCTTTAGACAGTGCAGATTTGAGACACTTGTCTGTGGAATTTGCAAGGGGAGATTTCAAGCACTTTGAGGCCATTGGTGGAAAAGGAAATATCTTCGTATAAAAACTAGACAGAATCATTCTCAGGAACTACTTTGTGATATGCGCATTCAACTCACAGAGTTTAACCTTTCTTTTCATAGATGAGTTTGGAAACAGTCAGTTTGTAAATGCTGCAACTGGATATTTGGGCCTCTTTGAGGCTTTCGTTGGAAACGGGATTTCTTCACATAATGCTAGACAGAAGAATTCTCAGTAACTTCTTTTGGGATGTATGTATTCAAATCAGAGAGTTGAACCTTCCTTTAGACAGAGCGGATTGGAAACACTCTTTTTGTGGAATTTGCAAGTGGAAAATTCTAGCAGTATGAGGCCAATGGTACAAAAGGAAATATCTTCGTATAAAAACTAGACAGTATCATTCTCAGAAACTGCTTTGTGATGTGTGTATTAAACTCACAGAGTTGAACATTTCTTTGCATAGAGCAGTATGGAAAGACTTAGTTTGTGCAGTGTGCAAGTGGATATTTGGAACTCTTTGAGGCCTTGGTTGGAAACGGGATTTCTTCTTATAATTCTTGACAAAAGAATTCTCAGTAGCTTCTTTGTGTGTGTGTACTCAACTCACAGAGTTGAACCTTCCTTTAGACAGAGCAGATTGGAAACACTCTTTTTGTGGAATTTGCAAGTGGAAAATTCTAGCAGTATGAGGCCAATGGTACAAAAGGAAATATCTTCGTATAAAAACTAGACAGTATCATTCTCAGAACCTACTTTGTGAGGTGTGCGTTCAACTCACAGTGTTTACCCTTTCTTTTCATAGAGCAGTTTGGAAACACTCTGTTTGTGAAGTCTGCAAGTGGATATTTAAACGTCTTTGAGGCCTTCGTTGGAAACGGGATTTCTTCATATAAACCAGGACAGAAGAATTCTCAGAAACTTCTTGTTTGTTATGTGTGCATTCAACTCACAGAGTTGAACCTTACTTTGGAAAGAGCAGTTTTCTAACACTCTTTTTGTAAAAGTTCCAAGTGAATACTTTGAGTGCTTTGAAGCCTACGGTAGACAACGAAATATCTTCATGTAAAAACTACAAAGAATCATTCGCCGAAACCACGTTGTGATCTCTGCATTCAACTCACAGAGTTCAACCTTTCTTCCTATAGAGCAGTTATTAAACAGTCTCTTTGTAGAATTTGCAAGGGTGTATTTAGAGGGCATTGAAGCCTACGGTAGAAAAGGAAATATCTTACCATAAAATCTAGTCAGAAGCATTCTCAGAAACTGAGTTGTGATGTTTGCATTCAACTCACAGAGTTCAACATTCCTTTTAATAGAGCGGTTTTGAAACACTCTTTTTGCAGAATCTGCAAGTGGATATTTGGACCTCTTTGAGGCCTTCGTTGGAAACGGGATTTCTTCATGTAATGCCAGACAGAAGAATTCTCAGTGAATTCTTTCTGTGTGTGTGTATTCAACTCACAGAGTTGAACGTTCCTTTAGACAGAGTAGATTGGAAACACTCTTTTTGTGGAATTTTCAGGTGGAGGTATCAAGCGCTTTGAGGCCAATGATAGAAAAGGAAATACCTTCGTATAATAATTAGACGGAATCATTCTCAGAAACCGCTTTGCAATGTGTGCGTTCAACTCACAGTGTTTAACCTTTCTTTTCATACAGTTGTTTCGAAACACTCTTTTTGCAGAATCTGCAAGTGGATATTTGGACCTCTTTGAAGTCTTCGTTGGAAATGGGATTTCTTCATATAATGCTAGACAGAAGACTTCTCAGTAACTGCTTTTTCTGGTGTGTATTCAACTCTCAGAGTTGAACTTTCCTTTAGAAACAGCAGATTTGAAACTCTCTTTTTGTGGAATTTGCAAGTGGAGATTTCAGAGCTTTGAGGCCAATGGTAGAAAAGGAAATATCTTCGTATGCAAACTAGACAGAATCATTCTCAGAAACTACTTTGGTACGTGTGTGTTCAACTCACAGTGTTTAACCTTTCTTTTCATAGAGCAGTTTGGAAACACTCAGTTTGTAAAGTCAGCAACTGGATATTTGGATGTATTTGAGGCCTTCGTTGGAAACGGGATTTCTTCATATAATGCTAGACAGAAGAATTCTCAGTAACTTCTTTGGGTTGTGGGTATTCAAGTCACAGAGTTGAAGCTTCCTTTAGGCGGAGCAGATTGGAAACACTTTTTGTGGAATTTTCAGGGGGAGACTTCAAGCGCTTTGAAGTGAATGGTAGGAAAGGAAATATCTTCGTATAAAATCTAGACGGAGTCATTCTCAGAAACTACTTTGTGATGTTTGCGTTCAACTCACAGAGTTTAACGTTTCTTTTCATAGAGCAGTTTGGAAACACTCTTTTTGCAGAATCTGCAAGTGGATATTTGGACCTCTTTGTGGCCTTCGTTGGAAACGGGATTTTTCATATAATGCTAGACAGAAGAATTCTCAGTAACTTCTTTTTGTGGTGTGTATTCAACTCACAGAGTTGAACCTTCCTTTAGACAGAGCAGATTTGAAACTCTCTTTTTGTGGAATTTGCAAGTGGAGATTTCAAGCGCTTTGAGGCCAACGGCAGAAAAGGAAATATCTTCGTAGAAAAAATAGACGGAATCATTCTCAGAAACTGCTTTGGGATGTGTGCATTGAACTCACAGTGTTTAACACTTCTTTTCATAGAGCACTTTGGAAACACTCAGTTTGAAATGTCTGCAGCTGGATATTTGGACCTCTTTGAGGCCTTCGTAGTAAACGGGATTTCTTCGTGTAATGATAGACAATAGAATTCTCAGTGAATTTTTTTCTGTGTGTGTGTATTCAACTCACAGGGTTGAACCTTCCTTTAGACAGTGCAGATTTGAGACACTTGTCTGTGGAATTTGCAAGGGGAGATTTCAAGCACTTTGAGGCCATTGGTGGAAAAGGAAATATCTTCGTATAAAAACTAGACAGAATCATTCTCAGGAACTACTTTGTGATATGTGCATTCAACTCACAGAGTTTAACCTTTCTTTTCATAGATGAGTTTGGAAACAGTCAGTTTGTAAATTCTGCAACTGGATATTTGGACCTCTTTGAGGCTTTCGTTGGAAACGGGATTTCTTCACATAATGCTAGACAGAAGAATTCTCAGGAACTTCTTTTGGGATGTATGTATTCAAATCAGAGAGTTGAACCTTCCTTTAGACAGAGCGGATTGGAAACACTCTTTTTGTGGAATTTGCAAGTGGAAAATTCTAGCAGTATGAGGCCAATGGTACAAAAGGAAATATCTTCGTATAAAAACTAGACAGTATCATTCTCAGAAACTGCTTTGTGATGTGTGTATTAAACTCACAGAGTTGAACATTTCTTTGCATAGAGCAGTTTGGAAAGACTTAGTTTGTGCAGTGTGCAAGTGGATATTTGGAACTCTTTGAGGCCTTCGTTGGAAACGGGATTTCTTCTTATAATTCTTGACAAAAGAATTCTCAGTAGCTTCTTTGTGTGTGTGTGTATTCAACTCACAGAGTTGAACCTTCCTTTAGACAGAGCAGATTGGAAACACTCTTTTTGTGGAATTTGCAAGTGGAGAATTCTAGCGCTTTGACGCCAATGGTAGAAAGGAAATATCTTCGTATAAAAACTAGACAGTATCATTCTCAGAAGCTACTTTGTGATGTGTGCGTTCAACTCACAGAGTTTAACCTTTCTTTTCATAGAGCAGTTTGGAAACCCTCTGTTTGTGAAGTCTGCAAGTGGATATTTAAACGTCTTTGAGGCCTTCGTTGGAAACGGGATTTTTTCATATAAACCAGGACAGAAGAATTCTCAGAAACTTCTTGATTGTTATGTGTGCATTCAACTCACAGAGTTGAACCTTACTTTGGAAAGAGCAGTTTCCTAACACTCGTTTTGTAAAAGTTCCAAGTGAATACTTTGAGTGCTTTGAAGCCTACGGTTGACAACGAAATATCTTCATGTAAAAACTACAAAGAATCATTCGCAGAAACCACGTTGTGATCTCTGCATTCAACTCACAGAGTTCAACCTTTCTTCCTATAGAGCAGTTATGAAACAGTCTCTTTGTAGAATTTGCAAGGGTGTATTTAGAGGGCATTGAAGCCTACGGTAGAAAAGGAAATATCTTACCATAAAATCTAGTCAGAAGCATTCTCAGCAACTGAGTTGTGATGTTTGCATTCAACTCACAGAGTTCAACATTCCTTTTAATGGAGCGGTTTTGAAACACTCTTTTTGCAGAATCTGCAAGTGGATATTTGGACCTCTTTGAGGCCTTCGTTGGAAACGGGATTTCTTCATGTAATGCCAGACAGAAGAATTCTCAGTGAATTCTTTCTGTGTGTGTGTATTCAACTCACAGAGTTGAACGTTCCTTTAGACAGAGTAGATTGGAAACACTCTTTTTGTGGAATTTTCAGGTGGAGGTATCAAGCGCTTTGAGGCCAATGATAGAAAAGGAAATACCTTCGTATAATAATTAGACGGAATCATTCTCAGAAACCGCTTTGCAATGTGTGCGTTCAACTCACAGTGTTTAACCTTTCTTTTCATACAGTTGTTTCGAAACACTCTTTTTGCAGAATCTGCAAGTGGATATTTGGACCTCTTTGAAGTCTTCGTTGGAAATGGGATTTCTTCATATAATGCTAGACAGAAGACTTCTCAGTAACTGCTTTTTCTGGTGTGTATTCAACTCTCAGAGTTGAACTTTCCTTTAGAAACAGCAGATTTGAAACTCTCTTTTTGTGGAATTTGCAAGTGGAGATTTCAGAGCTTTGAGGCCAATGGTAGAAAAGGAAATATCTTCGTATGCAAACTAGACAGAATCATTCTCAGAAACTACTTTGGTACGTGTGTGTTCAACTCACAGTGTTTAACCTTTCTTTTCATAGAGCAGTTTGGAAACACTCAGTTTGTAAAGTCAGCAACTGGATATTTGGATGTATTTGAGGCCTTCGTTGGAAACGGGATTTCTTCATATAATGCTAGACAGAAGAATTCTCAGTAACTTCTTTGGGTTGTGGGTATTCAAGTCACAGAGTTGAAGCTTCCTTTAGGCGGAGCAGATTGGAAACACTTTTTGTGGAATTTTCAGGGGGAGACTTCAAGCGCTTTGAAGTGAATGGTAGGAAAGGAAATATCGTCGTATAAAAACTAGACGGAGTCATTCTCAGAAACTACTTTGTGATGTTTGCGTTCAACTCACAGAGTTTAACGTTTCTTTTCATAGAGCAGTTTGGAAACACTCTTTTTGCAGAATCTGCAAGTGGATATTTGGACCTCTTTGTGGCCTTCGTTGGAAACGGGATTTTTCATATAATGCTAGACAGAAGAATTCTCAGTAACTTCTTTTTGTGGTGTGTATTCAACTCACAGAGTTGAACCTTCCTTTAGACAGAGCAGATTTGAAACTCTCTTTTTGTGGAATTTGCAAGTGGAGATTTCAAGCGCTTTGAGGCCAACGGCAGAAAAGGAAATATCTTCGTAGAAAAAATAGACGGAATCATTCTCAGAAACTGCTTTGGGATGTGTGCATTGAACTCACAGTGTTTAACACTTCTTTTCATAGAGCACTTTGGAAACACTCAGTTTGTAATGTCTGCAGCTGGATATTTGGACCTCTTTGAGGCCTTCGTAGTAAACGGGATTTCTTCGTGTAATGATAGACAATAGAATTCTCAGTGAATTTTTTTCTGTGTGTGTGTATTCAACTCACAGTGTTGAACCTTCCTTTAGACAGTGCAGATTTGAAACACTTGTCTGTGGAATTTGCAAGGGGAGATTTCAAGCACTTTGAGGCCATTGGTGGAAAAGGAAATATCTTCGTATAAAAACTAGACAGAATCATTCTCAGGAACTACTTTGTGATATGTGCATTCAACTCACAGAGTTTAACCTTTCTTTTCATAGATGAGTTTGGAAACAGTCAGTTTGTAAATTCTGCAACTGGATATTTGGACCTCTTTGAGGCTTTCGTTGGAAACGGGATTTCTTCACATAATGCTAGACAGAAGAATTCTCAGTAACTTCTTTTGGGATGTATGTATTCAAATCAGAGAGTTGAACCTTCCTTTAGACAGAGCGGATTGGAAACACTCTTTTTGTGGAATTTGCAAGTGGAAAATTCTAGCAGTATGAGGCCAATGGTACAAAAGGAAATATTCTTCGTATAAAAACTAGACAGTAATCATTCTCAGAAACTGCTTTGTGATGTGTGTATTAAACTCACAGAGTTGAACATTTCTTTGCATAGAGCAGTTTGGAAAGACTTAGTTTGTGCAGTGTGCAAGTGGATATTTGGAACTCTTTGAGGCCTTCGTTGGAAACGGGATTTCTTCTTATAATTTCTTGAAAAAAGAATTCTCAGTAGCTTCTTTGTGTGTGTGTATTCAACTCACAGAGTTGAACCTTCCTTTAGACAGAGCAGATTGGAAACACTCTTTTTGTGGAATTTGCAAGTGGAGAATTCTAGCGCTTTGACGCCAATGGTAGAAAGGAAATATCTTCGTATAAAAACTAGACAGTATCATTCTCAGAAGCTACTTTGTGATGTGTGCGTTCAACTCACAGAGTTTAACCTTTCTTTTCATAGAGCAGTTTGGAAACCCTCTGTTTGTGAAGTCTGCAAGTGGATATTTAAACGTCTTTGAGGCCTTCGTTGGAAACGGGATTTTTTCATATAAACCAGGACAGAAGAATTCTCAGAAACTTCTTGATTGTTATGTGTGCATTCAACTCACAGAGTTGAACCTTACTTTGGAAAGAGCAGTTTTCTAACACTCTTTTTGTAAAAGTTCCAAGTGAATACTTTGAGTGCTTTGAAGCCTACGGTTGACAACGAAATATCTTCATGTAAAAACTACAAAGAATCATTCGCAGAAACCACGTTGTGATCTCTGCATTCAACTCACAGAGTTGAACCTTTCTTCCTATAGAGCAGTTATGAAACAGTCTCTTTGTAGAATTTGCAAGGGTGTATTTAGAGGGCATTGAAGCCTACGGTAGAAAAGGAAATATCTTACCATAAAATCTAGTCAGAAGCATTCTCAGAAACTGAGTTGTGATGTTTGCATTCAACTCACAGAGTTCAACATTCCTTTTAATGGAGCGGTTTTGAAACACTCTTTTTGCAGAATCTGCAAGTGGATATTTGGACCTCTTTGAGGCCTTCGTTGGAAACGGGATTTCTTCATGTAATGCCAGACAGAAGAATTCTCAGTGAATTCTTTCTGTGTGTGTGTATTCAACTCACAGAGTTGAACGTTCCTTTAGACAGAGTAGATTGGAAACACTCTTTTTGTGGAATTTTCAGGTGGAGGTATCAAGCGCTTTGAGGCCAATGATAGAAAAGGAAATACCTTCGTATAATAATTAGACGGAATCATTCTCAGAAACCGCTTTGCAATGTGTGCGTTCAACTCACAGTGTTTAACCTTTCTTTTCATACAGTTGTTTCGAAACACTCTTTTTGCAGAATCTGCAAGTGGATATTTGGACCTCTTTGAAGTCTTCGTTGGAAATGGGATTTCTTCATATAATGCTAGACAGAAGACTTCTCAGTAACTGCTTTTTCTGGTGTGTATTCAACTCTCAGAGTTGAACTTTCCTTTAGAAACAGCAGATTTGAAACTCTCTTTTTGTGGAATTTGCAAGTGGAGATTTCAGAGCTTTGAGGCCAATGGTAGAAAAGGAAATATCTTCGTATGCAAACTAGACAGAATCATTCTCAGAAACTACTTTGGTACGTGTGTGTTCAACTCACAGTGTTTAACCTTTCTTTTCATAGAGCAGTTTGGAAACACTCAGTTTGTAAAGTCAGCAACTGGATATTTGGATGTATTTGAGGCCTTCGTTGGAAACGGGATTTCTTCATATAGTGCTAGACAGAAGAATTCTCAGTAACTTCTTTGGGTTGTGGGTATTCAACTCACAGAGTTGAAGCTTCCTTTAGGCGGAGCAGATTGGAAACACTTTTTGTGGAATTTTCAGGGGGAGACTTCAAGCGCTTTGAAGTGAATGGTAGAAAAGGAAATATCTTCGTATAAAAACTAGACGGAGTCATTCTCAGAAACTACTTTGTGATGTTTGCGTTCAACTCACAGAGTTTAACGTTTCTTTTCATAGAGCAGTTTGGAAACACTCTTTTTGCAGAATCTGCAAGTGGATATTTGGACCTCTTTGTGGCCTTCGTTGGAAACGGGATTTTTCATATAATGCTAGACAGAAGAATTCTCAGTAACTTCTTTTTGTGGTGTGTATTCAACTCACAGAGTTGAACCTTCCTTTAGACAGAGCAGATTTGAAACTCTCTTTTTGTGGAATTTGCAAGTGGAGATTTCAAGCGCTTTGAGGCCAACGGTAGAAAAGGAAATATCTTCGTAGAAAAAATAGACGGAATCATTCTCAGAAACTGCTTTGGGATGTGTGCATTGAACTCACAGTGTTTAACACTTCTTTTCATAGAGCACTTTGGAAACACTCAGTTTGTAATGTCTGCAGCTGGATATTTGGACCTCTTTGAGGCCTTCGTAGTAAACGGGATTTCTTCGTGTAATGATAGACAATAGAATTCTCAGTGAATTTTTTTCTGTGTGTGTGTATTCAACACACAGGGTTGAACCTTCCTTTAGACAGTGCAGATTTGAGACACTTGTCTGTGGAATTTGCAAGGGGAGATTTCAAGCACTTTGAGGCCATTGGTGGAAAAGGAAATATCTTCGTATAAAAACTAGACAGAATCATTCTCAGGAACTACTTTGTGATATGCGCATTCAACTCACAGAGTTTAACCTTTCTTTTCATAGATGAGTTTGGAAACAGTCAGTTTGTAAATGCTGCAACTGGATATTTGGGCCTCTTTGAGGCTTTCGTTGGAAACGGGATTTCTTCACATAATGCTAGACAGAAGAATTCTCAGTAACTTCTTTTGGGATGTATGTATTCAAATCAGAGAGTTGAACCTTCCTTTAGACAGAGCGGATTGGAAACACTCTTTTTGTGGAATTTGCAAGTGGAAAATTCTAGCAGTATGAGGCCAATGGTACAAAAGGAAATATCTTCGTATAAAAACTAGACAGTATCATTCTCAGAAACTGCTTTGTGATGTGTGTATTAAACTCACAGAGTTGAACATTTCTTTGCATAGAGCAGTATGGAAAGACTTAGTTTGTGCAGTGTGCAAGTGGATATTTGGAACTCTTTGAGGCCTTGGTTGGAAACGGGATTTCTTCTTATAATTCTTGACAAAAGAATTCTCAGTAGCTTCTTTGTGTGTGTGTACTCAACTCACAGAGTTGAACCTTCCTTTAGACAGAGCAGATTGGAAACACTCTTTTTGTGGAATTTGCAAGTGGAAAATTCTAGCAGTATGAGGCCAATGGTACAAAAGGAAATATCTTCGTATAAAAACTAGACAGTATCATTCTCAGAAACTACTTTGTGAGGTGTGCGTTCAACTCACAGTGTTTACCCTTTCTTTTCATAGAGCAGTTTGGAAACACTCTGTTTGTGAAGTCTGCAAGTGGATATTTAAACGTCTTTGAGGCCTTCGTTGGAAACGGGATTTCTTCATATAAACCAGGACAGAAGAATTCTCAGAAACTTCTTGTTTGTTATGTGTGCATTCAACTCACAGAGTTGAACCTTACTTTGGAAAGAGCAGTTTTCTAACACTCTTTTTGTAAAAGTTCCAAGTGAATACTTTGAATGCTTTGAAGCCTACGGTAGACAACGAAATATCTTCATGTAAAAACTACAAAGAATCATTCGCAGAAACCACGTTGTGATCTCTGCATTCAACTCACAGAGTTGAACCTTTCCTCCTATAGAGCAGTTATGAAACAGTCTCTTTGTAGAATTTGCAAGGGTGTATTTACAGGGCATTGAAGCCTACGGTAGAAAAGGAAATATCTTACCATAAAATCTAGTCAGAAGCATTCTCAGAAACTGAGTTGTGATGTTTGCATTCAACTCACAGAGTTCAACATTCCTTTTAATGGAGCGGTTTTTAAACACTCTTTTTGCAGAATCTGCAAGTGGATATTTGGACCTCTTTGAGGCCTTCGTTGGAAACGGGATTTCTTCATGTAATGCCAGACAGAAGAATTCTCAGTGAATTCTTTCTGTGTGTGTGTATTCAACTCACGGAGTTGAACGTTCCTTTAGACAGAGTAGATTGGAAACACTCTTTTTGTGGAATTTTCAGGTGGAGGTATCAAGCGCTTTGAGGCCAATGATAGAAAAGGAAATACCTTCGTATAATAATTAGACGGAATCATTCTCAGAAACTGCTTTGCAATGTGTGCGTTCAACTCACAGTGTTTAACCTTTCTTTTCATACAGTTGTTTCGAAACACTCTTTTTGCAGAATCTGCAAGTGGATATTTGGACCTCTTTGAAGTCTTCGTTGGAAATGGGATTTCTTCATATAATGCTAGACAGAAGACTTCTCAGTAACTGCTTTTTCTGGTGTGTATTCAACTCTCAGAGTTGAACTTTCCTTTAGAAACAGCAGAGTTGAAACTCTCTTTTTGTGGAATTTGCAAGTGGAGATTTCAAAGCTTTGAGGCCAATGGTAGAAAAGGAAATATCTTCGTATGCAAACTAGACAGAATCATTCTCAGAAACTACTTTGGTACGTGTGTGTTCAAGTCACAGTGTTTAACCTTTCTTTTCATAGAGCAGTTTGGAAACACTCAGTTTGTAAAGTCAGCAACTGGATATTTGGATGTATTTGAGGCCTTCGTTGGAAACGGGATTTCTTCATATAATGCTAGACAGAAGAATTCTCAGTAACTTCTTTGGGTTGTGGGTATTCAACTCACAGAGTTGAAGCTTCCTTTAGGCGGAGCAGATTGGAAACACTTTTTGTGGAATTTTCAGGGGGAGACTTCAAGCGCTTTGAAGTGAATGGTAGGAAAGGAAATATCTTCGTATAAAAACTAGACGGAGTCATTCTCAGAAACTACTTTGTGATGTTTGCGTTCAACTCACAGAGTTTAACGTTTCTTTTCATAGAGCAGTTTGGAAACACTCTTTTTGCAGAATCTACAAGTGGATATTTGGACCTCTTTGTGGCCTTCGTTGGAAACGGGATTTTTCATATAATGCTAGACAGAAGAATTCTCAGTAACTTCTTTTTGTGGTGTGTATTCAACTCACAGAGTTGAACCTTCCTTTAGACAGAGCAGATTTGAAACTCTCTTTTTGTGGAATTTGCAAGTGGAGATTTCAAGCGCTTTGAGGCCAACGGTAGAAAAGGAAATATCTTCGTAGAAAAAATAGACGGAATCATTCTCAGAAACTGCTTTGGGATGTGTGCATTGAACTCACAGTGTTTAACACTTCTTTTCATAGAGCACTTTGGAAACACTCAGTTTGTAATGTCTGCAGCTGGATATTTGGACCTCTTTGAGGCCTTCGTAGTAAACGGGATTTCTTCGGGTAATGATAGACAATAGAATTCTCAGTGAATTTTTTTCTGTGTGTGTGTATTCAACTCACAGGGTTGAACCTTCCTTTAGACAGTGCAGATTTGAGACACTTGTCTGTGGAATTTGCAAGGGGAGATTTCAAGCACTTTGAGGCCATTGGTGGAAAAGGAAATATCTTCGTATAAAAACTAGACAGAATCATTCTCAGGAACTACTTTGTGATATGTGCATTCAACTCACAGAGTTTAACCTTTCTTTTCATAGATGAGTTTGGAAACAGTCAGTTTGTAAATGCTGCAACTGGATATTTGGGCCTCTTTGAGGCTTTCGTTGGAAACGGGATTTCTTCACATAATGCTAGACAGAAGAATTCTCAGTAACTTCTTTTGGGATGTATGTATTCAAATCAGAGAGTTGAACCTTCCTTTAGACAGAGCGGATTGGAAACACTCTTTTTGTGGAATTTGCAAGTGGAAAATTCTAGCAGTATGAGGCCAATGGTACAAAAGGAAATATCTTCGTATAAAAACTAGACAGTATCATTCTCAGAAACTGCTTTGTGATGTGTGTATTAAACTCACAGATTTGAACATTTCTTTGCATAGAGCAGTATGGAAAGACTTAGTTTGTGCAGTGTGCAAGTGGATATTTGGAACTCTTTGAGGCCTTGGTTGGAAACGGGATTTCTTCTTATAATTCTTGACAAAAGAATTCTCAGTAGCTTCTTTGTGTGTGTGTACCCAACTCACAGAGTTGAACCTTCCTTTAGACAGAGCAGATTGGAAACACTCTTTTTGTGGAATTTGCAAGTGGAAAATTCTAGCAGTATGAGGCCAATGGTACAAAAGGAAATATCTTCGTATAAAAACTAGACAGTATCATTCTCAGAAGCTACTTTGTGATGTGTGCGTTCAACTCACAGAGTTTAACCTTTCTTTTCATAGAGCAGTTTGGAAACACTCTGTTTGTGAAGTCTGCAAGTGGATATTTAAACGTCTTTGAGGCCTTCGTTGGAAACGGGATTTTTTCATATAAACCAGGACAGAAGAATTCTCAGAAACTTCTTGATTGTTATGTGTGCATTCAACTCACAGAGTTGAACCTTACTTTGGAAAGAGCAGTTTTCTAACACTCTTTTTGTAAAAGTTCCAAGTGAATACTTTGAGTGCTTTGAAGCCTACGGTTGACAACGAAATATCTTCATGTAAAAACTACAAAGAATCATTCGCAGAAACCACGTTGTGATCTCTGCATTCAACTCACAGAGTTGAACCTTTCTCCCTATAGAGCAGTTATGAAACAGTCTCTTTGTAGAATTTGCAAGGGTGTATTTAGAGGGCATTGAAGCCTACGGTAGAAAAGGAAATATCTTACCATAAAATCTAGTCAGAAGCATTCTCAGCAACTGAGTTGTGATGTTTGCATTCAACTCACAGAGTTCAACATTCCTTTTCATGGAGCGGTTTTGAAACACTCTTTTTGCAGAATCTGCAAGTGGATATTTGGACCTCTTTGAGGCCTTCGTTGGAAACGGGATTTCTTCATGTAATGCCAGACAGAAGAATTCTCAGTGAATTCTTTCTGTGTGTGTGTATTCAACTCACAGAGTTGAACGTTCCTTTAGACAGAGTAGATTGGAAACACTCTTTTTGTGGAATTTTCAGGTGGAGGTATCAAGCGCTTTGAGGCCAATGATAGAAAAGGAAATACCTTCGTATAATAATTAGACGGAATCATTCTCAGAAACCGCTTTGCAATGTGTGCGTTCAACTCACAGTGTTTAACCTTTCTTTTCATACAGTTGTTTCGAAACACTCTTTTTGCAGAATCTGCAAGTGGATATTTGGACCTCTTTGAAGTCTTCGTTGGAAATGGGATTTCTTCATATAATGCTAGACAGAAGACTTCTCAGTAACTGCTTTTTCTGGTGTGTATTCAACTCTCAGAGTTGAACTTTCCTTTAGAAACAGCAGAGTTGAAACTCTCTTTTTGTGGAATTTGCAAGTGGAGATTTCAGAGCTTTGAGGCCAATGGTAGAAAAGGAAATATCTTCGTATGCAAACTAGACAGAATCATTCTCAGAAACTACTTTGGTACGTGTGTGTTCAACTCACAGTGTTTAACCTTTCTTTTCATAGAGCAGTTTGGAAACACTCAGTTTGCAAAGTCAGCAACTGGATATTTGGATGTATTTGAGGCCTTCGTTGGAAACGGGATTTCTTCATATAATGCTAGACAGAAGAATTCTCAGTAACTTCTTTGGGTTGTGGGTATTCAACTCACAGAGTTGAAGCTTCCTTTAGGCGGAGCAGATTGGAAACACTTTTTGTGGAATTTTCAGGGGGAGACTTCAAGCGCTTTGAAGTGAATGGTAGGAAAGGAAATATCTTCGTATAAAAACTAGACGGAGTCATTCTCAGAAACTACTTTGTGATGTTTGCGTTCAACTCACAGAGTTTAACGTTTCTTTTCATAGAGCAGTTTGGAAACACTCTTTTTGCAGAATCTGCAAGTGGATATTTGGACCTCTTTGTGGCCTGTCGTTGGAAACGGGATTTTTCATATAATGCTAGACAGAAGAATTCTCAGTAACTTCTTTTTGTGGTGTGTATTCAACTCACAGAGTTGAACCTTCCTTTAGACAGAGCAGATTTGAAACTCTCTTTTTGTGGAATTTGCAAGTGGAGATTTCAAGCGCTTTGAGGCCAACGGCAGAAAAGGAAATATCTTCGTAGAAAAAATAGACGGAATCATTCTCAGAAACTGCTTTGGGATGTGTGCATTGAACTCACAGTGTTTAACACTTCTTTTCATAGAGCACTTTGGAAACACTCAGTTTGTAATGTCTGCAGCTGGATATTTGGACCTCTTTGAGGCCTTCGTAGTAAACGGGATTTCTTCGTGTAATGATAGACAATAGAATTCTCAGTGAATTTGTTTCTGTGTGTGTGTATTCAACTCACAGGGTTGAACCTTCCTTTAGACAGTGCAGATTTGAAACACTTGTCTGTGGAATTTGCAAGGGGAGATTTCAAGCACTTTGAGGCCATTGGTGGAAAAGGAAATATCTTCGTATGAAAACTAGACAGAATCATTCTCAGGAACTATTTTGTGATATGTGCATTCAACTCACAGAGTTTAACCTTTCTTTTCATAGATGAGTTTGGAAACAGTCAGTTTGTAAATTCTGCAACTGGATATTTGGACCTCTTTGAGGCTTTCGTTGGAAACGGGATTTCTTCACATAATGCTAGACAGAAGAATTCTCAGTAACTTCTTTTGGGATGTATGTATTCAAATCAGAGAGTTGAACCTTCCTTTAGACAGAGCGGATTGGAAACACTCTTTTTGTGGAATTTGCAAGTGGAAAATTCTAGCAGTATGAGGCCAATGGTACAAAAGGAAATATCTTCGTATAAAAACTAGACAGTATCATTCTCAGAAACTGCTTTGCGATGTGTGTATTAAACTCACAGAGTTGAACATTTCTTTGCATAGAGCAGTTTGGAAAGACTTAGTTTGTGCAGTGTGCAAGTGGATATTTGGAACTACTTTGAGGCCTTCGTTGGAAACGGGATTTCTTCTTATAATTCTTGACAAAAGAATTCTCAGTAGCTTCTTTGTGTGTGTGTATTCAACTCACAGAGTTGAACCTTCCTTTAGACAGAGCAGATTGGAAACACTCTTTTTGTGGAATTTGCAAGTGGAGAATTCTAGCGCTTTGACGCCAATGGTAGAAAGGAAATATCTTCGTATAAAAACTAGACAGTATCATTCTCAGAAGCTACTTTGTGATGTGTGCGTTCAACTCACAGAGTTTAACCTTTCTTTTCATAGAGCAGTTTGGAAACCCTCTGTTTGTGAAGTCTGCAAGTGGATATTTAAACGTCTTTGAGGCCTTCGTTGGAAACGGGATTTTTTCATATAAACCAGGACAGAAGAATTCTCAGAAACTTCTTGATTGTTATGTGTGCATTCAACTCACAGAGTTGAACCTTACTTTGGAAAGAGCAGTTTTCTAACACTCTTTTTGTAAAAGTTCCAAGTGAATACTTTGAGTGCTTTGAAGCCTACGGTTGACAACGAAATATCTTCATGTAAAAACTACAAAGAATCATTCGCAGAAACCACGTTGTGATCTCTGCATTCAACTCACAGAGTTGAACCTTTCTTCCTGTAGAGCAGTTATGAAACAGTCTCTTTGTAGAATTTGCAAGGGTGTATTTAGAGGGCATTGAAGCCTACGGTAGAAAAGGAAATATCTTACCATAAAATCTACTCAGAAGCATTCTCAGTAACTGAGTTGTGATGTTTGCATTCAACTCACAGAGTTCAACATTCCTTTTAATGGAGCGGTTTTGAAACACTCTTTTTGCAGAATCTGCAAGTGGATATTTGGACCTCTTTGAGGCCTTCGTTGGAAACGGGATTTCTTCATGTAATGCCAGACAGAGTAATTCTCAGTGAATTCTTTCTGTGTGTGTGTATTCAACTCACAGAGTTGAACGTTCCTTTAGACAGAGTAGATTGGAAACACTCTTTTTGTGGAATTTTCAGGTGGAGGTATCAAGCGCTTTGAGGCCAATGATAGAAAAGGAAATACCTTCGTATAATAATTAGACGGAATCATTCTCAGAAACTGCTTTGCAATGTGTGCGTTCAACTCACAGTGTTTAACCTTTCTTTTCATACAGTTGTTTCGAAACACTCTTTTTGCAGAATCTGCAAGTGGATATTTGGACCTCTTTGAAGTCTTCGTTGGAAATGGGATTTCTTCATATAATGCTAGACAGAAGACTTCTCAGTAACTGCTTTTTCTGGTGTGTATTCAACTCTCAGAGTTGAACTTTCCTTTAGAAACAGCAGATTTGAAACTCTCTTTTTGTGGAATTCGCAAGTGGAGATTTCAGAGCTTTGAGGCCAATGGTAGAAAAGGAAATATCTTCGTATGCAAACTAGACAGAATCATTCTCAGAAACTACTTTGGTACGTGTGTGTTCAACTCACAGTGTTTAACCTTTCTTTTCATAGAGCAGTTTGGAAACACTCAGTTTGTAAAGTCAGCAACTGGATATTTGGATGTATTTGAGGCCTTCGTTGGAAACGGGATTTCTTCATATAATGCTAGACAGAAGAATTCTCAGTAACTTCTTTCTTTGGGTTGTGGGTATTCAAGTCACAGAGTTGAAGCTTCCTTTAGGCGGAGCAGATTGGAAACACTTTTTGTGGAATTTTCAGGGGGAGACTTCAAGCGCTTTGAAGTGAATGGTAGGAAAGGAAATATCTTCGTATAAAAACTAGACGGAGTCATTCTCAGAAACTACTTTGTGATGTTTGCGTTCAACTCACAGAGTTTAACGTTTCTTTTCATAGAGCAGTTTGGAAACACTCTTTTTGCAGAATCTGCAAGTGGATATTTGGACCTCTTTGTGGCCTTCGTTGGAAACGGGATTTTTCATATAATGCTAGACAGAAGAATTCTCAGTAACTTCTTTTTGTGGTGTGTATTCAACTCACAGAGTTGAACCTTCCTTTAGACAGAGCAGATTTGAAACTCTCTTTTTGTGGAATTTGCAAGTGGAGATTTCAAGCGCTTTGAGGCCAACGGCAGAAAAGGAAATATCTTCGTAGAGAAAATAGACGGAATCATTCTCAGAAACTGCTTTGGGATGTGTGCATTGAACTCACAGTGTTTAACACTTCTTTTCATAGAGCACTTTGGAAACACTCAGTTTGTAATGTCTGCAGCTGGATATTTGGACCTCTTTGAGGCCTTCGTAGTAAACGGGATTTCTTCGTGTAATGATAGACAATAGAATTCTCAGTGAATTTTTTTCTGTGTGTGTGTATTCAACTCACAGGGTTGAACCTTCCTTTAGACAGTGCAGATTTGAGACACTTGTCTGTGGAATTTGCAAGGGGAGATTTCAAGCACTTTGAGGCCATTGGTGGAAAAGGAAATATCTTCGTATAAAAACTAGACAGAATCATTCTCAGGAACTACTTTGTGATATGTGCATTCAACTCACAGAGTTTAACCTTTCTTTTCATAGATGAGTTTGGAAACAGTCAGTTTGTAAATGCTGCAACTGGATATTTGGGCCTCTTTGAGGCTTTCGTTGGAAACGGGATTTCTTCACATAATGCTAGACAGAAGAATTCTCAGTAACTTCTTTTGGGATGTATGTATTCAAATCAGAGAGTTGAACCTTCCTTTAGACAGAGCGGATTGGAAACACTCTTTTTGTGGAATTTGCAAGTGGAAAATTCTAGCAGTATGAGGCCAATGGTACAAAAGGAAATATCTTCGTATAAAAACTAGACAGTATCATTCTCAGAAACTACTTTGTGATGTGTGCGTTCAACTCACAGTGTTTACCCTTTCTTTTCATAGAGCAGTTTGGAAACACTCTGTTTGTGAAGTCTGCAAGTGGATATTTAAACGTCTTTGAGGCCTTCGTTGGAAACGGGATTTCTTCCTATAAACCAGGACAGAAGAATTCTCAGAAACTTCTTGTTTGTTATGTGTGCATTCAACTCACAGAGTTGAACCTTACTTTGGAAAGAGCAGTTTTCTAACACTCTTTTTGTAAAAGTTCCAAGTGAATACTTTGAGTGCTTTGAAGCCTACGGTAGACAACGAAATATCTTCATGTAAAAACTACAAAGAATCATTCGCAGAAACCACGTTGTGATCTCTGCATTCAACTCACAGAGTTGAACCTTTCCTCCAATAGAGCAGTTATGAAACAGTCTCTTTGTAGAATTTGCAAGGGTGTATTTACAGGGCATTGAAGCCTACGGTAGAAAAGGAAATATCTTACCATAAAATCTAGTCAGAAGCATTCTCAGAAACTGAGTTGTGATGTTTGCATTCAACTCACAGAGTTCAACATTCCTTTTAATGGAGCGGTTTTGAAACACTCTTTTTGCAGAATCTGCAAGTGGATATTTGGACCTCTTTGAGGCCTTCGTTGGAAACGGGATTTCTTCATGTAATGCCAGACAGAAGAATTCTCAGTGAATTCTTTCTGTGTGTGTGTATTCAACTCACGGAGTTGAACGTTCCTTTAGACAGAGTAGATTGGAAACACTCTTTTTGTGGAATTTTCAGGTGGAGGTATCAAGCGCTTTGAGGCCAATGATAGAAAAGGAAATACCCTTCGTATAATAATTAGACGGAATCATTCTCAGAAACCGCTTTGCAATGTGTGCGTTCAACTCACAGTGTTTAACCTTTCTTTTCATACAGTTGTTTCGAAACACTCTTTTTGCAGAATCTGCAAGTGGATATTTGGACCTCTTTGAAGTCTTCGTTGGAAATGGGATTTCTTCATATAATGCTAGACAGAAGACTTCTCAGTAACTGCTTTTTCTGGTGTGTATTCAACTCTCAGAGTTGA
Organism: Homo sapiens; assembly: GCF_000001405.40. Classification (NCBI taxonomy): domain Eukaryota; kingdom Metazoa; phylum Chordata; class Mammalia; order Primates; family Hominidae; genus Homo; species Homo sapiens. The sequence continues at coordinate 92,704,155 of NC_000003.12, forward strand.
ACTTTCCTTTAGAAACAGCAGATTTGAAACTCTCTTTTTGTGGAATTTGCAAGTGGAGATTTCAGAGCTTTGAGGCCAATGGTAGAAAAGGAAATATCTTCGTATGCAAACTAGACAGAATCATTCTCAGAAACTACTTTGGTACGTGTGTGTTCAACTCACAGTGTTTAACCTTTCTTTTCATAGAGCAGTTTGGAAACACTCAGTTTGTAAAGTCAGCAACTGGATATTTGGATGTATTTGAGGCCTTCGTTGGAAACGGGATTTCTTCATATAATGCTAGACAGAAGAATTCTCAGTAACTTCTTTGGGTTGTGGGTATTCAACTCACAGAGTTGAAGCTACCTTTAGGCGGAGCAGATTGGAAACACTTTTTGTGGAATTTTCAGGGGGAGACTTCAAGCGCTTTGAAGTGAATGGTAGGAAAGGAAATATCTTCGTATAAAAACTAGACGGAGTCATTCTCAGAAACTACTTTGTGATGTTTGCGTTCAACTCACAGAGTTTAACGTTTCTTTTCATAGAGCAGTTTGGAAACACTCTTTTTGCAGAATCTGCAAGTGGATATTTGGACCTCTTTGTGGCCTTCGTTGGAAACGGGATTTTTCATATAATGCTAGAGAGAAGAATTCTCAGTAACTTCTTTTTGTGGTGTGTATTCAACTCACAGAGTTGAACCTTCCTTTAGACAGAGCAGATTTGAAACTCTCTTTTTGTGTAATTTGCAAGTGGAGATTTCAAGCGCTTTGAGGCCAACGGCAGAAAAGGAAATATCTTCGTAGAAAAAATAGACGGAATCATTCTCAGAAACTGCTTTGGGATGTGTGCATTGAACTCACAGTGTTTAACACTTCTTTTCATAGAGCACTTTGGAAACACTCAGTTTGTAATGTCTGCAGCTGGATATTTGGACCTCTTTGAGGCCTTCGTTGTAAACGGCATTTCTTCGTGTAATGATAGACAATAGAATTCTCAGTGAATTTTTTTCTGTGTGTGTGTATTCAACTCACAGGTTTGAACCTTCCTTCAGACAGTGCAGATTTGAAACACTTTTCTGTGGAATTTGCAAGGGGAGATTTCAAGCACTTTGAGGCCATTGGTGGAAAAGGAAATATCTTCGTATAAAAACTAGACAGAATCATTGTCAGGAACTACTTTGTGATATGTGCATTCAACTCACAGAGTTTAACCTTTCTTTTCATAGATGAGTTTGGAAACAGTCAGTTTGTAAATTCTGCAACTGGATATTTGGACCTCTTTGAGGCTTTCGTTGGAAACGGGATTTCTTCACATAATGCTAGACAGAAGAATTCGCAGTAACTTCCTTTGGGATGTATGTATTCAACTCAGAGAGTTGAACCTTCCTTTAGACAGAGCCGATTGGAAACACGCTTTTTGCGGAATTTTCAGGTGGCGATTCCAAGAGCCTTGAGGCCAATGGTAGAAAAGGCTATCTTCGTATACAAAGTAGAGGGAATCATTCTCAGAGACTGCTTTGTGATGTGTGCATTAATCTCACAGGGTTGAACATTTCTTTGCATAGAGCAGTTTGGAAAGACTTAGTTTGTACAGCGTGCAAGTGGATATTTGGAACTCTTTGAGGCCTTCGTTGGAAACAGGATTTCTTCTTATACTTCTTGACAAAAGAATTCTCAGTAGCTTCTTTGTGTGTGTGTATTCAACTCACAGAGTTGAACCTTCCTTTAGACAGAGCAGATTGGAAACACTCTTTTTGTGGAATTTGCAAGTGGAGAATTCTAGCGCTTTGACGCCAATGGTAGGAAAGGAAATATCTTCGTATAAAAACAGGACAGTATCATTCTCAGAAACTACTTTGTGATGTGTGCGTTCAACTCACAGAGTTTAACCTTTCTTTTCATAGAGCAGTTTGGAAACACTCTGTTTGTGAAGTCTGCAAGTGGATATTTAAACGTCTTTGAGGCCTTCGTTGGAAACGGGATTTTTTCATATAAACCAGGACAGAAGAATTCTCAGAAACTTCTTGTTTGTTATGTGTGCATTCAACTCACAGAGTTGAACCTTACTTTGGAAAGAGCAGTTTTCTAACACTCTTTTTGTAAAAGTTCCAAGAGAATACTTTGAGTGCTTTGAAGCCTACGGTAGACAACGAAATATCTTCATGTAAAAACTGCGAAGAATCATTCGCAGAAACCACGTTGTGATCTCTGCATTCAACTCACAGAGTTCAACCTTTCTTCCTATAGAGCAGTTATGAAACAGTCTCTTTGTAGAATTTGCAAGGGTGTATTTAGAGGGCATTGAAGCCTACGGTAGAAAAGGAAATATCTTACCATAAAATCTAGTCAGAAGCATTCTCAGAAACTGAGTTGTGATGTTTGCATTCAACTCACAGAGTTCAACATTCCTTTTAATGGAGCGGTTTTGAAACACTCTTTTTGCAGAATCTGCAAGTGGATATTTGGACCTCTTTGAGGCCTTCGTTGGAAACGGGATTTCTTCATGTAATGCCAGACAGAAGAATTCTCAGTGAATTCTTTCTGTGTGTGTGTATTCAACTCACAGAGTTGAACGTTCCTTTAGACAGAGTAGATTGGAAACACTCTTTTTGTGGAATTTTCAGGTGGAGGTATCAAGCGCTTTGAGGCCAATGATAGAAAAGGAAATACCTTCGTATAATAATTAGACGGAATCATTCTCAGAAACTGCTTTGCAATGTGTGCGTTCAACTCACAGTGTTTAACCTTTCTTTTCATACAGTTGTTTCGAAACACTCTTTTTGCAGAATCTGCAAGTGGATATTTGGACCTCTTTGAAGTCTTCGTTGGAAATGGGATTTCTTCATATAATGCTAGACAGAAGACTTCTCAGTAACTGCTTTTTCTGGTGTGTATTCAACTCCCAGAGTTGAACTTTCCTTTAGAAACAGCAGATTTGAAACTCTCTTTTTGTGGAATTTGCAAGTGGAGATTTCAGAGCTTTGAGGCCAATGGTAGAAAAGGAAATATCTTCGTATGCAAACTAGACAGAATCATTCTCAGAAACTACTTTGGTACGTGTGTGTTCAACTCACAGTGTTTAACCTTTCTTTTCATAGAGCAGTTTGGAAACACTCAGTTTGTAAAGTCAGCAACTGGATATTTGGATGTATTTGAGGCCTTCGTTGGAAACGGGATTTCTTCATATAATGCTAGACAGAAGAATTCTCAGTAACTTCTTTGGGTTGTGGGTATTCAACTCACAGAGTTGAAGCTTCCTTTAGGCGGAGCAGATTGGAAACACTTTTTGTGGAATTTTCAGGGGGAGACTTCAAGCGCTTTGAAGTGAATGGTAGGAAAGGAAATATCTTCGTATAAAAACTAGACGGAGTCATTCTCAGAAACTACTTTGTGATGTTTGCGTTCAACTCACAGAGTTTAACGTTTCTTTTCATAGAGCAGTTTGGAAACACTCTTTTTGCAGAATCTGCAAGTGGATATTTGGACCTCTTTGTGGCCTTCGTTAGAAACGGGATTTTTCATATAATGCTAGACAGAAGAATTCTCAGTAACTTCTTTTTGTGGTGTGTATTCAACTCACAGAGTTGAACCTTCCTTTAGACAGAGCAGATTTGAAACTCTCTTTTTGTGGAATTTGCAAGTGGAGATTTCAAGCGCTTTGAGGCCAACGGTAGAAAAGTAAATATCTTCGTAGAAAAAATAGACGGAATCATTCTCAGAAACTGCTTTGGGATGTGTGCATTGAACTCACAGTGTTTAACACTTCTTTTCATAGAGCACTTTGGAAACACTCAGTTTGTAATGTCTGCAGCTGGATATTTGGACCTCTTTGAGGCCTTCGTAGTAAACGGGATTTCTTCGTGTAATGATAGACAATAGAATTCTCAGTGAATTTTTTTCTGTGTGTGTGTATTCAACTCACAGGGTTGAACCTTCCTTTAGACAGTGCAGATTTGAAACACTTGTCTGTGGAATTTGCAAGGGGAGATTTCAAGCACTTTGAGGCCATTGGTGGAAAAGGAAATATCTTCGTATAAAAACTAGACAGAATCATTCTCAGGAACTACTTTGTGATATGTGCATTCAACTCACAGAGTTTAACCTTTCTTTTCATAGATGAGTTTGGAAACAGTCAGTTTGTAAATTCTGCAACTGGATATTTGGACCTCTTTGAGGCTTTCGTTGGAAACGGGATTTCTTCACATAATGCTAGACAGAAGAATTCTCAGTAACTTCTTTTGGGATGTATGTATTCAAATCAGAGAGTTGAACCTTCCTTTAGACAGAGCGGATTGGAAACACTCTTTTTGTGGAATTTGCAAGTGGAAAATTCTAGCAGTATGAGGCCAATGGTACAAAAGGAAATATCTTCGTATAAAAACTAGACAGTATCATTCTCAGAAACTGCTTTGTGATGTGTGTATTAAACTCACAGAGTTGAACATTTCTTTGCATAGAGCAGTTTGGAAAGACTTAGTTTGTGCAGTGTGCAAGTGGATATTTGGAACTCTTTGAGGCCTTCGTTGGAAACGGGATTTCTTCTTATAATTCTTGACAAAAGAATTCTCAGTAGCTTCTTTGTGTGTGTGTATTCAACTCACAGAGTTGAACCTTCCTTTAGACAGAGCAGATTGGAAACACTCTTTTTGTGGAATTTGCAAGTGGAGAATTCTAGCGCTTTGACGCCAATGGTAGAAAGGAAATATCTTCGTATAAAAACTAGACAGTATCATTCTCAGAAACTACTTTGTGATGTGTGCATTCAACTCACAGAGTTTAACCTTTCTTTTCATAGAGCAGTTTGGAAACACTCTGTTTGTGAAGTCTGCAAGTGGATATTTAAACGTCTTTGAGGCCTTCGTTGGAAACGGGATTTGTTCATATAAACCAGGACAGAAGAATTCTCAGAAACTTCTTGATTGTTATGTGTGCATTCAACTCACAGAGTTGAACCTTACTTTGGAAAGAGCAGTTTCCTAACACTCTTTTTGTAAAAGTTCCAAGTGAATACTTTGAGTGCTTTGAAGCCTACGGTTGACAACGAAATATCTTCATGTAAAAACTACAAAGAATCATTCGCAGAAACCACGTTGTGATCTCTGCATTCAACTCACAGAGTTGAACCTTTCTTCCTATAGAGCAGTTATGAAACAGTCTCTTTGTAGAATTTGCAAGGGTGTATTTAGAGGGCATTGAAGCCTACGGTAGAAAAGGAAATATCTTACCATAAAATCTAGTCAGAAGCATTCTCAGCAACTGAGTTGTGATGTTTCCATTCAACTCACAGAGTTCAACATTCCTTTTAATGGAGCGGTTTTGAAACACTCTTTTTGCAGAATCTGCAAGTGGATATTTGGACCTCTTTGAGGCCTTCGTTGGAAACGGGATTTCTTCATGTAATGCCAGACAGAAGAATTCTCAGTGAATTCTTTCTGTGTGTGTGTATTCAACTCACAGAGTTGAACGTTCCTTTAGACAGAGTAGATTGGAAACACTCTTTTTGTGGAATTTTCAGGTGGAGGTATCAAGCGCTTTGAGGCCAATGATAGAAAAGGAAATACCTTCGTATAATAATTAGACGGAATCATTCTCAGAAACTGCTTTGCAATGTGTGCGTTCAACTCACAGTGTTTAACCTTTCTTTTCATACAGTTGTTTCGAAACACTCTTTTTGCAGAATCTGCAAGTGGATATTTGGACCTCTTTGAAGTCTTCGTTGGAAATGGGATTTCTTCATATAATGCTAGACAGAAGACTTCTCAGTAACTGCTTTTTCTGGTGTGTATTCAACTCTCAGAGTTGAACTTTCCTTTAGAAACAGCAGATTTGAAACTCTCTTTTTGTGGAATTTGCAAGTGGAGATTTCAGAGCTTTGAGGCCAATGGTAGAAAAGGAAATATCTTCGTATGCAAACTAGACAGAATCATTCTCAGAAACTACTTTGGTACGTGTGTGTTCAACTCACAGTGTTTAACCTTTCTTTTCATAGAGCAGTTTGGAAACACTCAGTTTGTAAAGTCAGCAACTGGATATTTGGATGTATTTGAGGCCTTCGTTGGAAACGGGATTTCTTCATATAGTGCTAGACAGAAGAATTCTCAGTAACTTCTTTGGGTTGTGGGTATTCAACTCACAGAGTTGAAGCTTCCTTTAGGCGGAGCAGATTGGAAACACTTTTTGTGGAATTTTCAGGGGGAGACTTCAAGCGCTTTGAAGTGAATGGTAGAAAAGGAAATATCTTCGTATAAAAACTAGACGGAGTCATTCTCAGAAACTACTTTGTGATGTTTGCGTTCAACTCACAGAGTTTAACGTTTCTTTTCATAGAGCAGTTTGGAAACACTCTTTTTGCAGAATCTGCAAGTGGATATTTGGACCTCTTTGTGGCCTTCGTTGGAAACGGGATTTTTCATATAATGCTAGACAGAAGAATTCTCAGTAACTTCTTTTTGTGGTGTGTATTCAACTCACAGAGTTGAACCTTCCTTTAGACAGAGCAGATTTGAAACTCTCTTTTTGTGGAATTTGCAAGTGGAGATTTCAAGCGCTTTGAGGCCAACGGCAGAAAAGGAAATATCTTCGTAGAAAAAATAGACGGAATCATTCTCAGAAACTGCTTTGGGATGTGTGCATTGAACTCACAGTGTTTAACACTTCTTTTCATAGAGCACTTTGGAAACACTCAGGTTGTAATGTCTGCAGCTGGATATTTGGACCTCTTTGAGGCCTTCGTGGTAAACGGGATTTCTTCGTGTAATGATAGACAATAGAATTCTCAGTGAATTTTTTTCTGTGTGTGTATATTCAACTCACAGGGTTGAACCTTCCTTTAGACAGTGCAGATTTGAAACACTTGTCTGTGGAATTTGCAAGGGGAGATTTCAAGCACTTTGAGGCCATTGGTGGAAAAGGAAATATCTTCGTATGAAAACTAGACAGAAATCATTCTCAGGAACTACTTTGTGATATGTGCATTCAACTCACAGAGTTTAACCTTTCTTTTCATAGATGAGTTTGGAAACAGTCAGTTTGTAAATTCTGCAACTGGATATTTGGACCTCTTTGAGGCTTTCATTGGAAACGGGATTTCTTCACATAATGCTAGACAGAAGAATTCTCAGTAACTTCTTTTGGGATGTATGTATTCAAATCAGAGAGTTGAACCTTCCTTTAGACAGAGCGGATTGGAAACACTCTTTTTGTGGAATTTGCAAGTGGAAAATTCTAGCAGTATGAGGCCAATGGTACAAAAGGAAATATCTTCGTATAAAAACTAGACAGTATCATTCTCAGAAACTGCTTTGTGATGTGTGTATTAAACTCACAGAGTTTAACCTTTCTTTTCATAGAGCAGTTTGGAAACCCTCTGTTTGTGAAGTCTGCAAGTGGATATTTAAACGTCTTTGAGGCCTTCGTTGGAAACGGGATTTTTTCATATAAACCAGGACAGAAGAATTCTCAGAAACTTCTTGATTGTTATGTGTGCATTCAACTCACAGAGTTGAACCTTACTTTGGAAAGAGCAGTTTTCTAACACTCTTTTTGTAAAAGTTCCAAGTGAATACTTTGAGTGCTTTGAAGCCTACGGTTGACAACGAAATATCTTCATGTAAAAACTACAAAGAATCATTCGCAGAAACCACGTTGTGATCTCTGCATTCAACTCACAGAGTTGAACCTTTCTTCCTATAGAGCAGTTATGAAACAGTCTCTTTGTAGAATTTGCAAGGGTGTATTTAGAGGGCATTGAAGCCTACGGTATAAAAGGAAATATCTTACCATAAAATCTAGTCAGAAGCATTCTCAGAAACTGAGTTGTGATGTTTGCATTCAACTCACAGAGTTCAACATTCCTTTTAATGGAGCGGTTTTGAAACACTCTTTTTGCAGAATCTGCAAGTGGATATTTGGACCTCTTTGAGGCCTTCGTTGGAAACGGGATTTCTTCATGTAATGCCAGACAGAAGAATTCTCAGTGAATTCTTTCTGTGTGTGTGTATTCAACTCACAGAGTTGAACGTTCCTTTAGACAGAGTAGATTGGAAACACTCTTTTTGTGGAATTTTCAGGTGGAGGTATCAAGCGCTTTGAGGCCAATGATAGAAAAGGAAATACCTTCGTATAAGAATTAGACGGAATCATTCTCAGAAACCGCTTTGCAATGTGTGCGTTCAACTCACAGTGTTTAACCTTTCTTTTCATACAGTTGTTTCGAAACACTCTTTTTGCAGAATCTGCAAGTGGATATTTGGACCTCTTTGAAGTCTTCGTTGGAAATGGGATTTCTTCATATAATGCTAGACAGAAGACTTCTCAGTAACTGCTTTTTCTGGTGTGTATTCAACTCTCAGAGTTGAACTTTCCTTTAGAAACAGCAGATTTGAAACTCTCTTTTTGTGGAATTTGCAAGTGGAGATTTCAGAGCTTTGAGGCCAATGGTAGAAAAGGAAATATCTTCGTATGCAAACTAGACAGAATCATTCTCAGAAACTACTTTGGTACGTGTGTGTTCAACTCACAGTGTTTAACCTTTCTTTTCATAGAGCAGTTTGGAAACACTCAGTTTGTAAAGTCAGCAACTGGATATTTGGATGTATTTGAGGCCTTCGTTGGAAACGGGATTTCTTCATATAATGCTAGACAGAAGAATTCTCAGTAACTTCTTTGGGTTGTGGGTATTCAAGTCACAGAGTTGAAGCTTCCTTTAGGCGGAGCAGATTGGAAACACTTTTTGTGGAATTTTCAGGGGGAGACTTCAAGCGCTTTGAAGTGAATGGTAGGAAAGGAAATATCTTCGTATAAAAACTAGACGGAGTCATTCTCAGAAACTACTTTGTGATGTTTGCGTTCAACTCACAGAGTTTAACGTTTCTTTTCATAGAGCAGTTTGGAAACACTCTTTTTGCAGAATCTGCAAGTGGATATTTGGACCTCTTTGTGGCCTTCGTTGGAAACGGGATTTTTCATATAATGCTAGACAGAAGAATTCTCAGTAACTTCTTTTTGTGGTGTGTATTCAACTCACAGAGTTGAACCTTCCTTTAGACAGAGCAGATTTGAAACTCTCTTTTTGTGGAATTTGCAAGTGGAGATTTCAAGCGCTTTGAGGCCAACGGCAGAAAAGGAAATATCTTCGTAGAAAAAATAGACGGAATCATTCTCAGAAACTGCTTTGGGATGTGTGCATTGAACTCACAGTGTTTAACACTTCTTTTCATAGAGCACTTTGGAAACACTCAGGTTGTAATGTCTGCAGCTGGATATTTGGACCTCTTTGAGGCCTTCGTAGTAAACGGGATTTCTTCGTGTAATGATAGACAATAGAATTCTCAGTGAATTTTTTTCTGTGTGTGTGTATTCAACTCACAGGGTTGAACCTTCCTTTAGACAGTGCAGATTTGAGACACTTGTCTGTGGAATTTGCAAGGGGAGATTTCAAGCACTTTGAGGCCATTGGTGGAAAAGGAAATATCTTCGTATGAAAACTAGACAGAATCATTCTCAGGAACTACTTTGTGATATGTGCATTCAACTCCCAGAGTTTAACCTTTCTTTTCATAGATGAGTTTGGAAACAGTCAGTTTGTAAATTCTGCAACTGGATATTTGGACCTCTTTGAGGCTTTCGTTGGAAACGGGATTTCTTCACATAATGCTAGACAGAAGAATTCTCAGTAACTTCTTTTGGGATGTATGTATTCAAATCAGAGAGTTGAACCTTCCTTTAGACAGAGCCGATTGGAAACACTCTTTTTGTGGAATTTGCAAGTGGAAAATTCTAGCAGTATAAGGCCAATGGTACAAAAGGAAATATCTTCGTATAAAAACTAGACAGTATCATTCTCAGAAACTGCTTTGTGATGTGTGCATTAAACTCACAGAGTTGAACATTTCTTTGCATAGAGCAGTTTGGAAAGACTTAGTTTGTACAGTGTGCAAGTGGATATTTGGAACTCTTTGAGGCCTTCGTTGGAAACGGGATTTCTTCTTATAATTCTTGACAAAAGAATTCTCAGTAGCTTCTTTGTGTGTGTGTATTCAACTCACAGAGTTGAACCTTCCTTTAGGCAGAGCAGATTGGAAACCCACTTTTTGTGGAATTTGCAAGTGGAGAATTCTAGCGCTTTGACGCCAATGGTAGGAAAGGAAATATCTCCGTATAAAAACTAGACAGTATCATTCTCAGAAACTACTTTGTGATGTGTGCGTTCAACTCACAGAGTTTAACCTTTCTTTTCATAGAGCAGTTTGGAAACACTCTGTTTGTGAAGTCTGCAAGAGGATATTTAAACGTCTTTGAGGCCTTCGTTGGAAACGGGATTTTTTCATATAAACCAGGACAGAAGAATTCTCAGAAACTTCTTGTTTGTTATGTGTGCATTCAACTCACAGAGTTGAACCTTACTTCAGAAAGAGCAGTTTTCTAACACTCTTTTTGTAAAAGTTCCAAGTGAATACTTTGAGTGCTTTGAAGCCTACGGTAGACAACGAAATATCTTCATGCAAAAACTGCAAAGAATCATTCGCAGAAACCACGTTGTGATCTCTGCATTCAACTCACAGAGTTCAACCTTTCTTCCTATAGAGCAGTTATTAAACAGTCTCTTTGTAGAATTTGCAAGGGTGTATTTAGAGGGCATTGAAGCCTACGGTAGAAAAGGAAATATCTGACCATAAAATCTAGTCAGAAGCATTCTCAGAAACTGAGTTGTGATGTTTGCATTCAACTCACAGAGTTCAACACTCCTTTTCATGGAGCGGTTTTGAAACACTCTTTTTGCAGAATCTGCAAGTGAATATTTGGACCTCTTTGAGGCCTTCGTTGGAAACGGGATTTCTTCATGTAATGCCAGACAGAAGAACTCTCAGTGAATTCTTTCTGTGTGTGTGTATTCAACTCACAGAGTTGAACGTTCCTTTAGACAGAGTAGATTGGAAACACTCTTTTTGTGGAATTTTCAGGTGGAGGTATCAAGCGCTTTGAGGCCCATGATAGAAAAGGAAATACCTTCGTATAATAATTAGACGGAATCATTCTCAGAAACTGCTTTGCAATGTGTGCCTTCAACTCACAGCGTTTAATCTTTCTTTTCATACAGTTGTTTCGAAACACTCTTTTTGCAGAATCTGCAAGTGGATATTTGGACCTCTTTGAAGTCTTCGTTGGAAATGGGATTTCTTCATATAATGCTAGACAGAAGACTTCTCAGTTACTGCTTTTTCTGGTGTGTATTCAACTCTCAGAGTTGAACTTTCCTTTAGAAACAGCAGATTTGAAACTCTCTTTTTGTGGAATTTGCAAGTGGAGATTTCAAAGCTTTGAGGCCAATGGTAGAAAAGGAAATATCTTCGTATGCAAAGTAGACAGAATCATTCTCAGAAACTACTTTGGTACGTGTGTGTTCAACTCACAGTGTTTAACCTTTCCTTTCATAGAGCAGTTTGGAAACACTCAGTTTGTAAAGTCAGCAACTGGATATCTGGATGTATTTGAGGCCTTCGTTGGAAACGGGATTTCTTCATGTAATGCTAGACAGAAGAATTCTCAGTAACTTCTTTGGGTTGTGGGTATTCAACTCACAGAGCTGAAGCTTCCTTTAGGCGGAGCAGATTGGAAACACTTTTTGTGGAATTTTCAGGGGGAGACTTCAAGCGCTTTGAGGCCAACGTTAGAAAAGGAAATATCTTCGTATAAAAACTAGACGGAGTCATTCTCAGAAACTACTTTGTGATGTTTGCGTTCAACTCACAGAGTTTAACCTTTCTTTTCATAGAGCAGTTTGGAAACACTCTTTTTGCAGAATCTGCAAGTGGATATTTGGACCTCTTTGTGGCCTTCGTTGGAAACGGGATTTTTCATATAATGCTAGACAGAAGAATTCTCAGTAACTTCTTTTTGTGGTGTGTATTCAACTCACAGAGTTGAACCTTCCTTTAGACAGAGCAGATTTGAAACTCTCTTTTCGTGGAATTAGCAAGTGGAGATTTCAAGCGCTTTGAGGCCAACGGTAGAAAAGGAAATATCTTCGTAGAAAAAATAGACGGAATCATTCTCAGAAACTGCTTTGGGATGTGTGCATTGAACTCACAGTGTTTAACACTTCTTTTCATAGAGCACTTTGGAAACACTCAGTTTGTAATGTCTGCAGCTGGATATTTGGACCTCTTTGAGGCCTTCGTAGTAAACGGGATTTCTTCGTGTAATGAGAGACAATAGAATTCTCAGTGAATTTTTTTCTGTGTGTGTGTATTCAACTCACAGGGTTGAACCTTCCTTCAGACAGTGCAGATTTGAAACACTTTTCTGTGGAATTTGCAAGGGGAGATTTCAAGCACTTTGAGGCCATTGGTGGAAAAGGAAATATCTTCGTATAAAAACTAGACAGAATCATTCTCAGGAACTACTTTGTGATATGTGCGTTCAACTCACAGGGTTTAACCTTTCTTTTCATAGATGAGTTTGGAAACAGTCAGTTTGTAAATTCTGCAACTGGATATTAGGACCTCTTTGAGGCGTTCGTTGGAAACGGGATTTCTTCACATAATGCTAGACAGAAGAATTCGCAGTAACTTCTTTTGGGATGTATGTATTCAACTCGGAGAGTTGAACCTTCCTTTAGACAGAGCGCATTGGAAACACGCTTTTTGCGGAATTTTCAGGTGGAGATTCCAAGAGCCTTGAGACCAATGGTAGAAAAGGATATCTTCATATAAAAACTAGAGGGAATCATTCTCAGAAACTGCTTTCTGATGTGTGCATTAAACTCACAGGGTTGAACATTTCTTTGCATAGAGCAGTTTGGAAAGACTTAGTTTGTACAGTGTGCAAGTGGATATTTGGAACTCTTTGAGGCCTTCGTTGGAAACGGGATTTCTTCTTATAATTCTTGACAAAAGAATTCTCAGTAGCTTCTTTGTGTGTGTGTATTCAACTCACAGAGTTGAACCTTCCTTTAGACAGAGCAGATTGGAAACACTCTTTTTGTGGAATTTGCAAGTGGAGAATTCTAGCGCTTTGACGCCAATGGTAGAAAGGAAATATCTTCGTATAAAAACTAGACAGTATCATTCTCAGAAGCTACTTTGTGAAGTGTGCGTTCAACTCACAGAGTTTAACCTTTCTTTTCATAGAGCAGTTTGGAAACCCTCTGTTTGTGAAGTCTGCAAGTGGATATTTAAACGTCTTTGAGGCCTTCGTTGGAAACGGGATTTTTTCATATAAACCAGGACAGAAGAATTCTCAGAAACTTCTTGATTGTTATGTGTGCATTCAACTCACAGAGTTGAACCTTACTTTGGAAAGAGCAGTTTCCTAACACTCGTTTTGTAAAAGTTCCAAGTGAATACTTTGAGTGCTTTGAAGCCTACGGTTGACAACGAAATATCTTCATGTAAAAACTACAAAGAATCATTCGCAGAAACCACGTTGTGATCTGTGCATTCAACTCACAGTGTTCAACCTTTATTTCTATAGAGCAGTTATGAAACACTCTCTTTGTAGAATTTGCAAGGGTGTATTTAGAGGGCGTTGAAGCCTACGGTAGAAAAAGATATATCTTACCATAAAAACTAGACAGAAGCATTCTCAGAAACTGAGTTGTGATGTTTGCGTTCAACTCACAGAGTTCAACATTCCTTTTAATAGAGCGGTTTTGAAACACTCTATTTGCAGAATCTGCAAGTGGATATTTGGACCTCTTTGAGGCCTTCGTTGGAAACGGGATTTCTTCATGTAAATGCCAGACAGAAGAATTCTCAGTGAATTCTTTACTGTGTGTGTGTATTCAACTCACAGAGTTGAACGTTCCTTTAGACAGAGTAGATTGGAAACACTCTTTTTGTGGAATTTTCAGGTGGAGGTATCAAGCGCTTTGAGGCCAATGATAGAAAAGGAAATACCTTCGTATAATAATTAGACGGAATCATTCTCAGAAACTGCTTTGCAATGTGTGCGTTCAACTCACAGTGTTTAACCTTTCTTTTCATACAGTTGTTTCGAAACACTCTTTTTGCAGAATCTGCAAGTGGATATTTGGACCTCTTTGAAGTCTTCGTTGGAAATGGGATTTCTTCATATAATGCTAGACAGAAGACTTCTCAGTAACTGCTTTTTCTGGTGTGTATTCAACTCTCAGAGTTGAACTTTCCTTTAGAAACAGCAGATTTGAAACTCTCTTTTTGTGGAATTTGCAAGTGGAGATTTCAGAGCTTTGAGGCCAATGGTAGAAAAGGAAATATCTTCGTATGCAAACTAGACAGAATCATTCTCAGAAACTACTTTGGTACGTGTGTGTTCAACTCACAGTGTTTAACCTTTCTTTTCATAGAGCAGTTTGGAAACACTCAGTTTGTAAAGTCAGCAACTGGATATTTGGATGTATTTGAGGCCTTCGTTGGAAACGGGATTTCTTCATATAATGCTAGACAGAAGAATTCTCAGTAACTTCTTTGGGTTGTGGGTATTCAAGTCACAGAGTTGAAGCTTCCTTTAGGCGGAGCAGATTGGAAACACTTTTTGTGGAATTTTCAGGGGGAGACTTCAAGCGCTTTGAAGTGAATGGTAGGAAAGGAAATATCTTCGTATAAAAACTAGACGGAGTCATTCTCAGAAACTACTTTGTGATGTTTGCGTTCAACTCACAGAGTTTAACGTTTCTTTTCATAGAGCAGTTTGGAAACACTCTTTTTGCAGAATCTGCAAGTGGATATTTGGACCTCTTTGTGGCCTTCGTTGGAAACGGGATTTTTCATATAATGCTAGACAGAAGAATTCTCAGTAACTTCTTTTTGTGGTGTGTATTCAACTCACAGAGTTGAACCTTCCTTTAGACAGAGCAGATTTGAAACTCTCTTTTTGTGGAATTTGCAAGTGGAGATTTCAAGCGCTTTGAGGCCAACGGCAGAAAAGGAAATATCTTCGTAGAAAAAATAGACGGAATCATTCTCAGAAACTGCTTTGGGATGTGTGCATTGAACTCACAGTGTTTAACACTTCTTTTCATAGAGCACTTTGGAAACACTCAGGTTGTAATGTCTGCAGCTGGATATTTGGACCTCTTTGAGGCCTTCGTAGTAAACGGGATTTCTTCGTGTAATGATAGACAATAGAATTCTCAGTGAATTTTTTTCTGTGTGTGTGTATTCAACTCACAGGGTTGAACCTTCCTTTAGACAGTGCAGATTTGAGACACTTGTCTGTGGAATTTGCAAGGGGAGATTTCAAGCACTTTGAGGCCATTGGTGGAAAAGGAAATATCTTCGTATGAAAACTAGACAGAATCATTCTCAGGAACTACTTTGTGATATGTGCATTCAACTCCCAGAGTTTAACCTTTCTTTTCATAGATGAGTTTGGAAACAGTCAGTTTGTAAATTCTGCAACTGGATATTTGGACCTCTTTGAGGCTTTCGTTGGAAACGGGATTTCTTCACATAATGCTAGACAGAAGAATTCTCAGTAACTTCTTTTGGGATGTATGTATTCAAATCAGAGAGTTGAACCTTCCTTTAGACAGAGCGGATTGGAAACACTCTTTTTGTGGAATTTGCAAGTGGAAAATTCTAGCAGTATGAGGCCAATGGTACAAAAGGAAATATCTTCGTATAAAAACTAGACAGTATCATTCTCAGAAACTGCTTTGTGATGTGTGTATTAAACTCACAGAGTTTAACCTTTCTTTTCATAGAGCAGTTTGGAAACCCTCTGTTTGTGAAGTCTGCAAGTGGATATTTAAACGTCTTTGAGGCCTTCGTTGGAAACGGGATTTTTTCATATAAACCAGGACAGAAGAATTCTCAGAAACTTCTTGATTGTTATGTGTGCATTCAACTCACAGAGTTGAACCTTACTTTGGAAAGAGCAGTTTTCTAACACTCTTTTTGTAAAAGTTCCAAGTGAATACTTTGAGTGCTTTGAAGCCTACGGTTGACAACGAAATATCTTCATGTAAAAACTACAAAGAATCATTCGCAGAAACCACGTTGTGATCTCTGCATTCAACTCACAGTGTTGAACCTTTCTTCCTATAGAGCAGTTATGAAACAGTCTCTTTGTAGAATTTGCAAGGGTGTATTTAGAGGGCATTGAAGCCTACGGTAGAAAAGGAAATATCTTACCATAAAATCTAGTCAGAAGCATTCTCAGAAACTGAGTTGTGATGTTTGCATTCAACTCACAGAGTTCAACATTCCTTTTAATGGAGCGGTTTTGAAACACTCTTTTTGCAGAATCTGCAAGTGGATATTTGGACCTCTTTGAGGCCTTCGTTGGAAACGGGATTTCTTCATGTAATGCCAGACAGAAGAATTCTCAGTGAATTCTTTCTGTGTGTGTGTATTCAACTCACAGAGTTGAACGTTCCTTTAGACAGAGTAGATTGGAAACACTCTTTTTGTGGAATTTTCAGGTGGAGGTATCAAGCGCTTTGAGACCAATGATAGAAAAGGAAATACCTTCGTATAATAATTAGACGGAATCATTCTCAGAAACTGCTTTGCAATGTGTGCGTTCAACTCACAGTGTTTAACCTTTCTTTTCATACAGTTGTTTCGAAACACTCTTTTTGCAGAATCTGCAAGTGGATATTTGGACCTCTTTGAAGTCTTCGTTGGAAATGGGATTTCTTCATATAATGCTAGACAGAAGACTTCTCAGTAACTGCTTTTTCTGGTGTGTATTCAACTCTCAGAGTTGAACTTTCCTTTAGAAACAGCAGATTTGAAACTCTCTTTTTGTGGAATTTGCAAGTGGAGATTTCAGAGCTTTGAGGCCAATGGTAGAAAAGGAAATATCTTCGTATGCAAACTAGACAGAATCATTCTCAGAAACTACTTTGGTACGTGTGTGTTCAACTCACAGTGTTTAACCTTTCTTTTCATAGAGCAGTTTGGAAACACTCAGTTTGTAAAGTCAGCAACTGGATATTTGGATGTATTTGAGGCCTTCGTTGGAAACGGGATTTCTTCATATAATGCTAGACAGAAGAATTCTCAGTAACTTCTTTGGGTTGTGGGTATTCAACTCACAGAGTTGAAGCTTCCTTTAGGTGGAGCAGATTGGAAACACTTTTTGTGGAATTTTCAGGGGGAGACTTCAAGCGCTTTGAAGTGAATGGTAGGAAAGGAAATATCTTCGTATAAAAACTAGACGGAGTCATTCTCAGAAACTACTTTGTGATGTTTGCGTTCAACTCACAGAGTTTAACGTTTCTTTTCATAGAGCAGTTTGGAAACACTCTTTTTGCAGAATCTGCAAGTGGATATTTGGACCTCTTTGTGGCCTTCGTTGGAAACGGGATTTTTCATATAATGCTAGACAGAAGAATTCTCAGTAACTTCTTTTTGTGGTGTGTATTCAACTCACAGAGTTGAACCTTCCTTTAGACAGAGCAGATTTGAAACTCTCTTTTCGTGGAATTAGCAAGTGGAGATTTCAAGCGCTTTGAGGCCAACGGTAGAAAAGGAAATATCTTCGTAGAAAAAATAGACGGAATCATTCTCAGAAACTGCTTTGGGATGTGTGCATTGAACTCACAGTGTTTAACACTTCTTTTCATAGAGCACTTTGGAAACACTCAGTTTGTAATGTCTGCAGCTGGATATTTGGACCTCTTTGAGGCCTTCGTAGTAAACGGGATTTCTTCGTGTAATGAGAGACAATAGAATTCTCAGTGAATTTTTTTCTGTGTGTGTGTATTCAACTCACAGGGTTGAACCTTCCTTTAGACAGTGCAGATTTGAGACACTTGTCTGTGGAATTTGCAAGGGGAGATTTCAAGCACTTTGAGGCCATTGGTGGAAAAGGAAATATCTTCGTATAAAAACTAGACAGAATCATTCTCAGGAACTACTTTGTGATATGTGCATTCAACTCACAGAGTTTAACCTTTCTTTTCATAGATGAGTTTGGAAACAGTCAGTTTGTAAATTCTGCAACTGGATATTTGGGCCTCTTTGAGGCTTTCGTTGGAAACGGGATTTCTTCACATAATGCTAGACAGAAGAATTCTCAGTAACTTCTTTTGGGATGTATGTATTCAAATCAGAGAGTTGAACCTTCCTTTAGACAGAGCGGATTGGAAACACTCTTTTTGTGGAATTTGCAAGTGGAAAATTCTAGCAGTATGAGGCCAATGGTACAAAAGGAAATATCTTCGTATAAAAACTAGACAGTATCATTCTCAGAAACTGCTTTGTGATGTGCGTATTAAACTCACAGAGTTGAACATTTCTTTGCATAGAGCAGTTTGGAAAGACTTAGTTTGTGCAGTGTGCAAGTGGATATTTGGAACTCTTTGAGGCCTTCGTTGGAAACGGGATTTCTTCTTATAATTCTTGACAAAAGAATTCTCAATAGCTTCTTTGTGTGTGTGTATTCAACTCACAGAGTTGAACCTTCCTTTAGACAGAGCAGATTGGAAACACTCTTTTTGTGGAATTTGCACGTGGAGAATTCTAGCGCTTTGACGCCAATGGTAGAAAGGAAATATCTTCGTATAAAAACTAGACAGTATCATTCTCAGAAGCTACTTTGTGATGTGTGCGTTCAACTCACAGAGTTTAACCTTTCTTTTCATAGAGCGGTTTGGAAACCCTCTGTTTGTGAAGTCTGCAAGTGGATATTTAAACGTCTTTGAGGCCTTCGTTGGAAACGGGATTTTTTCATATAAACCAGGACAGAAGAATTCTCAGAAACTTCTTGATTGTTATGTGTGCATTCAACTCACAGAGTTGAACCTTACTTTGGAAAGAGCAGTTTTCTAACACTCTTTTTGTAAAAGTTCCAAGTGAATACTTTGAGTGCTTTGAAGCCTACGGTTGACAACGAAATATCTTCATGTAAAAACTACAAAGAATCATTCGCAGAAACCACGTTGTGATCTCTGCAGTCAACTCACAGAGTTCAACCTTTCTTCCTATAGAGCAGTTATGAAACAGTCTCTTTGTAGAATTTGCAAGGGTGTATTTAGAGGGCATTGAAGCCTACGGTAGAAAAGGAAATATCTTACCATAAAATCTAGTCAGAAGCATTCTCAGAAACTGAGTTGTGATGTTTGCATTCAACTCACAGAGTTCAACATTCCTTTTAATGGAGCGGTTTTGAAACACTCTTTTTGCAGAATCTGCAAGTGGATATTTGGACCTCTTTGAGGCCTTCGTTGGAAACGGGATTTCTTCATGTAATGCCAGACAGAAGAATTCTCAGTGAATTCTTTCTGTGTGTGTGTATTCAACTCACAGAGTTGAACGTTCCTTTAGACAGAGTAGATTGGAAACACTCTTTTTGTGGAATTTTCAGGTGGAGGTATCAAGCGCTTTGAGGCCAATGATAGAAAAGGAAATACCTTCGTATAATAATTAGACGGAATCATTCTCAGAAACTGCTTTGCAATGTGTGCGTTCAACTCACAGTGTTTAACCTTTCTTTTCATACAGTTGTTTCGAAACACTCTTTTTGCAGAATCTGCAAGTGGATATTTGGACCTCTTTGAAGTCTTCGTTGGAAATGGGATTTCTTCATATAATGCTAGACAGAAGACTTCTCAGTAACTGCTTTTTCTGGTGTGTATTCAATTCTCAGAGTTGAACTTTCCTTTAGAAACAGCAGATTTGAAACTCTCTTTTTGTGGAATTTGCAAGTGGAGATTTCAGAGCTTTGAGGCCAATGGTAGAAAAGGAAATATCTTCGTATGCAAACTAGACAGAATCATTCTCAGAAACTACTTTGGTACGTGTGTGTTCAACTCACAGTGTTTAACCTTTCTTTTCATAGAGCAGTTTGGAAACACTCAGTTTGTAAAGTCAGCAACTGGATATTTGGATGTATTTGAGGCCTTCGTTGGAAACGGGATTTCTTCATATAATGCTAGACAGAAGAATTCTCAGTAACTTCTTTGGGTTGTGGGTATTCAAGTCACAGAGTTGAAGCTTCCTTTAGGCGGAGCAGATTGGAAACACTTTTTGTGGAATTTTCAGGGGGAGACTTCAAGCGCTTTGAAGTGAATGGTAGGAAAGGAAATATCTTCGTATAAAAACTAGACGGAGTCATTCTCAGAAACTACTTTGTGATGTTTGCGTTCAACTCACAGAGTTTAACGTTTCTTTTCATAGAGCAGTTTGGAAACACTCTTTTTGCAGAATCTGCAAGTGGATATTTGGACCTCTTTGTGGCCTTCGTTGGAAACGGGATTTTTCATATAATGCTAGACAGAAGAATTCTCAGTAACTTCTTTTTGTGGTGTGTATTCAACTCACAGAGTTGAACCTTCCTTTAGACAGAGCAGATTTGAAACTCTCTTTTTGTGGAATTTGCAAGTGGAGATTTCAAGCGCTTTGAGGCCAACGGCAGAAAAGGAAATATCTTCGTAGAAAAAATAGACGGAATCATTCTCAGAAACTGCTTTGGGATGTGTGCATTGAACTCACAGTGTTTAACACTTCTTTTCATAGAGCACTTTGGAAACACTCAGTTTGTAATGTCTGCAGCTGGATATTTGGACCTCTTTGAGGCCTTCGTAGTAAACGGGATTTCTTCGTGTAATGATAGACAATAGAATTCTCAGTGAATTTTTTTCTGTGTGTGTGTATTCAACTCACAGGGTTGAACCATCCTTTAGACAGTGCAGATTTGAAACACTTGTCTGTGGAATTTGCAAGGGGAGATTTCAAGCACTTTGAGGCCATTGGTGGAAAAGGAAATATCTTCGTATGAAAACTATACAGAATCATTCTCAGGAACTACTTTGTGATATGCGCATTCAACTCACAGAGTTTAACATTTCTTTTCATAGATGAGTTGGAAACAGTCAGTTTGTAAATGCTGCAACTGGATATTTGGGCCTCTTTGAGGCTTTTGTTGGAAACGGGATTTCTTCACATAATGCTAGACAGAAGAATTCTCAGTAACTTCTTTTGGGATGTATGTATTCAAATCAGAGAGTTGAACCTTCCTTTAGACAGAGCGGATTGGAAACACTCTTTTTGTGGAATTTGCAAGTGGAAAATTCTAGCAGTATGAGGCCAATGGTACAAAAGGAAATATCTTCGTATAAAAACTAGACAGTATCATTCTCAGAAACTGCTTTGTGATGTGTGTATTAAACTCACAGAGTTGAACATTTCTTTGCATAGAGCAGTTTGGAAAGACTTAGTTTGTGCAGTGTGCAAGTGGATATTTGGAACTCTTTGAGGCCTTCGTTGGAAACGGGATTTCTTCTTATAATTCTTGACAAAAGAATTCTCAGTAGCTTCTTTGTGTGTGTGTATTCAACTCACAGAGTTGAACCTTCCTTTAGACAGAGCAGATTGGAAACACTCTTTTTGTGGAATTTGCAAGTGGAGAATTCTAGCGCTTTGACGCCAATGGTAGAAAGGAAATATCTTCGTATAAAAACTAGACAGTATCATTCTCAGAAACTACTTTGTGATGTGTGCGTTCAACTCACAGAGTTTAACCTTTCTTTTCATAGAGCAGTTTGGAAACACTCTGTTTGTGAAGTCTGCAAGTGGATATTTAAACGTCTTTGAGGCCTTCGTTGGAAACGGGATTTGTTCATATAAACCAGGACAGAAGAATTCTCAGAAACTTCTTGATTGTTATGTGTGCATTCAACTCACAGAGTTGAACCTTACTTTGGAAAGAGCAGTTTTCTAACACTCTTTTTGTAAAAGTTCCAAGTGAATACTTTGAGTGCTTTGAAGCCTACGGTTGACAACGAAATATCTTCATGTAAAAACTACAAAGAATCATTCGCAGAAACCACGTTGTGATCTCTGCATTCAACTCACAGAGTTGAACCTTTCTTCCTATAGAGCAGTTATGAAACAGTCTCTTTGTAGAATTTGCAAGGGTGTATTTAGAGGGCATTGAAGCCTACGGTAGAAAAGGAAATATCTTACCATAAAATCTAGTCAGAAGCATTCTCAGCAACTGAGTTGTGATGTTTGCATTCAACTCACAGAGTTCAACATTCCTTTTCATGGAGCGGTTTTGAAACACTCTTTTTGCAGAATCTGCAAGTGGATATTTGGACCTCTTTGAGGCCTTCGTTGGAAACGGGATTTCTTCATGTAATGCCAGACAGAAGAATTCTCAGTGAATTCTTTCTGTGTGTGTGTATTCAACTCACAGAGTTGAACGTTCCTTTAGACAGAGTAGATTGGAAACACTCTTTTTGTGGAATTTTCAGGTGGAGGTATCAAGCGCTTTGAGGCCAATGATAGAAAAGGAAATACCTTCGTATAATAATTAGACGGAATCATTCTCAGAAACTGCTTTGCAATGTGTGCGTTCAACTCACAGTGTTTAACCTTTCTTTTCATACAGTTGTTTCGAAACACTCTTTTTGCAGAATCTGCAAGTGGATATTTGGACCTCTTTGAAGTCTTCGTTGGAAATGGGATTTCTTCATATAATGCTAGACAGAAGACTTCTCAGTAACTGCTTTTTCTGGTGTGTATTCAACTCTCAGAGTTGAACTTTCCTTTAGAAACAGCAGATTTGAAACTCTCTTTTTGTGGAATTTGCAAGTGGAGATTTCAGAACTTTGAGGCCAATGGTAGAAAAGGAAATATCTTCGTATGCAAACTAGACAGAATCATTCTCAGAAACTACTTTGGTACGTGTGTGTTCAACTCACAGTGTTTAACCTTTCTTTTCATAGAGCAGTTTGGAAACACTCAGTTTGTAAAGTCAGCAACTGGATATTTGGATGTATTTGAGGCCTTCGTTGGAAACGGGATTTCTTCATATAATGCTAGACAGAAGAATTCTCAGTAACTTCTTTGGGTTGTGGGTATTCAAGTCACAGAGTTGAAGCTTCCTTTAGGCGGAGCAGATTGGAAACACTTTTTGTGGAATTTTCAGGGGGAGACTTCAAGCGCTTTGAAGTGAATGGTAGGAAAGGAAATATCTTCGTATAAAAACTAGACGGAGTCATTCTCAGAAACTACTTTGTGATGTTTGCGTTCAACTCACAGAGTTTAACGTTTCTTTTCATAGAGCAGTTTGGAAACACTCTTTTTGCAGAATCTGCAAGTGGATATTTGGACCTCTTTGTGGCCTTCGTTGGAAACGGGATTTTTCATATAATGCTAGACAGAAGAATTCTCAGTAACTTCTTTTTGTGGTGTGTATTCAACTCACAGAGTTGAACCTTCCTTTAGACAGAGCAGATTTGAAACTCTCTTTTTGTGGAATTTGCAAGTGGAGATTTCAAGCGCTTTGAGGCCAACGGCAGAAAAGGAAATATCTTCGTAGAAAAAATAGACGGCAATCATTCTCAGAAACTGCTTTGGGATGTGTGCATTGAACTCACAGTGTTTAACACTTCTTTTCATAGAGCACTTTGGAAACACTCAGTTTGTAATGTCTGCAGCTGGATATTTGGACCTCTTTGAGGCCTTCGTAGTAAACGGGATTTCTTCGTGTAATGATAGACAATAGAATTCTCAGTGAATTTTTTTCTGTGTGTGTGTATTCAACTCACAGGGTTGAACCTTCCTTTAGACAGTGCAGATTTGAAACACTTTTCTGTGGAATTTGCAAGGGGAGATTTCAAACACTTTGAGGCCATTGGTGGAAAAGGAAATATCTTCGTATAAAAACTAGACAGAATCATTCTCAGGAACTACTTTGTGATATGTGCATTCAAATCACAGAGTTTAACCTTTCTTTTCATAGATGAGTTTGGAAACAGTCAGTTTGTAAATTCTGCAACTGGATATTTGGACCTCTTGGAGGCTTTCGTTGGAAACGGGATTTCTTCACATAATGCTAGACAGAAGAATTCTCAGTAACTTCTTTTGGGATGTATGTATTCAACTCAGAGAGTTGAACCTTCCTTTAGACAGAGCGGATTGGAAACACGCTTTTTGCGGAATTTTCAGGTAGAGATTCCAAGAGCCTTGAGGCCAATGGTAGAAAAGGCTATCTTCGTATAAAAACTAGAGGGAATCATTCTCAGAAACTGCTTTGTGATGTGTGCATTAAACTCACAGAGTTGAACATTTCTTTGCATAGAGCAGTTTGGAAAGACTTAGTTTGTACAGTGTGCAAGTGGATATTTGGAACTCTTTGAGGCCTTCGTTGGAAACGGGATTTCTTCTTATAATTCTTGACAAAAGAATTCTCAGTAGCTTCTTTGTGTGTGTGTATTCAACTCACAGAGTTGAACCTTCCTTTAGGCAGAGCAGATTGGAAACCCACTTTTTGTGGAATTGGCAAGTGGAGAATTCTAGCGCTTTGACGCCAATGGTAGGAAAGGAAATATCTCCGTATAAAAACTAGACAGTAATCATTCTCAGAAACTACTTTGTGATGTGTGCGTTCAACTCACAGAGTTTAACCTTTCTTTTCATAGAGCAGTTTGGAAACACTCTGTTTGTGAAGTCTGCAAGAGGATATTTAAACGTCTTTGAGGCCTTCGTTGGAAACGGGATTTTTTCATATAAACCAGGACAGAAGAATTCTCAGAAACTTCTTGTTTGTTATGTGTGCATTCAACTCACAGAGTTGAACCTTACTTCGGAAAGAGCAGTTTTCTAACACTCTTTTTGTAAAAGTTCCAAGTGAATACTTTGAGTGCTTTGAAGCCTACGGTAGACAACGAAATATCTTCATGTAAAAACTGCAAAGAATCATTCGCCGAAACCACGTTGTGATCTCTGCATTCAACTCACAGAGTTCAACCTTTCTTCCTATAGAGCAGTTATGAAACAGTCTCTTTGTAGAATTTGCAAGGGTGTATTTAGAGGGCATTGAGGCCTACGGTAGAAAAGGAAATATCTGACCATAAAATCTAGTCAGAAGCATTCTCAGAAACTGAGTTGTGATGTTTGCATTCAACTCACAGAGTTCAACATTCCTTTTCATAGAGCGGTTTTGAAACACTCTTTTTCCAGAATCTGCAAGTGGATATTTGGACCTCTTTGAGGCCTTCGTTGGAAACGGGATTTCTTCATGTAATCCCAGACAGAAGAACTCTCAGTGAATTCTTTCTGTGTGTGTGTACTCAACTCACAGAGTTGAACGTTCCCTTAGACAGAGTAGATTGGAAACACTCTTTTTGTGGAATGTTCACGTGGAGGTATCAAGCGCTTTGAGGCCCATGATAGAAAAGGAAATACCTTCGTATAATAATTAGATGGAATCATTCTCAGAAACTGCTTTGCAATGTGTGCCTTCAACTCACAGTGTTTAACCTTTCTTTTCATACAGTTGTT
This sequence comes from Homo sapiens, assembly GCF_000001405.40. Classification (NCBI taxonomy): domain Eukaryota; kingdom Metazoa; phylum Chordata; class Mammalia; order Primates; family Hominidae; genus Homo; species Homo sapiens. Next base: position 92,729,353 of record NC_000003.12, read on the forward strand.
TCGAAACACCCTTTTTGCGGAATCTGGAAGTGGATATTTGGACCTCTTTGAAGTCTTCGTTGGAAATGGGATTTCTTCATATAATGCTAGACAGAAGACTTCTCAGTAACTGGTTTTTCTGGTGTGTATTCAACTCTCAGAGTTGAACTTTCCTTTAGAAACAGCAGATATGAAACTCTCTTTTTGTGGAATTTGCAAGTGGAGATTTCAAAGCATTGAGGCCAATGGTAGAAAAGGAAATATCTTCGTATGCCAACTAGACAGAATCATTCTCAGAAACTACTTTGGTACGTGTGTGTTCAACTCACAGTGTTTAACCTTTCCTTTCATAGAGCAGTTTGGAAACACTCAGTTTGTAAAGTCAGCCACTGGATATTTGGATGTATTTGAGGCCTTCGTTGGAAACGGGATTTCTTCATATAATGCTAGACAGAAGAATTCTCAGTAACTTCTTTGTGTTGTGGGTATTCAACTCACAGAGTTGAAGCTTCCTTTAGGCGGAGCAGATTGGAAACACTTTTTGTGGAATTTTCAGGGGGAGACTTCAAGCGCTTTGAGGCCAACGGTAGAAAAGGAAATATCTTCGTATAAAAACTAGACGGAGTCATTCTCAGAAACTACTTTGTGATGTTTGCGTTCAACTCACAGAGTTTAACGTTTCTTTTCATAGAGCAGTTTGGAGACACTCTTTTTGCAGAATCTGCAAGTGGATATTTGGACCTCTTTGTGGCCTTCGTTGGAAACGGGATTTTTCATATAATGCTAGACAGAAGAATTCTCAGTAACTTCTTTTTGTGGTGTGTATTCAACTCACAGAGTTGAACCTTCCTTTAGACAGAGCAGATTTGAAACTCTCTTTTTGTGGAATTTGCAAGTGGAGATTTCAAGCGCTTTGAGGCCAACGGTAGAAAAGGAAATATCTTCGTAGAAAAAATAGACGGAATCATTCTCAGAAACTGCTTTGGGATGTGTGCATTGAACTCACAGTGTTTAACACTTCTTTTCATAGAGCACTTTGGAAACAGTCAGTTTGGAATGTCTGCAGCTGGATATTTGGACCTCTTTGAGGCCTTCGTAGTAAACGGGATTTCCTTCGGGTAATGATAGACAATGAATTCTCAGTGAATTTTTTTCTGTGTGTGTGTATTCAACTCACAGGGTTGAACCATCCTTTAGACAGTGCAGATTTGAAACACTTGTCTGTGGAATTTGCAAGGGGAGATTTCAAGCACTTTGAGGCCATTGGTGGAAAAGGAAATATCTTCGTATGAAAACTAGACAGAATCATTCTCAGGAACTACTTTGTGATATGTGCATTCAACTCACAGAGTTTAACCTTTCTTTTCATAGATGAGTTTGGAAACAGTCAGTTTGTAAATTCTGCAACTGGATATTTGGACCTCTTTGAGGCTTTCGTTGGAAACGGGATTTCTTCACATAATGCTAGACAGAAGAATTCTCAGTAAATTCTTTTGGGATGTATGTATTCAAATCAGAGAGTTGAACCTTCCTTTAGACAGAGCGGATTGGAAACACTCTTTTTGTGGAATTTGCAAGTGGAAAATTCTAGCAGTATGAGGCCAATGGTACAAAAGGAAATATCTTCGTACAAAAACTAGACAGTATCATTCTCAGAAACTGCTTTGTGATGTGTGTATTAAACTCACAGAGTTGAACATTTCTTTGCATAGAGCAGTTTGGAAAGACTTAGTTTGTGCAGTGTGCAAGTGGATATTTGGAACTCTTTGAGGCCCTTCGTTGGAAACGGGATTTCTTCTTATAATTCTTGACAAAGAATTCTCAGTAGCTTCTTTGTGTGTGTGTACTCAACTCACAGAGTTGAACCTTCCTTTAGACAGAGCAGATTGGAAACACTCTTTTTGTGGAATTTGCAAGTGGAAAATTCTAGCAGTATGAGGCCAATGGTACAAAAGGAAATATCTTCGTATAAAAACTAGACAGTATCATTCTCAGAAGCTACTTTGTGATGTGTGCGTTCAACTCACAGAGTTTAACCTTTCTTTTCATAGAGCAGTTTGGAAACCCTCTGTTTGTGAAGTCTGCAAGTGGATATTTAAACGTCTTTGAGGCCTTCGTTGGAAACGGGATTTTTTCATATAAACCAGGACAGAAGAATTCTCAGAAACTTCTTGATTGTTATGTGTGCATTCAACTCACAGAGTTGAACCTTACTTTGGAAAGAGCAGTTTTCTAACACTCTATTTGTAAAAGTTCCAAGTGAATACTTTGAGTGCTTTGAAGCCTACGGTTGACAACGAAATATCTTCATGTAAAAACTACAAAGAATCATTCGCAGAAACCACGTTGTGATCTCTGCATTCAACTCACAGAGTTCAACCTTTCTTCCTATAGAGCAGTTATGAAACAGTCTCTTTGTAGAATTTGCAAGGGTGTATTTAGAGGGCATTGAAGCCTACGGTAGAAAAGGAAATATCTTACGATAAAATCTAGTCAGAGCATTCTCAGAAACTGAGTTGTGATGTTTGCATTCAACTCACAGAGTTCAACATTCCTTTTAATGGAGCGGTTTTGAAACACTCTTTTTGCAGAATCTGCAAGTGGATATTTGGACCTCTTTGAGGCCTTCGTTGGAAACGGGATTTCTTCATGTAATGCCAGACAGAAGAATTCTCAGTGAATTCTTTCTGTGTGTGTGTATTCAACTCACAGAGTTGAACGTTCCTTTAGACAGAGTAGATTGGAAACACTCTTTTTGTGGAATTTTCAGGTGGAGGTATCAAGCGCTTTGAGGCCAATGATAGAAAAGGAAATACCTTCGTATAATAATTAGACGGAATCATTCTCAGAAACTGCTTTGCAATGTGTGCGTTCAACTCACAGTGTTTAACCTTTCTTTTCATACAGTTGTTTCGAAACACTCTTTTTGCAGAATCTGCAAGTGGATATTTGGACCTCTTTGAAGTCTTCGTTGGAAATGGGATTTCTTCATATAATGCTAGACAGAAGACTTCTCAGTAACTGCTTTTTTCTGGTGTGTATTCAACTCTCAGAGTTGAACTTTCCTTTAGAAACAGCAGATTTGAAACTCTCTTTTTGTGGAATTTGCAAGTGGAGATTTCAGAGCTTTGAGGCCAATGGTAGAAAAGGAAATATCTTCGTATGCAAACTAGACAGAATCATTCTCAGAAACTACTTTGGTACGTGTGTGTTCAACTCACAGTGTTTAACCTTTCTTTTCATAGAGCAGTTTGGAAACACTCAGTTTGTAAAGTCAGCAACTGGATATTTGGATGTATTTGAGGCCTTCGTTGGAAACGGGATTTCTTCATATAGTGCTAGACAGAAGAATTCTCAGTAACTTCTTTGGGTTGTGGGTATTCAACTCACAGAGTTGAAGCTTCCTTTAGGCGGAGCAGATTGGAAACACTTTTTGTGGAATTTTCAGGGGGAGACTTCAAGCGCTTTGAAGTGAATGGGAGGAAAGGAAATATCTTCGTATAAAAACTAGACGGAGTCATTCTCAGAAACTACTTTGTGATGTTTGCGTTCAACTCACAGAGTTTAACGTTTCTTTTCATAGAGCAGTTTGGAAACACTCTTTTTGCAGAATCTGCAAGTGGATATTTGGACCTCTTTGTGGCCTTCGTTGGAAACGGGATTTTTCATATAATGCTAGACAGAAGAATTCTCAGTAACTTCTTTTTGTGGTGTGTATTCAACTCACAGAGTTGAACCTTCCTTTAGACAGAGCAGATTTGAAACTCTCTTTTTGTGGAATTTGCAAGTGGAGATTTCAAGCGCTTTGAGGCCAACGGCAGAAAAGGAAATATCTTCGTAGAAAAAATAGACGGAATCATTCTCAGAAACTGCTTTGGGATGTGTGCATTGAACTCACAGTGTTTAACACTTCTTTTCATAGAGCACTTTGGAAACACTCAGTTTGTAATGTCTGCAGCTGGATATTTGGACCTCTTTGAGGCCTTCGTAGTAAACGGGATTTCTTCGTGTAATGATAGACAATAGAATTCTCAGTGAATTTCTTTCTGTGTGTGTGTATTCAACTCACAGGGTTGAACCTTCCTTTAGACAGTGCAGATTTGAAACACTTGTCTGTGGAATTTGCAAGGGGAGATTTCAAGCACTTTGAGGCCATTGGTGGAAAAGGAAATATCTTCGTATAAAAACTAGACAGAATCATTCTCAGGAACTATTTTGTGATATGTGCATTCAACTCCCAGAGTTTAACCTTTCTTTTCATAGATGAGTTTGGAAACAGTCAGTTTGTAAATTCTGCAACTGGATATTTGGACCTCTTTGAGGCTTTCGTTGGAAACGGGATTTCTTCACATAATGCTAGACAGAAGAATTCTCAGTAACTTCTTTTGGGATGTATGTATTCAAATCAGAGAGTTGAACCTTCCTTTAGACAGAGCGGATTGGAAACACTCTTTTTGTGGAATTTGCAAGTGGAAAATTCTAGCAGTATGAGGCCAATGGTACAAAAGGAAATATCTTCGTATAAAAACTAGACAGTATCATTCTCAGAAACTGCTTTGTGATGTGTGTATTAAACTCACAGAGTTGAACATTTCTTTGCATAGAGCAGTTTGGAAAGACTTAGTTTGTGAAGTGTGCAAGTGGATATTTGGAACTCTTTGAGGCCTTCGTTGGAAACGGGATTTCTTCTTATAATTCTTGACAAAGAATTCTCAGTAGCTTCTTTGTGTGTGTGTATTCAACTCACAGAGTTGAACCTTCCTTTAGACAGAGCAGATTGGAAACACTCTTTTTGTGGAATTTGCAAGTGGAGAATTCTAGCGCTTTGACGCCAATGGTAGAAAGGAAATATCTTCGTATAAAAACTAGACAGTATCATTCTCAGAAGCTACTTTGTGATGTGTGCGTTCAACTCACAGAGTTTAACCTTTCTTTTCATAGAGCAGTTTGGAAACCCTCTGTTTGTGAAGTCTGCAAGTGGATATTTAAACGTCTTTGAGGCCTTCGTTGGAAACGGGATTTTTTCATATAAACCAGGACAGAAGAATTCTCAGAAACTTCTTGATTGTTATGTGTGCATTCAACTCACAGAGTTGAACCTTACTTTGGAAAGAGCAGTTTTCTAACACTCTTTTTGTAAAAGTTCCAAGTGAATACTTTGAGTGCTTTGAAGCCTACGGTTGACAACGAAATATCTTCATGTAAAAACTACAAAGAATCATTCGCAGAAACCACGTTGTGATCTCTGCATTCAACTCACAGTGTTGAACCTTTCTTCCTATAGAGCAGTTATGAAACAGTCTCTTTGTAGAATTTGCAAGGGTGTATTTAGAGGGCATTGAAGCCTACGGTAGAAAAGGAAATATCTTACCATAAAATCTAGTCAGAAGCATTCTCAGCAACTGAGTTGTGATGTTTCCATTCAACTCACAGAGTTCAACATTCCTTTTAATGGAGCGGTTTTGAAACACTCTTTTTGCAGAATCTGCAAGTGGATATTTGGACCTGCTTTGAGGCCTTCGTTGGAAACGGGATTTCTTCATGTAATGCCAGACAGAAGAATTCTCAGTGAATTCTTTCTGTGTGTGTGTATTCAACTCACAGAGTTGAACCTTCCTTTAGACAGAGTAGATTGGAAACACTCTTTTTGTGGAATTTTCAGTTGGAGGTATCAAGCGCTTTGAGGCCAATGATAGAAAAGGAAATACCTTCGTATAATAATTAGACGGAATCATTCTCAGAAACCGCTTTGCAATGTGTGCGTTCAACTCACAGTGTTTAACCTTTCTTTTCATACAGTTGTTTCGAAACACTCTTTTTGCAGAATCTGCAAGTGGATATTTGGACCTCTTTGAAGTCTTCGTTGGAAATGGGATTTCTTCATATAATGCTAGACAGAAGACTTCTCAGTAACTGCTTTTTCTGGTGTGTATTCAACTCTCAGAGTTGAACTTTCCTTTAGAAACAGCAGAGTTGAAACTCTCTTTTTGTGGAATTTGCAAGTGGAGATTTCAGAGCTTTGAGGCCAATGGTAGAAAAGGAAATATCTTCGTATGCAAACTAGACAGAATCATTCTCAGAAACTACTTTGGTACGTGTGTGTTCAACTCACAGTGTTTAACCTTTCTTTTCATAGAGCAGTTTGGAAACACTCAGTTTGTAAAGTCAGCAACTGGATATTTGGATGTATTTGAGGCCTTCGTTGGAAACGGGATTTCTTCATATAATGCTAGACAGAAGAATTCTCAGTAACTTCTTTGGGTTGTGGGTATTCAACTCACAGAGTTGAAGCTTCCTTTAGGCGGAGCAGATTGGAAACACTTTTTGTGGAATTTTCAGGGGGAGACTTCAAGCGCTTTGAAAGTGAATGGTAGGAAAGGAAATATCTTCGTATAAAAACTAGACGGAGTCATTCTCAGAAACTACTTTGTGATGTTTGCGTTCAACTCACAGAGTTTAACGTTTCTTTTCATAGAGCAGTTTGGAAACACTCTTTTTGCAGAATCTGCAAGTGGATATTTGGACCTCTTTGTGGCCTTCGTTGGAAACGGGATTTTTCATATAATGCTAGACAGAAGAATTCTCAGTAACTTCTTTTTGTGGTGTGTATTCAACTCACAGAGTTGAACCTTCCTTTAGACAGAGCAGATTTGAAACTCTCTTTTTGTGGAATTTGCAAGTGGAGATTTCAAGCGCTTTGAGGCCAACGGCAGAAAAGGAAATATCTTCTTAGAAAAAATAGACGGAATCATTCTCAGAAACTGCTTTGGGATGTGTGCATTGAACTCACAGTGTTTAACACTTCTTTTCATAGAGCACTTTGGAAACACTCAGTTTGTAATGTCTGCAGCTGGATATTTGGACCTCTTTGAGGCCTTCGTAGTAAACGGGATTTCTTCGTGTAATGATAGACAATAGAATTCTCAGTGAATTTTTTTCTGTGTGTGTGTATTCAACTCACAGGGTTGAACCTTCCTTTAGACAGTGCAGATTTGAAACACGTTTCTGTGGAATTTGCAAGGGGAGATTTCAAGCACTTTGAGGCCATTGGTGGAAAAGGAAATATCTTCGTATAAAAACTAGACAGAATCATTCTCAGGAACTACTTTGTGATATGTGCATTCAACTCACAGAGTTTAACCTTTCTTTTCATAGATGAGTTTGGAAACAGTCAGTTTGTAAATTCTGCAACTGGATATTTGGACCTCTTGGAGGCTTTCGTTGGAAACGGGATTTCTTCACATAATGCTAGACAGAAGAATTCGCAGTAACTTCTTTTGGGATGTATGTATTCAACTCAGAGAGTTGAACCTTCCTTTAGACAGAGCGGATTGGAAACATGCTTTTTGCGGAATTTTCAGGTGGAGATTTCAAGAGCCTTGAGGCCAATGGTAGAAAAGGCTATCTTCGTATAAAAACTAGACGGAATCATTCTCAGAAACTTCTTTGGGATGTGTGCATTGAACTCACAGTGTTTAACACTTCTTTTCCTAGAGCACTTTGGAAACACTCAGTTTGTAAAGTCAGCAACTGGATATTTTGATGTATTTGAGGCCTTCGTTGGAAACGGGATTTCTTCATATAATGCGAGACAGAAGAATTCTCAGTAACTTCTTTGTGTTGTGGGTATTCAACTCACAGAGTTGAAGCTTCCTTTAGGCGGAGCAGATTGGAAACACTTTTTGTGGAATTTTCAGGGGGAGACTTCAAGCGCTTTGAGGCCAACGGTAGAAAAGGAAATATCTTCGTATAAAAACTAGACGGAGTCATTCTCAGAAACTACTTTGTGATGTTTGCGTTCAACTCACAGAGTTTGACGTTTCTTTTCATAGAGCAGTTTGGAAACACTCTTTTTGCAGAATCTGCAAGTGGATATTTGGACCTCTTTGTGGCCTTCGTTGGAAACGGGATTTTTCATATAATGCTAGACAGAAGAATTCTCAGTAACTTCTTTTTGTGGTGTGTATTCAACTCACAGAGTTGAACCTTCCTTTAGACAGAGCAGATTTGAAACTCTCTTTTTGTGGAATTTGCAAGTGGAGATTTCAAGCGCTTTGAGGCCAACGGTAGAAAAGGAAATATCTTCGTTGAAAAAATAGACGGAATCATTCTCAGAAACTGCTTTGGGATGTGTGCATTGAACTCACAGTGTTTAACACTTCTTTTCATAGAGCACTTTGGAAACACTCAGTTTGTAATGTCTGCAGCTGGATATTTGGACCTCTTTGAGGCCTTCGTAGTAAACGGGATTTCTTCGTGTAATGATAGACAATAGAATTCTCAGTGAATTTTTTTCTGTGTGTGTGTATTCAACTCACAGGGTTGAACCTTCCTTTAGACAGTGCAGATTTGAAACACTTGTCTGTGGAATTTGCAAGGGGAGATTTCAAGCACTTTGAGGCCATTGGTGGAAAAGGAAATATCTTCGTATAAAAACTAGACAGAATCATTCTCAGGAACTACTTTGTGATATGTGCATTCAACTCACAGAGTTTAACCTTTCTTTTCATAGATGAGTTTGGAAACAGTCAGTTTGTAAATTCTGCAACTGGATATTTGGACCTCTTTGAGGCTTTCGTTGGAAACGGGATTTCTTCACATAATGCTAGACAGAAGAATTCTCAGTAACTTCTTTTGGGATGTATGTATTCAAATCAGAGAGTTGAACCTTCCTTTAGACAGAGCGGATTGGAAACACTCTCTTTGTGGAATTTGCAAGTGGAAAATTCTAGCAGTATGAGGCCAATGGTACAAAAGGAAATATCTTCGTATAAAAACTAGACAGTATCATTCTCAGAAACTGCTTTGTGATGTGTGTATTAAACTCACAGAGTTGAACATTTCTTTGCATAGAGCAGTTTGGAAAGACTTAGTTTGTGCAGTGTGCAAGTGGATATTTGGAACTCTTTGAGGCCTTCGTTGGAAACGGGATTTCTTCTTATAATTCTTGACAAAAGAATTCTCAGTAGCTTCTTTGTGTGTGTGTATTCAACTCACAGAGTTGAACCTTCCTTTAGACAGAGCAGATTGGAAACACACTTTTTGTGGAATTTGCAAGTGGAGAATTCTAGCGCTTTGACGCCAATGGTAGAAAGGAAATATCTTCGTATAAAAACTAGACAGTATCATTCTCAGAAACTATTTGTGATGTGTGCGTTCAACTCACAGAGTTTAACCTTTCTTTTCATAGAGCAGTTTGGAAACACTCTGTTTGTGAAGTCTGCATGTGGATATTTAAACGTCTTTGAGGCCTTCGTTGGAAACGGGATTTTTTCATATAAACCAGGACAGAAGAATTCTCAGAAACTTCTTGATTGTTATGGGTGCATTCAACTCACAGAGTTGAACCTTACTTTGGAAAGAGCAGTTTTCTAACACTCTTTTTGTAAAATTTCCAAGTGAATACTTTGAGTGCTTTGAAGCCTACGGTTGACAACGAAATATCTTCATGTAAAAACTACAAAGAATCATTCGCAGAAACCACGTTGTGATCTCTGCATTCAACTCACAGAGTTGAACCTTTCTTCCTATAGAGCAGTTATGAAACAGTCTCTTTGTAGAATTTGCAAGGGTGTATTTAGAGGGCATTGAAGCCTACGGTAGAAAAGGAAATATCTTACCATAAAATCTAGTCAGAAGCATTCTCAGCAACTGAGTTGTGATGTTTGCATTCAACTCACAGAGTTCAACATTCCTTTTAATGGAGCGGTTTTGAAACACTCTTTTTGCAGAATCTGCAAGTGGATATTTGGACCTCTTTGAGGCCTTCGTTGGAAACGGGATTTCTTCATGTAATGCCAGACAGAAGAATTCTCAGTGAATTCTTTCTGTGTGTGTGTATTCAACTCACAGAGTTGAACGTTCCTTTAGACAGAGTAGATTGGAAACACTCTTTTTGTGGAATTTTCAGGTGGAGGTATCAAGCGCTTTGAGGCCAATGATAGAAAAGGAAATACCTTCGTATAATAATTAGACGGAATCATTCTCAGAAACTGCTTTGCAATGTGTGCGTTCAACTCACAGTGTTTAACCTTTCTTTTCATACAGTTGTTTCGAAACACTCTTTTTGCAGAATCTGCAAGTGGATATTTGGACTTCTTTGAAGTCTTCGTTGGAAATGGGATTTCTTCATATAATGCTAGACAGAAGACTTCTCAGTAACTGCTTTTTCTGGTGTGTATTCAACTCTCAGAGTTGAACTTTCCTTTAGAAACAGCAGATTTGAAACTCTCTTTTTGTGGAATTTGCAAGTGGAGATTTCAGAGCTTTGAGGCCAATGGTAGAAAAGGAAATATCTTCGTATGCAAACTAGACAGAATCATTCTCAGAAACTACTTTGGTACGTGTGTGTTCAACTCACAGTGTTTAACCTTTCTTTTCATAGAGCAGTTTGGAAACACTCAGTTTGTAAAGTCAGCAACTGGATATTTGGATGTATTTGAGGCCTTCGTTGGAAACGGGATTTCTTCATATAATGCTAGACAGAAGAATTCTCAGTAACTTCTTTGGGTTGTGGGTATTCAAGTCACAGAGTTGAAGCTTCCTTTAGGCGGAGCAGATTGGAAACACTTTTTGTGGAATTTTCAGGGGGAGACTTCAAGCGCTTTGAAGTGAATGGTAGGAAAGGAAATATCTTCGTATAAAAACTAGACGGAGTCATTCTCAGAAACTACTTTGTGATGTTTGCGTTCAACTCACAGAGTTTAACGTTTCTTTTCATAGAGCAGTTTGGAAACACTCTTTTTGCAGAATCTGCAAGTGGATATTTGGACCTCTTTGTGGCCTTCGTTGGAAACGGGATTTTTCATATAATGCTAGACAGAAGAATTCTCAGTAACTTCTTTTTGTGGTGTGTATTCAACTCACAGAGTTGAACCTTCCTTTAGACAGAGCAGATTTGAAACTCTCTTTTTGTGGAATTTGCAAGTGGAGATTTCAAGCGCTTTGAGGCCAACGGCAGAAAAGGAAATATCTTCGTAGAGAAAATAGACGGAATCATTCTCAGAAACTGCTTTGGGATGTGTGCATTGAACTCACAGTGTTTAACACTTCTTTTCATAGAGCACTTTGGAAACACTCAGTTTGTAATGTCTGCAGCTGGATATTTGGACCTCTTTGAGGCCTTCGTGGTAAACGGGATTTCTTCGTGTAATGATAGACAATAGAATTCTCAGTGAATTTTTTTCTGTGTGTGTGTATTCAACTCACAGGGTTGAACCTTCCTTTAGACAGTGCAGATTTGAAACACTTGTCTGTGGAATTTGCAAGGGGAGATTTCAAGCACTTTGAGGCCATTGGTGGAAAAGGAAATATCTTCGTATGAAAACTAGACAGAATCATTCTCAGGAACTACTTTGTGATATGTGCATTCAACTCCCAGAGTTTAACCTTTCTTTTCATAGATGAGTTTGGAAACAGTCAGTTTGTAAATTCTGCAACTGGATATTTGGACCTCTTTGAGGCTTTCGTTGGAAACGGGATTTCTTCACATAATGCTAGACAGAAGAATTCTCAGGAACTTCTTTTGGGATGTATGTATTCAAATCAGAGAGTTGAACCTTCCTTTAGACAGAGCGGATTGGAAACACTCTTTTTGTGGAATTTGCAAGTGGAAAATTCTAGCAGTATGAGGCCAATGGTACAAAAGGAAATATCTTCGTATAAAAACTAGACAGTATCATTCTCAGAAACTGCTTTGTGATGTGTGTATTAAACTCACAGAGTTGAACATTTCTTTGCATAGAGCAGTTTGGAAAGACTTAGTTTGTGCAGTGTGCAAGTGGATATTTGGAACTCTTTGAGGCCTTCGTTGGAAACGGGATTTCTTCTTATAATTCTTGACAAAAGAATTCTCAGTAGCTTCTTTGTGTATGTGTGTGTTCAACTCACAGAGTTGAACCTTCCTTTAGACAGAGCAGATTGGAAACACTCTTTTTGTGGAATTTGCAAGTGGAGAATTCTAGCGATTTGAGGCCAGTGGTACAAAAGGAAATATCTTCGTATAAAAACTAGACAGTATCATTCTCAGAAACTACTTTGTGATGTGTGCGTTCAACTCACAGTGTTTACCCTTTCTTTTCATAGAGCAGTTTGGAAACACTCTGTTTGTGACGTCTGCAAGTGGATATTTAAACGTTCTTTGAGGCCTTCGTTGGAAACGGGATTTCTTCATATAAACCAGGACAGAAGAATTCTCAGAAACGTCTTGATTGTTATGTGTGCATTCAACTCACAGAGTTGAACCTTACTTTGGAAAGAGCAGTTTTCTAATACTCTTTTTGTAAAAGTTCCAAGTGAATACTTTGAGTGCTTTGAAGCCTACGGTTGACAACGAAATATCTTCATGTAAAAACTACAAAGAATCATTCGCAGAAACCACGTTGTGATCTCTGCATTCAACTCACAGAGTTGAACCTTTCTTCCTATAGAGCAGTTATGAAACAGTCTCTTTGTAGAATTTGCAAGGGTGTATTTAGAGGGCATTGAAGCCTACGGTAGAAAAGGAAATATCTTACCATAAAATCTAGTCAGAAGCATTCTCAGCAACTGAGTTGTGATGTTTGCATTCAACTCACAGAGTTCAACATTCCTTTTAATGGAGCGGTTTTGAAACACTCTTTTTGCAGAATCTGCAAGTGGATATTTGGACCTCTTTGAGGCCTTCGTTGGAAACGGGATTTCTTCATGTAATGCCAGACAGAAGAATTCTCAGTGAATTCTTTCTGTGTGTGTGTATTCAACTCACAGAGTTGAACGTTCCTTTAGACAGAGTAGATTGGAAACACTCTTTTTGTGGAATTTTCAGGTGGAGGTATCAAGCGCTTTGAGGCCAATGATAGAAAAGGAAATACCTTCGTATAATAATTAGACGGAATCATTCTCAGAAACCGCTTTGCAATGTGTGCGTTCAACTCACAGTGTTTAACCTTTCTTTTCATACAGTTGTTTCGAAACACTCTTTTTGCAGAATCTGCAAGTGGATATTTGGACCTCTTTGAAGTCTTCGTTGGAAATGGGATTTCTTCATATAATGCTAGACAGAAGACTTCTCAGTAACTGCTTTTTCTGGTGTGTATTCAACTCTCAGAGTTGAACTTTCCTTTAGAAACAGCAGATTTGAAACTCTCTTTTTGTGGAATTTGCAAGTGGAGATTTCAGAGCTTTGAGGCCAATGGTAGAAAAGGAAATATCTTCGTATGCAAACTAGACAGAATCATTCTCAGAAACTACTTTGGTACGTGTGTGTTCAACTCACAGTGTTTAACCTTTCTTTTCATAGAGCAGTTTGGAAACACTCAGTTTGTAAAGTCAGCAACTGGATATTTGGATGTATTTGAGGCCTTCGTTGGAAACGGGATTTCTTCATATAGTGCTAGACAGAAGAATTCTCAGTAACTTCTTTGGGTTGTGGGTATTCAACTCACAGAGTTGAAGCTTCCTTTAGGCGGAGCAGATTGGAAACACTTTTTGTGGAATTTTCAGGGGGAGACTTCAAGCGCTTTGAAGTGAATGGTAGAAAAGGAAATATCTTCGTATAAAAACTAGACGGAGTCATTCTCAGAAACTACTTTGTGATGTTTGCGTTCAACTCACAGAGTTTAACGTTTCTTTTCATAGAGCAGTTTGGAAACACTCTTTTTGCAGAATCTGCAAGTGGATATTTGGACCTCTTTGTGGCCTTCGTTGGAAACGGGATTTTTCATATAATGCTAGACAGAAGAATTCTCAGTAACTTCTTTTTGTGGTGTGTATTCAACTCACAGAGTTGAACCTTCCTTTAGACAGAGCAGATTTGAAACTCTCTTTTTGTGGAATTTGCAAGTGGAGATTTCAAGCGCTTTGAGGCCAACGGCAGAAAAGGAAATATCTTCGTAGAAAAAATAGACGGAATCATTCTCAGAAACTGCTTTGGGATGTGTGCATTGAACTCACAGTGTTTAACACTTCTTTTCATAGAGCACTTTGGAAACACTCAGTTTGTAATGTCTGCAGCTGGATATTTGGACCTCTTTGAGGCCTTCGTAGTAAACGGGATTTCTTCGTGTAATGATAGACAATAGAATTCTCAGTGAATTTTTTTCTGTGTGTGTGTATTCAACTCACAGGGTTGAACCTTCCTTTAGACAGTGCAGATTTGAAACACTTGTCTGTGGAATTTGCAAGGGGAGATTTCAAGCACTTTGAGGCCATTGGTGGAAAAGGAAATATCTTCGTATAAAAACTAGACAGAATCATTCTCAGGAACTACTTTGTGATATGTGCATTCAACTCACAGAGTTTAACCTTTCTTTTCATAGATGAGTTTGGAAACAGTCAGTTTGTAAATTCTGCAACTGGATATTTGGACCTCTTTGAGGCTTTCGTTGGAAACGGGATTTCTTCACATAATGCTAGACAGAAGAATTCTCAGTAACTTCTTTTGGGATGTATGTATTCAAATCAGAGAGTTGAACCTTCCTTTAGACAGAGCGGATTGGAAACACTCTTTTTGTGGAATTTGCAAGTGGAAAATTCTAGCAGTATGAGGCCAATGGTACAAAAGGAAATATCTTCGTATAAAAACTAGACAGTATCATTCTCAGAAACTGCTTTGTGATGTGTGTATTAAACTCACAGAGTTGAACATTTCTTTGCATAGAGCAGTTTGGAAAGACTTAGTTTGTGCAGTGTGCAAGTGGATATTTGGAACTCTTTGAGGCCTTCGTTGGAAACGGGATTTCTTCTTATAATTCTTGACAAAAGAATTCTCAGTAGCTTCTTTGTGTGTGTGTATTCAACTCACAGAGTTGAACCTTCCTTTAGACAGAGCAGATTGGAAACACTCTTTTTGTGGAATTTGCAAGTGGAGAATTCTAGCGCTTTGACGCCAATGGTAGAAAGGAAATATCTTCCTATATAAACTAGACAGTATCATTCTCAGAAACTACTTTGTGATGTGTGCGTTCAACTCACAGAGTTTAACCTTTCTTTTCATAGAGCAGTTTGGAAACACTCTGTTTGTGAAGTCTGCAAGTGGATATTTAAACGTCTTTGAGGCCTTCGTTGGAAACGGGATTTTTTCCTATAAACCAGGACAGAAGGATTCTCAGAAACTTCTTGTTTGTTATGTGTGCATTCAACTCACAGAGTTGAACCTTACTTTGGAAAGAGCAGTTTTCTAACACTCTTATTTTAAAAGTTCCAAGTGAATACTTTGAGTGCTTTGAAGCCTACGGTAGACAACGAAATATCTTCATGTAAAAACTACAAAGAATCATTCGCAGAAACCACGTTGTGATCTCTGCATTCAACTCACAGAGTTCAACCTTTCTTCCTATAGAGCAGTTATTAAACAGTCTCTTTGTAGAATTTGCAAGGGTGTATTTAGAGGGCATTGAAGCCTACGGTAGAAAAGGAAATATCTTACCATAAAATCTAGTCAGAAGCATCCTCAGAAACTGAGTTGTGATGTTTGCATTCAACTCACAGAGTTCAACATTCCTTTTAATAGAGCGGTTTTGAAACACTCTTTTTGCAGAATCTGCAAGTGGATATTTGGACCTCTTTGAGGCCTTCATTGGAAACGGGATTTCTTCATGTAATGCCAGACAGAAGAATTCTCAGTGAATTCTTTCTGTGTGTGTGTATTCAACTCACAGAGTTGAACGTTCCTTTAGACAGAGTAGATTGGAAACACTCTTTTTGTGGAATTTTCAGGTGGAGGTATCAAGCGCTTTGAGGCCCATGATAGAAAAGGAAATACCTTCGTATAATAATTAGACGGAATCATTCTCAGAAACTGCTTTGCAATGTGTGCGTTCAACTCACAGTGTTTAACCTTTCTTTTCATACAGTTGTTTCGAAACACTCTTTTTGCAGAATCTGCAAGTGGATATTCGGACCTCTTTGAAGTCTTCGTTGGAAATGGGATTTCTTCACATAATGCTAGACAGAAGACTTCTCAGTAACTGCTTTTTCTGGTGTGTATTCAACTCTCAGAGTTGAACTTTCCTTTAGAAACAGCAGATTTGAAACTCTCTTTTTGTGGAATTTGCAAGTGGAGATTTCAAAGCTTTGAGGCCAGTGGTAGAAAAGGAAATATCTTTGTATGCAAACTAGACAGAATCATTCTCAGAAACTACTTTGGTACGTGTGTGTTCAACTCACAGTGTTTAACCTTTCTTTTCATAGAGCAGTTTGGAAACACTCAGTTTGTAAAGTCAGCAACTGGATATGTGGATGTATTTGAGGCCTTCGTTGGAAACGGGATTTCTTCATATAATGCGAGACAGAAGAATTCTCAGTAACTTCTTTGTGTTGTGGGTATTCAACTCACAGAGTTGAAGCTTCCTTTAGGCGGAGCAGATTGGAAACACTTTTTGTGGAATTTTCAGGGGGAGACTTCAAGCGCTTTGAGGCCAACGGTAGAAAAGGAAATATCTTCGTATAAAAACTAGACGGAGTCATTCTCAGAAACTACTTTGTGATGTTTGCGTTCAACTCACAGAGTTTAACGTTTCTTTTCATAGAGCAGTTTGGAAACACTCTTTTTGCAGAATCTGCAAGTGGATATTTGGACCTCTTTGTGGCCTTCGTTGGAAACGGGATTTTTCATATAATGCTAGACAGAAGAATTCTCAGTAACTCCTTTTTGTGGTGTGAATTCAACTCACAGAGTTGAACCTTCCTTTAGACAGAGCAGATTTGAAACTCTCTTTTTGTGGAATTTGCAAGTGGAGATTTCAAGCGCTTTGAGGCCAACGGCAGAAAAGGAAATATCTTCGTAGAAAAAATAGACGGAATCATTCTCAGAAACTGCTTTGGGATGTGTGCATTGAACTCACAGTGTTTAACACTTCTTTTCATAGAGCACTTTGGAAACACTCAGTTTGTAATGTCTGCAGCTGGATATTTGGACCTCTTTGAGGCCTTCGTAGTAAACGGGATTTCTTCGTGTAATGATAGACAATAGAATTCTCAGTGAATTTTTTTCTGTGTGTGTGTATTCAACTCACAGGGTTGAACCTTCCTTTAGACAGTGCAGATTTGAAACACTTGTCTGTGGAATTTGCAAGGGGAGATTTCAAGCACTTTGAGGCCATTGGTGGAAAAGGAAATATCTTCGTAAAAAAACTAGACAGAATCATTCTCAGGAACTACTTTGTGATATGTGCATTCAACTCACAGAGTTTAACCTTTCTTTTCATAGATGAGTTTGGAAACAGTCAGTTTGTAAATTCTGCAACTGGATATTTGGACCTCTTTGAGGCTTTCGTTGGAAACGGGATTTCTTCACATAATGCTAGACAGAAGAATTCTCAGTAACTTCTTTTGGGATGTATGTATTCAAATCAGAGAGTTGAACCTTCCTTTAGACAGAGCGGATTGGAAACACTCTTTTTGTGGAATTTGCAAGTGGAAAATTCCTAGCAGTATGAGGCCAATGGTACAAAAGGAAATATCTTCGTATAAAAACTAGACAGTATCATTCTCAGAAACTGCTTTGTGATGTGTGTATTAAACTCACAGAGTTGAACATTTCTTTGCATAGAGCAGTTTGGAAAGACTTAGTTTGTGCAGTGTGCAAGTGGATATTTGGAACTCTTTGAGGCCTTCGTTGGAAACGGGATTTCTTCTTATAATTCTTGACAAAAGAATTCTCAGTAGCTTCTTTGTGTATGTGTATTCAACTCACAGAGTTGAACCTTCCTTTAGACAGAGCAGATTGGAAACACTCTTTTTGTGGAATTTGCAAGTGGAGAATTCTAGCGCTTTGACGCCAATGGTAGAAAGGAAATATCTTCGTATAAAAACTAGACAGTATCATTCTCAGAAGCTACTTTGTGATGTGTGCGTTCAACTCACAGAGTTTAACCTTTCTTTTCATAGAGCAGTTTGGAAACCCTCTGTTTGTGAAGTCTGCAAGTGGATATTTAAACGTCTTTGAGGCCTTCGTTGGAAACGGGATTTTTTCATATAAACCAGGACAGAAGAATTCTCAGAAACTTCTTGATTGTTATGTGTGCATTCAACTCACAGAGTTGAACCTTACTTTGGAAAGAGCAGTTTTCTAACACTCTTTTTGTAAAAGTTCCAAGTGAATACTTTGAGTGCTTTGAAGCCTACGGTTGACAACGAAATATCTTCATGTAAAAACTACAAAGAATCATTCGCAGAAACCACGTTGTGATCTCTGCAGTCAACTCACAGAGTTCAACCTTTCTTCCTATAGAGCAGTTATGAAACAGTCTCTTTGTAGAATTTGCAAGGGTGTATTTAGAGGGCATTGAAGCCTACGGTAGAAAAGGAAATATCTTACCATAAAATCTAGTCAGAAGCATTCTCAGAAACTGAGTTGTGATGTTTGCATTCAACTCACAGAGTTCAACATTCCTTTTAATGGAGCGGTTTTGAAACACTCTTTTTGCAGAATCTGCAAGTGGATATTTGGACCTCTTTGAGGCCTTCGTTGGAAACGGGATTTCTTCATGTAATGCCAGACAGAAGAATTCTCAGTGAATTCTTTCTGTGTGTGTGTATTCAACTCACAGAGTTGAACGTTCCTTTAGACAGAGTAGATTGGAAACACTCTTTTTGTGGAATTTTCAGGTGGAGGTATCAAGCGCTTTGAGGCCAATGATAGAAAAGGAAATACCTTCGTATAATAATTAGACGGAATCATTCTCAGAAACCGCTTTGCAATGTGTGCGTTCAACTCACAGTGTTTAACCTTTCTTTTCATACAGTTGTTTCGAAACACTCTTTTTGCAGAATCTGCAAGTGGATATTTGGACCTCTTTGAAGTCTTCGTTGGAAATGGGATTTCTTCATATAATGCTAGACAGAAGACTTCTCAGTAACTGCTTTTTCTGGTGTGTATTCAACTCTCAGAGTTGAACTTTCCTTTAGAAACAGCAGATTTGAAACTCTCTTTTTGTGGAATTTGCAAGTGGAGATTTCAGAGCTTTGAGGCCAATGGTAGAAAAGGAAATATCTTCGTATGCAAACTAGACAGAATCATTCTCAGAAACTACTTTGGTACGTGTGTGTTCAACTCACAGTGTTTAACCTTTCTTTTCATAGAGCAGTTTGGAAACACTCAGTTTGTAAAGTCAGCAACTGGATATTTGGATGTATTTGAGGCCTTCGTTGGAAACGGGATTTCTTCATATAATGCTAGACAGAAGAATTCTCAGTAACTTCTTTGGGTTGTGGGTATTCAAGTCACAGAGTTGAAGCTTCCTTTAGGCGGAGCAGATTGGAAACACTTTTTGTGGAATTTTCAGGGGGAGACTTCAAGCGCTTTGAAGTGAATGGTAGGAAAGGAAATATCTTCGTATAAAAACTAGACGGAGTCATTCTCAGAAACTACTTTGTGATGTTTGCGTTCAACTCACAGAGTTTAACGTTTCTTTTCATAGAGCAGTTTGGAAACACTCTTTTTGCAGAATCTGCAAGTGGATATTTGGACCTCTTTGTGGCCTTCGTTGGAAACGGGATTTTTCATATAATGCTAGACAGAAGAATTCTCAGTAACTTCTTTTTGTGGTGTGTATTCAACTCACAGAGTTGAACCTTCCTTTAGACAGAGCAGATTTGAAACTCTCTTTTTGTGGAATTTGCAAGTGGAGATTTCAAGCGCTTTGAGGCCAACGGTAGAAAAGGAAATATCTTCGTAGAGAAAAGAGACGGAATCATTCTCAGAAACTGCTTTGGGATGTGTGCATTGAACTCACAGTGTTTAACACTTCTTTTCATAGAGCACTTTGGAAACACTCAGTTTGTAATGTCTGCAGCTGGATATTTGGACCTCTTTGAGGCCTTCATAGTAAACGGGATTTCTTCGTGTAATGATAGACAATAGAATTCTCAGTGAATTTCTTTCTGTGTGTGTGTATTCAACTCACAGGGTTGAACCTTCCTTTAGACAGTGCAGATTTGAAACACTTGTCTGTGGAATTTGCAAGGGGAGATTTCAAGCACTTTGAGGCCATTGGTGGAAAAGGAAATATCTTCGTATAAAAACTAGACAGAATCATTCTCAGGAACTACTTTGTGATATGTGCATTCAACTCCCAGAGTTTAACCTTTCTTTTCATAGATGAGTTTGGAAACAGTCAGTTTGTAAATTCTGCAACTGGATATTTGGACCTCTTTGAGGCTTTCGTTGGAAACGGGATTTCTTCACATAATGCTAGACAGAAGAATTCTCAGTAACTTCTTTTGGGATGTATGTATTCAAATCAGAGAGTTGAACCTTCCTTTAGACAGAGCGGATTGGAAACACTCTTTTTGTGGAATTTGCAAGTGGAAAATTCTAGCAGTATGAGGCCAATGGTACAAAAGGAAATATCTTCGTATAAAAACTAGACAGTATCATTCTCAGAAACTGCTTTGTGATGTGTGTATTAAACTCACAGAGTTGAACATTTCTTTGCATAGAGCAGTTTGGAAAGACTTAGTTTGTGCAGTGTGCAAGTGGATATTTGGAACTCTTTGAGGCCTTCGTTGGAAACGGGATTTCTTCTTATAATTTCTTGAAAAAAGAATTCTCAGTAGCTTCTTTGTGTGTGTGTATTCAACTCACAGAGTTGAACCTTCCTTTAGACAGAGCAGATTGGAAACACTCTTTTTGTGGAATTTGCAAGTGGAGAATTCTAGCGCTTTGACGCCAATGGTAGAAAGGAAATATACTTCGTATAAAAACTAGACAGTATCATTCTCAGAAGCTACTTTGTGATGTGTGCGTTCAACTCACAGAGTTTAACCTTTCTTTTCATAGAGCAGTTTGGAAACCCTCTGTTTGTGAAGTCTGCAAGTGGATATTTAAACGTCTTTGAGGCCTTCGTTGGAAACGGGATTTTTTCATATAAACCAGGACAGAAGAATTCTCAGAAACTTCTTGATTGTTATGTGTGCATTCAACTCACAGAGTTGAACCTTACTTTGGAAAGAGCAGTTTTCTAACACTCTTTTTGTAAAAGTTCCAAGTGAATACTTTGAGTGCTTTGAAGCCTACGGTTGACAACGAAATATCTTCATGTAAAAACTACAAAGAATCATTCGCAGAAACCACGTTGTGATCTCTGCATTCAACTCACAGAGTTGAACCTTTCTTCCTATAGAGCAGTTATGAAACAGTCTCTTTGTAGAATTTGCAAGGGTGTATTTAGAGGGCATTGAAGCCTACGGTATAAAAGGAAATATCTTACCATAAAATCTAGTCAGAAGCATTCTCAGCAACTGAGTTGTGATGTTTGCATTCAACTCACAGAGTTCAACATTCCTTTTAATGGAGCGGTTTTGAAACACTCTTTTTGCAGAATCTGCAAGTGGATATTTGGACCTCTTTGAGGCCTTCGTTGGAAACGGGATTTCTTCATGTAATGCCAGACAGAAGAATTCTCAGTGAATTCTTTCTGTGTGTGTGTATTCAACTCACAGAGTTGAACGTTCCTTTAGACAGAGTAGATTGGAAACACTCTTTTTGTGGAATTTTCAGGTGGAGGTATCAAGCGCTTTGAGGCCAATGATAGAAAAGGAAATACCTTCGTATAATAATTAGACGGAATCATTCTCAGAAACTGCTTTGCAATGTGTGCGTTCAACTCACAGTGTTTAACCTTTCTTTTCATACAGTTGTTTCGAAACACTCTTTTTGCAGAATCTGCAAGTGGATATTTGGACCTCTTTGAAGTCTTCGTTGGAAATGGGATTTCTTCATATAATGCTAGACAGAAGACTTCTCAGTAACTGCTTTTTCTGGTGTGTATTCAACTCTCAGAGTTGAACTTTCCTTTAGAAACAGCAGATTTGAAACTCTCTTTTTGTGGAATTTGCAAGTGGAGATTTCAGAGCTTTGAGGCCAATGGTAGAAAAGGAAATATCTTCGTATGCAAACTAGACAGAATCATTCTCAGAAACTACTTTGGTACGTGTGTGTTCAACTCACAGTGTTTAACCTTTCTTTTCATAGAGCAGTTTGGAAACACTCAGTTTGTAAAGTCAGCAACTGGATATTTGGATGTATTTGAGGCCTTCGTTGGAAACGGGATTTCTTCATATAATGCTAGACAGAAGAATTCTCAGTAACTTCTTTGGGTTGTGGGTATTCAAGTCACAGAGTTGAAACTTCCTTTAGGCGGAGCAGATTGGAAACACTTTTTGTGGAATTTTCAGGGGGAGACTTCAAGCGCTTTGAAGTGAATGGTAGGAAAGGAAATATCTTCGTATAAAAACTAGACGGAGTCATTCTCAGAAACTACTTTGTGATGTTTGCGTTCAACTCACAGAGTTTAACGTTTCTTTTCATAGAGCAGTTTGGAAACACTCTTTTTGCAGAATCTGCAAGTGGATATTTGGACCTCTTTGTGGCCTTCGTTGGAAACGGGATTTTTCATATAATGCTAGACAGAAGAATTCTCAGTAACTTCTTTTTGTGGTGTGTATTCAACTCACAGAGTTGAACCTTCCTTTAGACAGAGCAGATTTGAAACTCTCTTTTTGTGGAATTTGCAAGTGGAGATTTCAAGCGCTTTGAGGCCAACGGCAGAAAAGGAAATATCTTCGTAGAAAAAATAGACGGAATCATTCTCAGAAACTGCTTTGGGATGTGTGCATTGAACTCACAGTGTTTAACACTTCTTTTCATAGAGCACTTTGGAAACACTCAGTTTGTAATGTCTGCAGCTGGATATTTGGACCTCTTTGAGGCCTTCGTAGTAAACGGGATTTCTTCGTGTAATGATAGACAATAGAATTCTCAGTGAATTTGTTTCTGTGTGTGTGTATTCAACTCACAGGGTTGAACCTTCCTTTAGACAGTGCAGATTTGAAACACTTGTCTGTGGAATTTGCAAGGGGAGATTTCAAGCACTTTGAGGCCATTGGTGGAAAAGGAAATATCTTCGTATAAAAACTAGACAGAATCATTCTCAGGAACTACTTTGTGATATGTGCATTCAACTCACAGAGTTTAACCTTTCTTTTCATAGATGAGTTTGGAAACAGTCAGTTTGTAAATTCTGCAACTGGATATTTGGACCTCTTTGAGGCTTTCGTTGGAAACGGGATTTCTTCACATAATGCTAGACAGAAGAATTCTCAGTAACTTCTTTTGGGATGTATGTATTCAAATCAGAGAGTTGAACCTTCCTTTAGACAGAGCGGATTGGAAACACTCTTTTTGTGGAATTTGCAAGTGGAAAATTCTAGCAGTATGAGGCCAATGGTACAAAAGGAAATATCTTCGTATAAAAACTAGACAGTAATCATTCTCAGAAACTGCTTTGTGATGTGTGTATTAAACTCACAGATTTGAACATTTCTTTGCATAGAGCAGTATGGAAAGACTTAGTTTGTGCAGTGTGCAAGTGGATATTTGGAACTCTTTGAGGCCTTGGTTGGAAACGGGATTTCTTCTTATAATTCTTGACAAAAGAATTCTCAGTAGCTTCTTTGTGTGTGTGTACTCAACTCACAGAGTTGAACCTTCCTTTAGACAGAGCAGAGTGGAAACACTCTTTTTGTGGAATTTGCAAGTGGAAAATTCTAGCAGTATGAGGCCAATGGTACAAAAGGAAATATCTTCGTATAAAAACTAGACAGTATCATTCTCAGAAACTACTTTGTGATGTGTGCAGTTCAACTCACAGAGTTTAACCTTTCTTTTCATAGAGCAGTTTGGAAACACTCTGTTTGTGAAGTCTGCAAGTGGATATTTAAACGTCTTTGAGGCCTTCGTTGGAAACGGGATTTTTTCATATAAACCAGGACAGAAGAATTCTCAGAAACTTCTTGATTGTTATGTGTGCATTCAACTCACAGAGTTGAACCTTACTTTGGAAAGAGCAGTTTTCTAACACTCTTTTTGTAAAAGTTCCAAGTGAATACTTTGAGTGCTTTGAAGCCTACGGTTGACAACGAAATATCTTCATGTAAAAACTACAAAGAATCATTCGCAGAAACCACGTTGTGATCTCTGCATTCAACTCACAGAGTTGAACCTTTCTTCCTATAGAGCAGTTATGACACAGTCTCTTTGTAGAATTTGCAAGGGTGTATTTAGAGGGCATTGAAGCCTACGGTAGAAAAGGAAATATCTTACCATAAAATCTAGTCAGAAGCATTCTCAGAAACTGAGTTGTGATGTTTGCATTCAACTCACAGAGTTCAACATTCCTTTTAATGGAGCGGTTTTGAAACACTCTTTTTGCAGAATCTGCAAGTGGATATTTGGACCTCTTTGAGGCCTTCGTTGGAAACGGGATTTCTTCATGTAATGCCAGACAGAAGAATTCTCAGTGAATTCTTTCTGTGTGTGTGTATTCAACTCACAGAGTTGAACGTTCCTTTAGACAGAGTAGATTGGAAACACTCTTTTTGTGGAATTTTCAGGTGGAGGTATCAAGCGCTTTGAGGCCAATGATAGAAAAGGAAATACCTTCGTATAATAATTAGACGGAATCATTCTCAGAAACCGCTTTGCAATGTGTGCGTTCAACTCACAGTGTTTAACCTTTCTTTTCATACAGTTGTTTCGAAACACTCTTTTTGCAGAATCTGCAAGTGGATATTTGGACCTCTTTGAAGTCTTCGTTGGAAATGGGATTTCTTCATATAATGCTAGACAGAAGACTTCTCAGTAACTGCTTTTTCTGGTGTGTATTCAACTCTCAGAGTTGAACTTTCCTTTAGAAACAGCAGATTTGAAACTCTCTTTTTGTGGAATTTGCAAGTGGAGATTTCAGAGCTTTGAGGCCAATGGTAGAAAAGGAAATATCTTCGTATGCAAACTAGACAGAATCATTCTCAGAAACTACTTTGGTACGTGTGTGTTCAACTCACAGTGTTTAACCTTTCTTTTCATAGAGCAGTTTGGAAACACTCAGTTTGTAAAGTCAGCAACTGGATATTTGGATGTATTTGAGGCCTTCGTTGGAAACGGGATTTCTTCATATAGTGCTAGACAGAAGAATTCTCAGTAACTTCTTTGGGTTGTGGGTATTCAAGTCACAGAGTTGAAGCTTCCTTTAGGCGGAGCAGATTGGAAACACTTTTTGTGGAATTTTCAGGGGGAGACTTCAAGCGCTTTGAAGTGAATGGTAGGAAAGGAAATATCTTCGTATAAAAACTAGACGGAGTCATTCTCAGAAACTACTTTGTGATGTTTGCGTTCAACTCACAGAGTTTAACGTTTCTTTTCATAGAGCAGTTTGGAAACACTCTTTTTGCAGAATCTGCAAGTGGATATTTGGACCTCTTTGTGGCCTTCGTTGGAAACGGGATTTTTCATATAATGCTAGACAGAAGAATTCTCAGTAACTTCTTTTTGTGGTGTGTATTCAACTCACAGAGTTGAACCTTCCTTTAGACAGAGCAGATTTGAAACTCTCTTTTTGTGGAATTTGCAAGTGGAGATTTCAAGCGCTTTGAGGCCAACGGCAGAAAAGGAAATATCTTCGTAGAAAAAATAGACGGAATCATTCTCAGAAACTGCTTTGGGATGTGTGCATTGAACTCACAGTGTTTAACACTTCTTTTCATAGAGCACTTTGGAAACACTCAGTTTGTAATGTCTGCAGCTGGATATTTGGACCTCTTTGAGGCCTTCGTAGTAAACGGGATTTCTTCGTGTAATGATAGACAATAGAATTCTCAGTGAATTTTTTTCTGTGTGTGTGTATTCAACTCACAGGGTTGAACCTTCCTTTAGACAGTGCAGATTTGAAACACTTGTCTGTGGAATTTGCAAGGGGAGATTTCAAGCACTTTGAGGCCATTGGTGGAAAAGGAAATATCTTCGTATAAAAACTAGACAGAATCATTCTCAGGAACTACTTTGTGATATGTGCATTCAACTCACAGAGTTTAACCTTTCTTTTCATAGATGAGTTTGGAAACAGTCAGTTTGTAAATTCTGCAACTGGATATTTGGACCTCTTTGAGGCTTTCGTTGGAAACGGGATTTCTTCACATAATGCTAGACAGAAGAATTCTCAGTAACTTCTTTTGGGATGTATGTATTCAAATCAGAGAGTTGAACCTTCCTTTAGACAGAGCGGATTGGAAACACTCTTTTTGTGGAATTTGCAAGTGGAAAATTCTAGCAATATGAGGCCAATGGTACAAAAGGAAATATCTTCGTATAAAAACTAGACAGTATCATTCTCAGAAACTGCTTTGTGATGTGTGTATTAAACTCACAGAGTTGAACATTTCTTTGCATAGAGCAGTTTGGAAAGACTTAGTTTGTGCAGTGTGCAAGTGGATATTTGGAACTCTTTGAGGCCTTCGTTGGAAACGGGATTTCTTCTTATAATTCTTGACAAAAGAATTCTCAGTAGCTTCTTTGTGTGTGTGTATTCAACTCACAGAGTTGAACCTTCCTTTAGACAGAGCAGATTGGAAACACTCTTTTTGTGGAATTTGCAAGTGGAGAATTCTAGCGCTTTGATGCCAATGGTAGAAAGGAAATATCTTCGTATAAAAACTAGACAGTATCATTCTCAGAAGCTACTTTGTGATGTGTGCGTTCAACTCACAGAGTTTAACCTTTCTTTTCATAGAGCAGTTTGGAAACCCTCTGTTTGTGAAGTCTGCAAGTGGATATTTAAACGTCTTTGAGGCCTTCGTTGGAAACGGGATTTTTTCATATAAACCAGGACAGAAGAATTCTCAGAAACTTCTTGATTGTTATGTGTGCATTCAACTCACAGAGTTGAACCTTACTTTGGAAAGAGCAGTTTTCTAACACTCTTTTTGTAAAAGTTCCAAGTGAATACTTTGAGTGCTTTGAAGCCTACGGTTGACAACGAAATATCTTCATGTAAAAACTACAAAGAATCATTCGCAGAAACCACGTTGTGATCTCTGCATTCAACTCACAGAGTTCAACCTTTCTTCCTATAGAGCAGTTATGAAACAGTCTCTTTGTAGAATTTGCAAGGGTGTATTTAGAGGGCATTGAAGCCTACGGTAGAAAAGGAAATATCTTACCATAAAATCTAGTCAGAAGCATTCTCAGCAACTGAGTTGTGATGTTTGCATTCAACTCACAGAGTTCAACATTCCTTTTAATGGAGCGGTTTTGAAACACTCTTTTTGCAGAATCTGCAAGTGGATATTTGGACCTCTTTGAGGCCTTCGTTGGAAACGGGATTTCTTCATGTAATGCCAGACAGAAGAATTCTCAGTGAATTCTTTCTGTGTGTGTGTATTCAACTCACAGAGTTGAACGTTCCTTTAGACAGAGTAGATTGGAAACACTCTTTTTGTGGAATTTTCAGGTGGAGGTATCAAGCGCTTTGAGGCCAATGATAGAAAAGGAAATACCTTCGTATAATAATTAGACGGAATCATTCTCAGAAACTGCTTTGCAATGTGTGCGTTCAACTCACAGTGTTTAACCTTTCTTTTCATACAGTTGTTTCGAAACACTCTTTTTGCAGAATCTGCAAGTGGATATTTGGACCTCTTTGAAGTCTTCGTTGGAAATGGGATTTCTTCATATAATGCTAGACAGAAGACTTCTCAGTAACTGCTTTTTCTGGTGTGTATTCAACTCTCAGAGTTGAACTTTCCTTTAGAAACAGCAGATTTGAAACTCTCTTTTTGTGGAATTCGCAAGTGGAGATTTCAGAGCTTTGAGGCCAATGGTAGAAAAGGAAATATCTTCGTATGCAAACTAGACAGAATCATTCTCAGAAACTACTTTGGTACGTGTGTGTTCAACTCACAGTGTTTAACCTTTCTTTTCATAGAGCAGTTTGGAAACACTCAGTTTGTAAAGTCAGCAACTGGATATTTGGATGTATTTGAGGCCTTCGTTGGAAACGGGATTTCTTCATATAGTGCTAGACAGAAGAATTCTCAGTAACTTCTTTGGGTTGTGGGTATTCAACTCACAGAGTTGAAGCTTCCTTTAGGCGGAGCAGATTGGAAACACTTTTTGTGGAATTTTCAGGGGGAGACTTCAAGCGCTTTGAAGTGAATGGTAGGAAAGGAAATATCTTCGTATAAAAACTAGACGGAGTCATTCTCAGAAACTACTTTGTGATGTTTGCGTTCAACTCACAGAGTTTAACGTTTCTTTTCATAGAGCAGTTTGGAAACACTCTTTTTGCAGAATCTGCAAGTGGATATTTGGACCTCTTTGTGGCCTTCGTTGGAAACGGGATTTTTCATATAATGCTAGACAGAAGAATTCTCAGTAACTTCTTTTTGTGGTGTGTATTCAACTCACAGAGTTGAACCTTCCTTTAGACAGAGCAGATTTGAAACTCTCTTTTTGTGGAATTTGCAAGTGGAGATTTCAAGCGCTTTGAGGCCAACGGCAGAAAAGGAAATATCTTCGTAGAAAAAATAGACGGAATCATTCTCAGAAACTGCTTTGGGATGTGTGCATTGAACTCACAGTGTTTAACACTTCTTTTCATAGAGCACTTTGGAAACACTCAGTTTGTAATGTCTGCAGCTGGATATTTGGACCTCTTTGAGGCCTTCGTAGTAAACGGGATTTCTTCGTGTAATGATAGACAATAGAATTCTCAGTGAATTTTTTTCTGTGTGTGTGTATTCAACTCACAGGGTTGAACCTTCCTTTAGACAGTGCAGATTTGAAACACTTGTCTGTGGAATTTGCAAGGGGAGATTTCAAGCACTTTGAGGCCATTGGTGGAAAAGGAAATATCTTCGTATAAAAACTAGACAGAATCATTCTCAGGAACTACTTTGTGATATGTGCATTCAACTCCCAGAGTTTAACCTTTCTTTTCATAGATGAGTTTGGAAACAGTCAGTTTGTAAATTCTGCAACTGGATATTTGGACCTCTTTGAGGCTTTCGTTGGAAACGGGATTTCTTCACATAATGCTAGACAGAAGAATTCTCAGTAACTTCTTTTGGGATGTATGTATTCAAATCAGAGAGTTGAACCTTCCTTTAGACAGAGCGGATTGGAAACACTCTTTTTGTGGAATTTGCAAGTGGAAAATTCTAGCAGTATGAGGCCAATGGTACAAAAGGAAATATCTTCGTATAAAAACTAGACAGTATCATTCTCAGAAACTGCTTTGTGATGTGTGTATTAAACTCACAGAGTTTAACCTTTCTTTTCATAGAGCAGTTTGGAAACCCTCTGTTTGTGAAGTCTGCAAGTGGATATTTAAACGTCTTTGAGGCCTTCGTTGGAAACGGGATTTTTTCATATAAACCAGGACAGAAGAATTCTCAGAAACTTCTTGATTGTTATGTGTGCATTCAACTCACAGAGTTGAACCTTACTTTGGAAAGAGCAGTTTTCTAACACTCTTTTTGTAAAAGTTCCAAGTGAATACTTTGAGTGCTTTGAAGCCTACGGTTGACAACGAAATATCTTCATGTAAAAACTACAAAGAATCATTCGCAGAAACCACGTTGTGATCTCTGCATTCAACTCACAGTGTTGAACCTTTCTTCCTATAGAGCAGTTATGAAACAGTCTCTTTGTAGAATTTGCAAGGGTGTATTTAGAGGGCATTGAAGCCTACGGTAGAAAAGGAAATATCTTACCATAAAATCTAGTCAGAAGCATTCTCAGAAACTGAGTTGTGATGTTTGCATTCAACTCACAGAGTTCAACATTCCTTTTAATGGAGCGGTTTTGAAACACTCTTTTTGCAGAATCTGCAAGTGGATATTTGGACCTCTTTGAGGCCTTCGTTGGAAACGGGATTTCTTCATGTAATGCCAGACAGAAGAATTCTCAGTGAATTCTTTCTGTGTGTGTGTATTCAACTCACAGAGTTGAACGTTCCTTTAGACAGAGTAGATTGGAAACACTCTTTTTGTGGAATTTTCAGGTGGAGGTATCAAGCGCTTTGAGGCCAATGATAGAAAAGGAAATACCTTCGTATAATAATTAGACGGACAATCATTCTCAGAAACCGCTTTGCAATGTGTGCGTTCAACTCACAGTGTTTAACCTTTCTTTTCATACAGTTGTTTCGAAACACTCTTTTTGCAGAATCTGCAAGTGGATATTTGGACCTCTTTGAAGTCTTCGTTGGAAATGGGATTTCTTCATATAATGCTAGACAGAAGACTTCTCAGTAACTGCTTTTTCTGGTGTGTATTCAACTCTCAGAGTTGAACTTTCCTTTAGAAACAGCAGATTTGAAACTCTCTTTTTGTGGAATTTGCAAGTGGAGATTTCAGAGCTTTGAGGCCAATGGTAGAAAAGGAAATATCTTCGTATGCAAACTAGACAGAATCATTCTCAGAAACTACTTTGGTACGTGTGTGTTCAACTCACAGTGTTTAACCTTTCTTTTCATAGAGCAGTTTGGAAACACTCAGTTTGTAAAGTCAGCAACTGGATATTTGGATGTATTTGAGGCCTTCGTTGGAAACGGGATTTCTTCATATAATGCTAGACAGAAGAATTCTCAGTAACTTCTTTGGGTTGTGGGTATTCAAGTCACAGAGTTGAAGCTTCCTTTAGGCGGAGCAGATTGGAAACACTTTTTGTGGAATTTTCAGGGGGAGACTTCAAGCGCTTTGAAGTGAATGGTAGGAAAGGAAATATCTTCGTATAAAAACTAGACGGAGTCATTCTCAGAAACTACTTTGTGATGTTTGCGTTCAACTCACAGAGTTTAACGTTTCTTTTCATAGAGCAGTTTGGAAACACTCTTTTTGCAGAATCTGCAAGTGGATATTTGGACCTCTTTGTGGCCTTCGTTGGAAACGGGATTTTTCATATAATGCTAGACAGAAGAATTCTCAGTAACTTCTTTTTGTGGTGTGTATTCAACTCACAGAGTTGAACCTTCCTTTAGACAGAGCAGATTTGAAACTCTCTTTTTGTGGAATTTGCAAGTGGAGATTTCAAGCGCTTTGAGGCCAACGGCAGAAAAGGAAATATCTTCGTAGAGAAAATAGACGGAATCATTCTCAGAAACTGCTTTGGGATGTGTGCATTGAACTCACAGTGTTTAACACTTCTTTTCATAGAGCACTTTGGAAACACTCAGTTTGTAATGTCTGCAGCTGGATATTTGGACCTCTTTGAGGCCTTCGTGGTAAACGGGATTTCTTCGTGTAATGATAGACAATAGAATTCTCAGTGAATTTTTTTCTGTGTGTGTGTATTCAACTCACAGGGTTGAACCTTCCTTTAGACAGTGCAGATTTGAAACACTTGTCTGTGGAATTTGCAAGGGGAGATTTCAAGCACTTTGAGGCCATTGGTGGAAAAGGAAATATCTTCGTATGAAAACTAGACAGAATCATTCTCAGGAACTACTTTGTGATATGTGCATTCAACTCCCAGAGTTTAACCTTTCTTTTCATAGATGAGTTTGGAAACAGTCAGTTTGTAAATTCTGCAACTGGATATTTGGACCTCTTTGAGGCTTTCGTTGGAAACGGGATTTCTTCACATAATGCTAGACAGAAGAATTCTCAGTAACTTCTTTTGGGATGTATGTATTCAAATCAGAGAGTTGAACCTTCCTTTAGACAGAGCGGATTGGAAACACTCTTTTTGTGGAATTTGCAAGTGGAAAATTCTAGCAGTATGAGGCCAATGGTACAAAAGGAAATATCTTCGTATAAAAACTAGACAGTATCATTCTCAGAAACTGCTTTGTGATGTGTGTATTAAACTCACAGAGTTGAACATTTCTTTGCATAGAGCAGTTTGGAAAGACTTAGTTTGTGCAGTGTGCAAGTGGATATTTGGAACTCTTTGAGGCCCTTCGTTGGAAACGGGATTTCTTCTTATAATTCTTGACAAAGAATTCTCAGTAGCTTCTTTGTGTGTGTGTACTCAACTCACAGAGTTGAACCTTCCTTTAGACAGAGCAGATTGGAAACACTCTTTTTGTGGAATTTGCAAGTGGAAAATTCTAGCAGTATGAGGCCAATGGTACAAAAGGAAATATCTTCGTATAAAAACTAGACAGTATCATTCTCAGAAGCTACTTTGTGATGTGTGCGTTCAACTCACAGAGTTTAACCTTTCTTTTCATAGAGCAGTTTGGAAACCCTCTGTTTGTGAAGTCTGCAAGTGGATATTTAAACGTCTTTGAGGCCTTCGTTGGAAACGGGATTTTTTCATATAAACCAGGACAGAAGAATTCTCAGAAACTTCTTGATTGTTATGTGTGCATTCAACTCACAGAGTTGAACCTTACTTTGGAAAGAGCAGTTTTCTAACACTCTTTTTGTAAAAGTTCCAAGTGAATACTTTGAGTGCTTTGAAGCCTACGGTTGACAACGAAATATCTTCATGTAAAAACTACAAAGAATCATTCGCAGAAACCACGTTGTGATCTCTGCATTCAACTCACAGAGTTCAACCTTTCTTCCTATAGAGCAGTTATGAAACAGTCTCTTTGTAGAATTTGCAAGGGTGTATTTAGAGGGCATTGAAGCCTACGGTAGAAAAGGAAATATCTTACCATAAAATCTAGTCAGAAGCATTCTCAGCAACTGAGTTGTGATGTTTGCATTCAACTCACAGAGTTCAACATTCCTTTTAATGGAGCGGTTTTGAAACACTCTTTTTGCAGAATCTGCAAGTGGATATTTGGACCTCTTTGAGGCCTTCGTTGGAAACGGGATTTCTTCATGTAATGCCAGACAGAAGAATTCTCAGTGAATTCTTTCTGTGTGTGTGTATTCAACTCACAGAGTTGAACGTTCCTTTAGACAGAGTAGATTGGAAACACTCTTTTTGTGGAATTTTCAGGTGGAGGTATCAAGCGCTTTGAGGCCAATGATAGAAAAGGAAATACCTTCATATAATAATTAGACGGAATCATTCTCAGAAACCGCTTTGCAATGTGTGCGTTCAACTCACAGTGTTTAACCTTTCTTTTCATACAGTTGTTTCGAAACACTCTTTTTGCAGAATCTGCAAGTGGATATTTGGACCTCTTTGAAGTCTTCGTTGGAAATGGGATTTCTTCATATAATGCTAGACAGAAGACTTCTCAGTAACTGCTTTTTCTGGTGTGTATTCTACTCTCAGAGTTGAACTTTCCTTTAGAAACAGCAGATTTGAAACTCTCTTTTTGTGGAATTTGCAAGTGGAGATTTCAGAGCTTTGAGGCCAATGGTAGAAAAGGAAATATCTTCGTATGCAAACTAGACAGAATCATTCTCAGAAACTACTTTGGTACGTGTGTGTTCAACTCACAGTGTTTAACCTTTCTTTTCATAGAGCAGTTTGGAAACACTCAGTTTGTAAAGTCAGCAACTGGATATTTGGATGTATTTGAGGCCTTCGTTGGAAACGGGATTTCTTCATATAGTGCTAGACAGAAGAATTCTCAGTAACTTCTTTGGGTTGTGGGTATTCAACTCACAGAGTTGAAGCTTCCTTTAGGCGGAGCAGATTGGAAACACTTTTTGTGGAATTTTCAGGGGGAGACTTCAAGCGCTTTGAAGTGAATGGTAGAAAAGGAAATATCTTCGTATAAAAACTAGACGGAGTCATTCTCAGAAACTACTTTGTGATGTTTGCGTTCAACTCACAGAGTTTAACGTTTCTTTTCATAGAGCAGTTTGGAAACACTCTTTTTGCAGAATCTGCAAGTGGATATTTGGACCTCTTTGTGGCCTTCGTTGGAAACGGGATTTTTCATATAATGCTAGACAGAAGAATTCTCAGTAACTTCTTTTTGTGGTGTGTATTCAACTCACAGAGTTGAACCTTCCTTTAGACAGAGCAGATTTGAAACTCTCTTTTTGTGGAATTTGCAAGTGGAGATTTCAAGCGCTTTGAGGCCAACGGCAGAAAAGGAAATATCTTCGTAGAAAAAATAGACGGAATCATTCTCAGAAACTGCTTTGGGATGTGTGCATTGAACTCACAGTGTTTAACACTTCTTTTCATAGAGCACTTTGGAAACACTCAGTTTGTAATGTCTGCAGCTGGATATTTGGACCTCTTTGAGGCCTTTGTGGTAAACGGGATTTCTTCGTGTAATGATAGACAATAGAATTCTCAGTGAATTTTTTTCTGTGTGTGTGTATTCAACTCACAGTGTTGAACCTTCCTTTAGACAGTGCAGATTTGAAACACTTGTCTGTGGAATTTGCAAGGGGAGATTTCAAGCACTTTGAGGCCATTGGTGGAAAAGGAAATATCTTCGTATAAAAACTAGACAGAATCATTCTCAGGAACTACTTTGTGATATGTGCATTCAACTCACAGAGTTTAACCTTTCTTTTCATAGATGAGTTTGGAAACAGTCAGTTTGTAAATTCTGCAACTGGATATTTGGACCTCTTTGAGGCTTTCGTTGGAAACGGGATTTCTTCACATAATGCTAGACAGAAGAATTCTCAGGAACTTCTTTTGGGATGTATGTATTCAAATCAGAGAGTTGAACCTTCCTTTAGACAGAGCGGATTGGAAACACTCTTTTGTGGAATTTGCAAGTGGAAAATTCTAGCAGTATGAGGCCAATGGTACAAAAGGAAATATCTTCGTATAAAAACTAGACAGTATCATTCTCAGAAACTGCTTTGTGATGTGTGTATTAAACTCACAGAGTTGAACATTTCTTTGCATAGAGCAGTTTGGAAAGACTTAGTTTGTGCAGTGTGCAAGTGGATATTTGGAACTCTTTGAGGCCTTCGTTGGAAACGGGATTTCTTCTTATAATTCTTGACAAAAGAATTCTCAGTAGCTTCTTTGTGTGTGTGTATTCAACTCACAGAGTTGAACCTTCCTTTAGACAGAGCAGATTGGAAACACTCTTTTTGTGGAATTTGCAAGTGGAGAATTCTAGCGCTTTGACGCCAATGGTAGAAAGGAAATATCTTCGTATAAAAACTAGACAGTATCATTCTCAGAAGCTACTTTGTGATGTGTGCGTTCAACTCACAGAGTTTAACCTTTCTTTTCATAGAGCAGTTTGGAAACCCTCTGTTTGTGAAGTCTGCAAGTGGATATTTAAACGTCTTTGAGGCCTTCATTGGAAACGGGATTTTTTCATATAAACCAGGACAGAAGAATTCTCAGAAACTTCTTGTTTGTTATGTGTGCATTCAACTCACAGAGTTGAACCTTACTTTGGAAAGAGCAGTTTTCTAACACTCTTTTTGTAAAAGTTCCAAGTGAATACTTTGAGTGCTTTGAAGCCTACGGTAGACAACGAAATATCTTCATGTAAAAACTACAAAGAATCATTCGCAGAAACCACGTTGTGATCTCTGCATTCAACTCACAGAGTTGAACCTTTCCTCCTGTAGAGCAGTTATGAAACAGTCTCTTTGTAGAATTTGCAAGGGTGTATTTACAGGGCATTGAAGCCTACGGTAGAAAAGGAAATATCTTACCATAAAATCTAGTCAGAAGCATTCTCAGAAACTGAGTTGTGATGTTTGCATTCAACTCACAGAGTTCAACATTCCTTTTAATGGAGCGGTTTTGAAACACTCTTTTTGCAGAATCTGCAAGTGGATATTTGGACCTCTTTGAGGCCTTCGTTGGAAACGGGATTTCTTCATGTAATGCCAGACAGAAGAATTCTCAGTGAATTCTTTCTGTGTGTGTGTATTCAACTCACAGAGTTGAACGTTCCTTTAGACAGAGTAGATTGGAAACACTCTTTTTGTGGAATTTTCAGGTGGAGGTATCAAGCGCTTTGAGACCAATGATAGAAAAGGAAATACCTTCGTATAATAATTAGACGGAATCATTCTCAGAAACTGCTTTGCAATGTGTGCGTTCAACTCACAGTGTTTAACCTTTCTTTTCATACAGTTGTTTCGAAACACTCTTTTTGCAGAATCTGCAAGTGGATATTTGGACCTCTTTGAAGTCTTCGTTGGAAATGGGATTTCTTC
The DNA here is from genome assembly GCF_000001405.40 of Homo sapiens. Classification (NCBI taxonomy): domain Eukaryota; kingdom Metazoa; phylum Chordata; class Mammalia; order Primates; family Hominidae; genus Homo; species Homo sapiens. Next base: position 92,765,155 of record NC_000003.12, read on the forward strand.
ATATAATGCTAGACAGAAGACTTCTCAGTAACTGCTTTTTCTGGTGTGTATTCAACTCTCAGAGTTGAACTTTCCTTTAGAAACAGCAGAGTTGAAACTCTCTTTTTGTGGAATTTGCAAGTGGAGATTTCAGAGCTTTGAGGCCAATGGTAGAAAAGGAAATATCCTTCGTATGCAAACTAGACAGAATCATTCTCAGAAACTACTTTGGTACGTGTGTGTTCAACTCACAGTGTTTAACCTTTCTTTTCATAGAGCAGTTTGGAAACACTCAGTTTGTAAAGTCAGCAACTGGATATTTGGATGTATTTGAGGCCTTCGTTGGAAACGGGATTTCTTCATATAATGCTAGACAGAAGAATTCTCAGTAACTTCTTTGGGTTGTGGGTATTCAAGTCACAGAGTTGAAGCTTCCTTTAGGCGGAGCAGATTGGAAACACTTTTTGTGGAATTTTCAGGGGGAGACTTCAAGCGCTTTGAAGTGAATGGTAGGAAAGGAAATATGCTTCGTATAAAAACTAGACGGAATCATTCTCAGAAACTGCTTTGCAATGTGTGCGTTGAACTCACAGAGTTTAACTTTCTTTTCATACAGTTGTTTCGAAACACTCTTTTTGCAGAATCTTCAAGTGGATATTTTTTTGGACTTCTTTGAAGTCTTCATTGGAAACGGGATTTCTTCATATAATGCTGGACAGAAGAATTCTCAGTAACTTCTTTTTGTGGTGTGTATTCAACTCACAGAGTTGAACCTTCCTTTAGACAGAGCGGATTGGAAACACTCTTTTTGTGGAATTTGCAAGTGGAAAATTCTAGCAGTATGAGGCCAATGGTACAAAAGGAAATATCTTCGTATAAAAACTAGACAGTATCATTCTCAGAAACTGCTTTGTGATGTGTGTATTAAACTCACAGATTTGAACATTTCTTTGCATAGAGCAGTATGGAAAGACTTAGTTTGTGCAGTGTGCAAGTGGATATTTGGAACTCTTTGAGGCCTTGGTTGGAAACGGGATTTCTTCTTATAATTCTTGACAAAAGAATTCTCAGTAGCTTCTTTGTGTGTGTGTATTCAACTCACAGAGTTGAACCTTCCTTTAGACAGAGCAGATTGGAAACACTCTTTTTGTGGAATTTGCAAGTGGAGAATTCTAGCGCTTTGACGCCAATGGTAGAAAGGAAATATCTTCGTATAAACACTAGACAGTATCATTCTCAGAAGCTACTTTGTGATGTGTGCGTTCAACTCACAGAGTTTAACCTTTCTTTTCATAGAGCAGTTTGGAAACACTCTGTTTGTGAAGTCTGCAAGTGGATATTTAAACGTCTTTGAGGCCTTCGTTGGAAACGGGATTTTTTCATATAAACCAGGACAGAAGAATTCTCAGAAACTTCTTGATTGTTATGTGTGCATTCAACTCACAGAGTTGAACCTTACTTTGGAAAGAGCAGTTTTCTAACACTCTTTTTGTAAAAGTTCCAAGTGAATACTTTGAGTGCTTTGAAGCCTACGGTTGACAACGAAATATCTTCATGTAAAAACTACAAAGAATCATTTGCAGAAACCACGTTGTGATCTCTGCATTCAACTCACAGAGTTGAACCTTTCTTCCTATAGAGCAGTTATGAAACAGTCTCTTTGTAGAATTTGCAAGGGTGTATTTAGAGGGCATTGAAGCCTACGGTAGAAAAGGAAATATCTTACCATAAAATCTAGTCAGAAGCATTCTCAGAAACTGAGTTGTGATGTTTGCATTCAACTCACAGAGTTCAACATTCCTTTTAATGGAGCGGTTTTGAAACACTCTTTTTGCAGAATCTGCAAGTGGATATTTGGACCTCTTTGAGGCCTTCGTTGGAAACGGGATTTCTTCATGTAATGCCAGACAGAAGAATTCTCAGTGAATTCTTTCTGTGTGTGTGTATTCAACTCACAGAGTTGAACGTTCCTTTAGACAGAGTAGATTGGAAACACTCTTTTTGTGGAATTTTCAGGTGGAGGTATCAAGCGCTTTGAGGCCAATGATAGAAAAGGAAATACCTTCGTATAATAATTAGACGGAATCATTCTCAGAAACTGCTTTGCAATGTGTGCGTTCAACTCACAGTGTTTAACCTTTCTTTTCATACAGTTGTTTCGAAACACTCTTTTTGCAGAATCTGCAAGTGGATATTTGGACCTCTTTGAAGTCTTCGTTGGAAATGGGATTTCTTCATATAATGCTAGACAGAAGACTTCTCAGTAACTGCTTTTTCTGGTGTGTATTCAACTCCCAGAGTTGAACTTTCCTTTAGAAACAGCAGATTTGAAACTCTCTTTTTGTGGAATTTGCAAGTGGAGATTTCAGAGCTTTGAGGCCAATGGTAGAAAAGGAAATATCTTCGTATGCAAACTAGACAGAATCATTCTCAGAAACTACTTTGGTACGTGTGTGTTCAACTCACAGTGTTTAACCTTTCTTTTCATAGAGCAGTTTGGAAACACTCAGTTTGTAAAGTCAGCAACTGGATATTTGGATGTATTTGAGGCCTTCGTTGGAAACGGGATTTCTTCATATAGTGCTAGACAGAAGAATTCTCAGTAACTTCTTTGGGTTGTGGGTATTCAACTCACAGAGTTGAAGCTTCCTTTAGGCGGAGCAGATTGGAAACACTTTTTGTGGAATTTTCAGGGGGAGACTTCAAGCGCTTTGAAGTGAATGGTAGAAAAGGAAATATCTTCGTATAAAAACTAGACGGAGTCATTCTCAGAAACTACTTTGTGATGTTTGCGTTCAACTCACAGAGTTTAACATTTCTTTTCATAGAGCAGTTTGGAAACACTCTTTTTGCAGAATCTGCAAGTGGATATTTGGACCTCTTTGTGGCCTTCGTTGGAAAGGGGATTTTTCATATAATGCTAGACAGAAGAATTCTCAGTAACTTCTTTTTGTGGTGTGTATTCAACTCACAGAGTTGAACCTTCCTTTAGACAGAGCAGATTTGAAACTCTCTTTTTGTGGAATTTGCAAGTGGAGATTTCAAGCGCTTTGAGGCCAACGGTAGAAAAGGAAATATCTTCGTAGAAAAAATAGACGGAATCATTCTCAGAAACTGCTGTGGGATGTGTGCATTGAACTCACAGTGTTTAACACTTCTTTTCATAGAGCACTTTGGAAACACTCAGTTTGTAATGTCTGCAGCTGGATATTTGGACCTCTTTGAGGCCTTCGTAGTAAACGGGATTTCTTCGTGTAATGATAGACAATAGAATTCTCAGTGAATTTTTTTCTGTGTGTGTGTATTCAACTCACAGGGTTGAACCTTCCTTTAGACAGTGCAGATTTGAGACACTTGTCTGTGGAATTTGCAAGGGGAGATTTCAAGCACTTTGAGGCCATTGGTGGAAAAGGAAATATCTTCGTATAAAAACTAGACAGAATCATTCTCAGGAACTACTTTGTGATATGTGCATTCAACTCACAGAGTTTAACCTTTCTTTTCATAGATGAGTTTGGAAACAGTCAGTTTGTAAATGCTGCAACTGGATATTTGGGCCTCTTTGAGGCTTTCGTTGGAAACGGGATTTCTTCACATAATGCTAGACAGAAGAATTCTCAGTAACTTCTTTTGGGATGTATGTATTCAAATCAGAGAGTTGAACCTTCCTTTAGACAGAGCGGATTGGAAACACTCTTTTTGTGGAATTTGCAAGTGGAAAATTCTAGCAGTATGAGGCCAATGGTACAAAAGGAAATGTCTTCGTATAAAAACTAGACAGTATCATTCTCAGAAACTGCTTTGTGATGTGTGTATTAAACTCACAGATTTGAACATTTCTTTGCATAGAGCAGTATGGAAAGACTTAGTTTGTGCAGTGTGCAAGTGGATATTTGGAACTCTTTGAGGCCTTGGTTGGAAACGGGATTTCTTCTTATAATTCTTGACAAAAGAATTCTCAGTAGCTTCTTTGTGTGTGTGTATTCAACTCACAGAGTTGAACCTTCCTTTAGACAGAGCAGATTGGAAACACTCTTTTTGTGGAATTTGCAAGTGGAGAATTCTAGCGCTTTGACGCCAATGGTAGAAAGGAAATATCTTCGTATAAAAACTAGACAGTATCATTCTCAGAAGCTACTTTGTGATGTGTGCGTTCAACTCACAGAGTTTAACCTTTCTTTTCATAGAGCAGTTTGGAAACCCTCTGTTTGTGAAGTCTGCAAGTGGATATTTAAACGTCTTTGAGGCCTTCGTTGGAAACGGGATTTTTTCATATAAACCAGGACAGAAGAATTCTCAGAAACTTCTTGATTGTTATGTGTGCATTCAACTCACAGAGTTGAACCTTACTTTGGAAAGAGCAGTTTTCTAACACTCTTTTTGTAAAAGTTCCAAGTGAATACTTTGAGTGCTTTGAAGCCTACGGTTGACAACGAAATATCTTCATGTAAAAACTACAAAGAATCATTCGCAGAAACCACGTTGTGATCTCTGCATTCAACTCACAGAGTTCAACCTTTCTTCCTATAGAGCAGTTATGAAACAGTCTCTTTGTAGAATTTGCAAGGGTGTATTTAGAGGGCATTGAAGCCTACGGTAGAAAAGGAAATATCTTACCATAAAATCTAGTCAGAAGCATTCTCAGCAACTGAGTTGTGATGTTTGCATTCAACTCACAGAGTTCAACATTCCTTTTAATGGAGCGGTTTTGAAACACTCTTTTTGCAGAATCTGCAAGTGGATATTTGGACCTCTTTGAGGTCTTCGTTGGAAACGGGATTTCTTCATGTAATGCCAGACAGAAGAATTCTCAGTGAATTCTTTCTGTGTGTGTGTATTCAACTCACAGAGTTGAACGTTCCTTTAGACAGAGTAGATTGGAAACACTCTTTTTGTGGAATTTTCAGGTGGAGGTATCAAGCGCTTTGAGGCCAATGATAGAAAAGGAAATACCTTCGTATAATAATTACACGGAATCATTCTCAGAAACCGCTTTGCAATGTGTGCGTTCAACTCACAGTGTTTAACCTTTCTTTTCATACAGTTGTTTCGAAACACTCTTTTTGCAGAATCTGCAAGTGGATATTTGGACCTCTTTGAAGTCTTCGTTGGAAATGGGATTTCTTCATATAATGCTAGACAGAAGACTTCTCAGTAACTGCTTTTTCTGGTGTGTATTCAACTCTCAGAGTTGAACTTTCCTTTAGAAACAGCAGATTTGAAACTCTCTTTTTGTGGAATTTGCAAGTGGAGATTTCAGAGCTTTGAGGCCAATGGTAGAAAAGGAAATATCTTCGTATGCAAACTAGACAGAATCATTCTCAGAAACTACTTTGGTACGTGTGTGTTCAACTCACAGTGTTTAACCTTTCTTTTCATAGAGCAGTTTGGAAACACTCAGTTTGTAAAGTCAGCAACTGGATATTTGGATGTATTTGAGGCCTTCGTTGGAAACGGGATTTCTTCATATAATGCTAGACAGAAGAATTCTCAGTAACTTCTTTGGGTTGTGGGTATTCAAGTCACAGAGTTGAAGCTTCCTTTAGGCGGAGCAGATTGGAAACACTTTTTGTGGAATTTTCAGGGGGAGACTTCAAGCGCTTTGAAGTGAATGGTAGGAAAGGAAATATCTTCGTATAAAAACTAGACGGAGTCATTCTCAGAAACTACTTTGTGATGTTTGCGTTCAACTCACAGAGTTTAACGTTTCTTTTCATAGAGCAGTTTGGAAACACTCTTTTTGCAGAATCTGCAAGTGGATATTTGGACCTCTTTGTGGCCTTCGTTGGAAACGGGATTTTTCATATAATGCTAGACAGAAGAATTCTCAGTAACTTCTTTTTGTGGTGTGTATTCAACTCACAGAGTTGAACCTTCCTTTAGACAGAGCAGATTTGAACCTCTCTTTTTGTGGAATTTGCAAGTGGAGATTTCAAGCGCTTTGAGGCCAACGGCAGAAAAGGAAATATACTTCGTAGAAAAAATAGACGGAATCATTCTCAGAAACTGCTTTGGGATGTGTGCATTGAACTCACAGTGTTTAACACTTCTTTTCATAGAGCACTTTGGAAACACTCAGTTTGTAATGTCTGCAGCTGGATATTTGGACCTCTTTGAGGCCTTCGTAGTAAACGGGATTTCTTCGTGTAATGATAGACAATAGAATTCTCAGTGAATTTTTTTCTGTGTGTGTGTATTCAACTCACAGGGTTGAACCTTCCTTTAGACAGTGCAGATTTGAAACACTTGTCTGTGGAATTTGCAAGGGGAGATTTCAAGCACTTTGAGGCCATTGGTGGAAAAGGAAATATCTTCGTATGAAAACTAGACAGAATCATTCTCAGGAACTACTTTGTGATATGTGCATTCAACTCCCAGAGTTTAACCTTTCTTTTCATAGATGAGTTTGGAAACAGTCAGTTTGTAAATTCTGCAACTGGATATTTGGACCTCTTTGAGGCTTTCGTTGGAAACGGGATTTCTTCACATAATGCTAGACAGAAGAATTCTCAGTAACTTCTTTTGGGATGTATGTATTCAAATCAGAGAGTTGAACCTTCCTTTAGACAGAGCGGATTGGAAACCCTCTTTTTGTGGAATTTGCAAGTGGAAAATTCTAGCAGTATGAGGCCAATGGTACAAAAGGAAATATCTTCGTATAAAAACTAGACAGTATCATTCTCAGAAACTGCTTTGTGATGTGTGTATTAAACTCACAGAGTTGAACATTTCTTTGCATAGAGCAGTTTGGAAAGACTTAGTTTGTGCAGTGTGCAAGTGGATATTTGGAACTCTTTGAGGCCTTCGTTGGAAACGGGATTTCTTCTTATAATTTCTTGAAAAAAGAATTCTCAGTAGCTTCTTTGTGTGTGTGTATTCAACTCACAGAGTTGAACCTTCCTTTAGACAGAGCAGATTGGAAACACTCTTTTTGTGGAATTTGCAAGTGGAGAATTCTAGCGCTTTGACGCCAATGGTAGAAAGGAAATATCTTCGTATAAAAACTAGACAGTATCATTCTCAGAAGCTACTTTGTGATGTGTGCGTTCAACTCACAGAGTTTAACCTTTCTTTTCATAGAGCAGTTTGGAAACCCTCTGTTTGTGAAGTCTGCAAGTGGATATTTAAACGTCTTTGAGGCCTTCGTTGGAAACGGGATTTTTTCATATAAACCAGGACAGAAGAATTCTCAGAAACTTCTTGATTGTTATGTGTGCATTCAACTCACAGAGTTGAACCTTACTTTGGAAAGAGCAGTTTCCTAACACTCGTTTTGTAAAAGTTCCAAGTGAATACTTTGAGTGCTTTGAAGCCTACGGTTGACAACGAAATATCTTCATGTAAAAACTACAAAGAATCATTCGCAGAAACCACGTTGTGATCTCTGCATTCAACTCACAGAGTTCAACCTTTCTTCCTATAGAGCAGTTATGAAACAGTCTCTTTGTAGAATTTGCAAGGGTGTATTTAGAGGGCATTGAAGCCTACGGTAGAAAAGGAAATATCTTACCATAAAATCTAGTCAGAAGCATTCTCAGCAACTGAGTTGTGATGTTTCCATTCAACTCACAGAGTTCAACATTCCTTTTAATGGAGCGGTTTTGAAACACTCTTTTTGCAGAATCTGCAAGTGGATATTTGGACCTGCTTTGAGGCCTTCGTTGGAAACGGGATTTCTTCATGTAATGCCAGACAGAAGAATTCTCAGTGAATTCTTTCTGTGTGTGTGTATTCAACTCACAGAGTTGAACGTTCCTTTAGACAGAGTAGATTGGAAACACTCTTTTTGTGGAATTTTCAGGTGGAGGTATCAAGCGCTTTGAGGCCAGTGATAGAAAAGGAAATACCTTCGTATAATAATTAGACGGAATCATTCTCAGAAACCGCTTTGCAATGTGTGCGTTCAACTCACAGTGTTTAACCTTTCTTTTCATACAGTTGTTTCGAAACACTCTTTTTGCAGAATCTGCAAGTGGATATTTGGACCTCTTTGAAGTCTTCGTTGGAAATGGGATTTCTTCATATAATGCTAGACAGAAGACTTCTCAGTAACTGCTTTTTCTGGTGTGTATTCAACTCTCAGAGTTGAACTTTCCTTTAGAAACAGCAGATTTGAAACTCTCTTTTTGTGGAATTTGCAAGTGGAGATTTCAGAGCTTTGAGGCCAATGGTAGAAAAGGAAATATCTTCGTATGCAAACTAGACAGAATCATTCTCAGAAACTACTTTGGTACGTGTGTGTTCAACTCACAGTGTTTAACCTTTCTTTTCATAGAGCAGTTTGGAAACACTCAGTTTGTAAAGTCAGCAACTGGATATTTGGATGTATTTGAGGCCTTCGTTGGAAACGGGATTTCTTCATATAATGCTAGACAGAAGAATTCTCAGTAACTTCTTTGGGTTGTGGGTATTCAAGTCACAGAGTTGAAGCTTCCTTTAGGCAGAGCAGATTGGAAACACTTTTTGTGGAATTTTCAGGGGGAGACTTCAAGCGCTTTGAAGTGAATGGTAGGAAAGGAAATATCTTCGTATAAAAACTAGACGGAGTCATTCTCAGAAACTACTTTGTGATGTTTGCGTTCAACTCACAGAGTTTAACGTTTCTTTTCATAGAGCAGTTTGGAAACACTCTTTTTGCAGAATCTGCAAGTGGATATTTGGACCTCTTTGTGGCCTTCGTTGGAAACGGGATTTTTCATATAATGCTAGACAGAAGAATTCTCAGTAACTTCTTTTTGTGGTGTGTATTCAACTCACAGAGTTGAACCTTCCTTTAGACAGAGCAGATTTGAAACTCTCTTTTTGTGGAATTTGCAAGTGGAGATTTCAAGCGCTTTGAGGCCAACGGCAGAAAAGGAAATATCTTCGTAGAAAAAATAGACGGAATCATTCTCAGAAACTGCTTTGGGATGTGTGCATTGAACTCACAGTGTTTAACACTTCTTTTCATAGAGCACTTTGGAAACACTCAGTTTGTAATGTCTGCAGCTGGATATTTGGACCTCTTTGAGGCCTTCGTAGTAAACGGGATTTCTTCGTGTAATGATAGACAATAGAATTCTCAGTGAATTTCTTTCTGTGTGTGTGTATTCAACTCACAGGGTTGAACCTTCCTTTAGACAGTGCAGATTTGAAACACTTGTCTGTGGAATTTGCAAGGGGAGATTTCAAGCACTTTGAGGCCATTGGTGGAAAAGGAAATATCTTCGTATAAAAACTAGACAGAATCATTCTCAGGAACTATTTTGTGATATGTGCATTCAACTCCCAGAGTTTAACCTTTCTTTTCATAGATGAGTTTGGAAACAGTCAGTTTGTAAATTCTGCAACTGGATATTTGGACCTCTTTGAGGCTTTCGTTGGAAACGGGATTTCTTCACATAATGCTAGACAGAAGAATTCTCAGTAACTTCTTTTGGGATGTATGTATTCAAATCAGAGAGTTGAACCTTCCTTTAGACAGAGCGGATTGGAAACACTCTTTTTGTGGAATTTGCAAGTGGAAAATTCTAGCAGTATGAGGCCAATGGTACAAAAGGAAATATCTTCGTATAAAAACTAGACAGTATCATTCTCAGAAACTGCTTTGTGATGTGTGTATTAAACTCACAGAGTTGAACATTTCTTTGCATAGAGCAGTTTGGAAAGACTTAGTTTGTGCAGTGTGCAAGTGGATATTTGGAACTCTTTGAGGCCTTCGTTGGAAACGGGATTTCTTCTTATAATTCTTGACAAAAGAATTCTCAGTAGCTTCTTTGTGTGTGTGTATTCAACTCACAGAGTTGAACCTTCCTTTAGACAGAGCAGATTGGAAACACTCTTTTTGTGGAATTTGCAAGTGGAGAATTCTAGCGCTTTGACGCCAATGGTAGAAAGGAAATATCTTCGTATAAAAACTAGACAGTTATCATTCTCAGAAACTAGTTTGTGATGTGTGCGTTCAACTCACAGAGTTTAACATTTCTTTTCATAGAGCAGTTTGGAAACACTCTGTTTGTGAAGTCTGCAAGTGGATATTTAAACGTCTTTGAGGCCTTCGTTGGAAACGGGATTTGTTCATATAAACCAGGACAGAAGAATTCTCAGAAACTTCTTGATTGTTATGTGTGCATTCAACTCACAGAGTTGAACCTTACTTTGGAAAGAGCAGTTTTCTAACACTCTTTTTGTAAAAGTTCCAAGTGAATACTTTGAGTGCTTTGAAGCCTACGGTTGACAACGAAATATCTTCATGTAAAAACTACAAAGAATCATTCGCAGAAACCACGTTGTGATCTCTGCATTCAACTCACAGAGTTCAACCTTTCTTCCTATAGAGCAGTTATGAAACAGTCTCTTTGTAGAATTTGCAAGGGTGTATTTAGAGGGCATTGAAGCCTACGGTAGAAAAGGAAATATCTTACCATAAAATCTAGTCAGAAGCATTCTCAGAAACTGAGTTGTGATGTTTGCATTCAACTCACAGAGTTCAACATTCCTTTTAATGGAGCGGTTTTGAAACACTCTTTTTGCAGAATCTGCAAGTGGATATTTGGACCTCTTTGAGGCCTTCGTTGGAAACGGGATTTCTTCATGTAATGCCAGACAGAAGAATTCTCAGTGAATTCTTTCTGTGTGTGTGTATTCAACTCACAGAGTTGAACGTTCCTTTAGACAGAGTAGATTGGAAACACTCTTTTTGTGGAATTTTCAGGTGGAGGTATCAAGCGCTTTGAGGCCAATGATAGAAAAGGAAATACCTTCGTATAATAATTAGACGGAATCATTCTCAGAAACCGCTTTGCAATGTGTGCGTTCAACTCACAGTGTTTAACCTTTCTTTTCATACAGTTGTTTCGAAACACTCTTTTTGCAGAATCTGCAAGTGGATATTTGGACCTCTTTGAAGTCTTCGTTGGAAATGGGATTTCTTCATATAATGCTAGACAGAAGACTTCTCAGTAACTGCTTTTTCTGGTGTGTATTCAACTCTCAGAGTTGAACTTTCCTTTAGAAACAGCAGATTTGAAACTCTCTTTTTGTGGAATTTGCAAGTGGAGATTTCAGAGCTTTGAGGCCAATGGTAGAAAAGGAAATATCTTCGTATGCAAACTAGACAGAATCATTCTCAGAAACTACTTTGGTACGTGTGTGTTCAACTCACAGTGTTTAACCTTTCTTTTCATAGAGCAGTTTGGAAACACTCAGTTTGTAAAGTCAGCAACTGGATATTTGGATGTATTTGAGGCCTTCGTTGGAAACGGGATTTCTTCATATAATGCTAGACAGAAGAATTCTCAGTAACTTCTTTGGGTTGTGGGTATTCAACTCACAGAGTTGAAGCTTCCTTTAGGCGGAGCAGATTGGAAACACTTTTTGTGGAATTTTCAGGGGGAGACTTCAAGCGCTTTGAAGTGAATGGTAGGAAAGGAAATATCTTCGTATAAAAACTAGACGGAGTCATTCTCAGAAACTACTTTGTGATGTTTGCGTTCAACTCACAGAGTTTAACGTTTCTTTTCATAGAGCAGTTTGGAAACACTCTTTTTGCAGAATCTGCAAGTGGATATTTGGACCTCTTTGTGGCCTTCGTTGGAAATGGGATTTTTCGTATAATGCTAGACAGAAGAATTCTCAGTAACTTCTTTTTGTGGTGTGTATTCAACTCACAGAGTTGAACCTTCCTTTAGACAGAGCAGATTTGAAACTCTCTTTTTGTGGAATTTGCAAGTGGAGATTTCAAGCGCTTTGAGGCCAACGGTAGAAAAGGAAATATCTTCGTAGAAAAAATAGACGGAATCAGTCTCAGAAACTGCTTTGGGATGTGTGCATTGAACTCACAGTGTTTAACACTTCTTTTCATAGAGCACTTTGGAAACACTCAGTTTGTAATGTCTGCAGCTGGATATTTGGACCTCTTTGAGGCCTTCGTAGTAAACGGGATTTCTTCGTGTAATGATAGACAATAGAATTCTCAGTGAATTTTTTTCTGTGTGTGTGTATTCAACTCACAGGGTTGAACCTTCCTTTAGACAGTGCAGATTTGAGACACTTGTCTGTGGAATTTGCAAGGGGAGATTTCAAGCACTTTGAGGCCATTGGTGGAAAAGGAAATATCTTCGTATAAAAACTAGACAGAATCATTCTCAGGAACTACTTTGTGATATGTGCATTCAACTCACAGAGTTTAACCTTTCTTTTCATAGATGAGTTTGGAAACAGTCAGTTTGTAAATGCTGCAACTGGATATTTGGGCCTCTTTGAGGCTTTCGTTGGAAACGGGATTTCTTCACATAATGCTAGACAGAAGAATTCTCAGTAACTTATTTTGGGATGTATGTATTCAAATCAGAGAGTTGAACCTTCCTTTAGACAGAGCGGATGGGAAACACTCTTTTTGTGGAATTTGCAAGTGGAAAATTATAGCAGTATGAGGCCAATGGTACAAAAGGAAATATCCTTCGTATAAAAACTAGACAGCAATCATTCTCAGAAACTGCTTTGTGATGTGTGTATTAAACTCACGGAGTTGAACATTTCTTTGCATAGAGCAGTTTGGAAAGACTTAGTTTGTGCAGTGTGCAAGTGGATATTTGGAACTCTTTGAGGCCTTCGTTGGAAACGGGATTTCTTCTTATAATTCTTGACAAAAGAATTCTCAGTAGCTTCTTTGTGTGTGTGTACTCAACTCACAGAGTTGAACCTTCCTTTAGACAGAGCAGATTGGAAACACTCTTTTTGTGGAATTTGCAAGTGGAAATTTCTAGCAGTATGAGGCCAATGGTACAAAAGGAAATATCTTCGTATAAAAACTAGACAGTATCATTCTCAGAAACTACTTTGTGATGTGTGCGTTCAACTCACAGTGTTTAACACTTCTTTTCATAGAGCACTTTGGAAACACTCAGTTTGTAAGGTTTGCAACTGGATATTTGGACCTCTTTGAGGCCTTCGCAGTAAACGGGATTTCTTCGTGTAATGATTGACAGTAGAATTCTCAGTGAATTTTTTTTTTGTGTGTGTATTCAACTCACAGGGTTGAACTTTCCTTTAGACAGTGCAGAGTTGAAACACTTTTTGTGGAATTTGCAAGGGGAGATTTCAAGCACCTTGAGGCCAGTGGCGGAAAAGGAAATATGTTCGTATAAAAAGTAGACAGAATCATTCTCAGGAACTAGTTTGTGATATGTGCATTCAACTCACAGAGTTTAACCTTTCTTTTCATAGAGGAGTTTGGAAACACTCAGTTTGTAATTCTGCAACTGGATATTTGGACCTCTTTGAGGCTTTCGTTGGAAACGGGATTTCTTCACATAATTCTAGACAGAAGAATTCTAAGTAACTTCTTATGGGTTGTGTGTATTCAACTCAGAGAGTTGAACCTTCCTTTAGACAGAGCAGATTGGAAACCCTCTTTTTGCCGAATTTTCAGGTGGAGATTTCAAGAGCTTTGAGGCCAATGGTAGAAAAGGCTATCTTCGTATAAAAACTAGACGGAATCATTCTCAGAAACTGCTTTGTGATGTGTGCATTAAACTCACAGAGTTGAACATTTCTTTTTCATAGAGCAGTTTGGAAAGACTTAGTTTGTACAGTCTGCAAGTGGATATTTGGAACTCTTTGAGGCCTTCGTTGGAAACGGGATTTCTTATAATTCTTGACAAAAGAATTCTCAGTAGCTTCTTTGTGTGTGTGTATTCAACTCACAGAGTTGAACCTTCCTTTAGACAGAGCAGATTGGAAACACCCTTTTGGTGGAATTTGCAAGTGGAGAATTCTACGATTTGAGGTCAATGGTAGAAAAGGAAATATCTTCGTATAAAAACTAAACAGTATCATTCTCAGAAACTACTTTGTGATGTGTGTGTTCAACTCAGAGTTTAACCTTTCTTTTCATAGAGCAGTTTGGAAACACTCTGTTTATGAAGTCTGCAAGTGGATATTTGAACGTCTTTGACGCCTTCGTTGGAAACGGGATTTCTTCATATAAACCAGGACAGAAGAATTCTCAGAAACTTCTTGATTGTTATGTGTGCATTCAACTCACAGAGTTGAACCTTACTTTGGAAAGAGCAGTTTTCTAACACTCTTTTTGTAAAAGTTCCAAGTGAATACTTTGAGTGCTTTGAAGCCTACGGTTGACAACGAAATATCTTCATGTAAAAACTACAAAGAATCATTCGCAGAAACCACGTTGTGATCTCTGCATTCAACTCACAGAGTTGAACCTTTCTTCCTATAGAGCAGTTATGAAACAGACTCTTTGTAGAATTTGCAAGGGTGTATTTAGAGGGCATTGAAGCCTACGGTAGAAAAGGAAATATCTTACCATAAAATCTAGTCAGAAGCATTCTCAGCAACTGAGTTGTGATGTTTGCATTCAACTCACAGAGTTCAACATTCCTTTTAATGGAGCGGTTTTGAAACACTCTTTTTGCAGAATCTGCAAGTGGATATTTGGACCTCTTTGAGGCCTTCGTTGGAAACGGGATTTCTTCATGTAATGCCAGACAGAAGAATTCTCAGTGAATTCTTTCTGTGTGTGTGTATTCAACTCACAGAGTTGAACGTTCCTTTAGAGAGAGTAGATTGGAAACACTCTTTTTGTGGAATTTTCAGGTGGAGGTATCAAGCGCTTTGAGGCCAATGATAGAAAAGGAAATACCTTCGTATAATAATTAGACGGAATCATTCTCAGAAACTGCTTTGCAATGTGTGCGTTCAACTCACAGTGTTTAACCTTTCTTTTCATACAGTTGTTTCGAAACACTCTTTTTGCAGAATCTGCAAGTGGATATTTGGACCTCTTTGAAGTCTTCGTTGGAAATGGGATTTCTTCATATAATGCTAGACAGAAGACTTCTCAGTAACTGCTTTTTCTGGTGTGTATTCAACTCTCAGAGTTGAACTTTCCTTTAGAAACAGCAGATTTGAAACTCTCTTTTTGTGGAATTTGCAAGTGGAGATTTCAGAGCTTTGAGGCCAATGGTAGAAAAGGAAATATCTTCGTATGCAAACTAGACAGAATCATTCTCAGAAACTACTTTGGTACGTGTGTGTTCAACTCACAGTGTTCAACCTTTCCTTTCATAGAGCAGTTTGGAAACACTCAGTTTGTAAAGTCAGCAACTGGATATCTGGATGTATTTGAGGCCTTCGTTGGAAACGGGATTTCTTCATATAATGCTAGACAGAAGAATTCTCAGTAACTTCTTTGGGTTGTGGGTATTCAACTCACAGAGTTGAAGCTTCCTTTAGGCGGAGCAGATTGGAAACACTTTTTGTGGAATTTTCAGGGGGAGACTTCAAGCGCTTTGAAGTGAATGGTAGGAAAGGAAATATCTTCGTATAAAAACTAGACGGAGTCATTCTCAGAAACTACTTTGTGATGTTTGCGTTCAACTCACAGAGTTTAACGTTTCTTTTCATAGAGCAGTTTGGAAACACTCTTTTTGCAGAATCTGCAAGTGGATATTTGGACCTCTTTGTGGCCTTCGTTGGAAACGGGATTTTTCATATAATGCTAGACAGAAGAATTCTCAGTAACTTCTTTTTGTGGTGTGTATTCAACTCACAGAGTTGAACCTTCCTTTAGACAGAGCAGATTTGAAACTCTCTTTTTGTGGAATTTGCAAGTGGAGATTTCAAGCGCTTTGAGGCCAACGGTAGAAAAGGAAATATCTTCGTAGAGAAAATAGACGGAATCATTCTCAGAAACTGCTTTGGGATGTGTGCATTGAACTCACAGTGTTTAACACTTCTTTTCATAGAGCACTTTGGAAACACTCAGTTTGTAATGTCTGCAGCTGGATATTTGGACCTCTTTGAGGCCTTCGTAGTAAACGGGATTTCTTCGTGTAATGATAGACAATAGAATTCTCAGTGAATTTTTTTCTGTGTGTGTGTATTCAACTCACAGGGTTGAACCTTCCTTTAGACAGTGCAGATTTGAAACACTTGTCTGTGGAATTTGCAAGGGGAGATTTCAAGCACTTTGAGGCCATTGGTGGAAAAGGAAATATCTTCATATAAAAACTAGACAGAATCATTCTCAGGAACTACTTTGTGATATGTGCATTCAACTCACAGAGTTTAACCTTTCTTTTCATAGATGAGTTTGGAAACAGTCAGTTTGTAAATTCTGCAACTGGATATTTGGACCGCTTTGAGGCTTTCGTTGGAAACGGGATTTCTTCACATAATGCTAGACAGAAGAATTCTCAGTAACTTCTTTTGGGATGTATGTATTCAAATCAGAGAGTTGAACCTTCCTTTAGACAGAGCGGATTGGAAACACTCTTTTTGTGGAATTTGCAAGTGGAAAATTCTAGCAGTATGAGGCCAATGGTACAAAAGGAAATATCTTCGTATAAAAACTAGACAGTATCATTCTCAGAAACTGCTTTGTGATGTGTGTATTAAACTCACAGAGTTGAACATTTCTTTGCATAGAGCAGTTTGGAAAGACTTAGTTTGTGCAGTGTGCAAGTGGATATTTGGAACTCTTTGAGGCCTTCGTTGGAAACGGGATTTCTTCTTATAATTCTTGACAAAAGAATTCTCAGTAGCTTCTTTGTGTGTGTGTATTCAACTCACAGAGTTGAACCTTCCTTTAGACAGAGCAGATTGGAAACACTCTTTTTGTGGAATTTGCAAGTGGAGAATTCTAGCGCTTTGACGCCAATGGTAGAAAGGAAATATCTTCGTATAAAAACTAGACAGTATCATTCTCAGTAGCTACTTTGTGATGTGTGCGTTCAACTCACAGAGTTTAACCTTTGTTTTCATAGAGCAGTTTGGAAACACTCTGTTTGTGAAGTCTGCAAGTGGATATTTAAACGTCTTTGAGGCCTTCGTTGGAAACGGGATTTCTTCATATAAACCAGGACAGAAGAATTCTCAGAAACTTCTTGATTGTTATGTGTGCATTCAACTCACAGAGTTGAACCTTACTTTGGAAAGAGCAGTTTTCTAACACTCTTTTTGTAAAAGTTCCAAGTGAATACTTTGAGTGCTTTGAAGCCTACGGTTGACAACGAAATATCTTCATGTAAAATCTACAAAGAATCATTCGCAGAAACCACGTTGTGATCTCTGCATTCAACTCACAGAGTTGAACCTTTCTTCCTGTAGAGCAGTTATGAAACAGTCTCTTTGTAGAATTTGCAAGGGTGTATTTAGAGGGCATTGAAGCCTACGGTAGAAAAGGAAATATCTTACCATAAAATCTAGTCAGAAGCATTCTCAGCAACTGAGTTGTGATGTTTGCATTCAACTCACAGAGTTCAACATTCCTTTTAATGGAGCGGTTTTGAAACACTCTTTTTGCAGAATCTGCAAGTGGATATTTGGACCTCTTTGAGGCCTTCGTTGGAAACGGGATTTCTTCATGTAATGCCAGACAGAAGAATTCTCAGTGAATTCTTTCTGTGTGTGTGTATTCAACTCACGGAGTTGAACGTTCCTTTAGACAGAGTAGATTGGAAACACTCTTTCTGTGGAATTTTCAGGTGGAGGTATCAAGCGCTTTGAGGCCAATGATAGAAAAGGAAATACCTTCGTATAATAATTAGACGGAATCATTCTCAGAAACTGCTTTGCAATGTGTGCGTTCAACTCACAGTGTTTAACCTTTCTTTTCATACAGTTGTTTCGAAACACTCTTTTTGCAGAATCTGCAAGTGGATATTTGGACCTCTTTGAAGTCTTCGTTGGAAATGGGATTTCTTCATATAATGCTAGACAGAAGACTTCTCAGTAACTGCTTTTTCTGGTGTGTATTCAACTCTCAGAGTTGAACTTTCCTTTAGAAACAGCAGATTTGAAACTCTCTTTTTGTGGAATTTGCAAGTGGAGATTTCAGAGCTTTGAGGCCAATGGTAGAAAAGGAAATATCTTCGTATGCAAACTAGACAGAATCATTCTCAGAAACTACTTTGGTACGTGTGTGTTCAACTCACAGTGTTTAACCTTTCTTTTCATAGAGCAGTTTGGAAACACTCAGTTTGTAAAGTCAGCAACTGGATATTTGGATGTATTTGAGGCCTTCGTTGGAAACGGGATTTCTTCTTATAATTCTTGACAAAAGAATTCTCAGTAACTTCTTTGGGTTGTGGGTATTCAACTCACAGAGTTGAAGCTTCCTTTAGGCGGAGCAGATTGGAAACACTTTTTGTGGAATTTTCAGGGGGAGACTTCAAGCGCTTTGAAGTGAATGGTAGGAAAGGAAATATCTTCGTATAAAAACTAGACGGAGTCATTCTCAGAAACTACTTTGTGATGTTTGCGTTCAACTCACAGAGTTTAACGTTTCTTTTCATAGAGCAGTTTGGAAACACTCTTTTTGCAGAATCTGCAAGTGGATATTTGGACCTCTTTGTGGCCTTCGTTGGAAACGGGATTTTTCATATAATGCTAGACAGAAGAATTCTCAGTAACTTCTTTTTGTGGTGTGTATTCAACTCACAGAGTTGAACCTTCCTTTAGACAGAGCAGATTTGAAACTCTCTTTTTGTGGAATTTGCAAGTGGAGATTTCAAGCGCTTTGAGGCCCACGGTAGAAAAGGAAATATCTTCGTAGAAAAAATAGACGGAATCATTCTCAGAAACTGCTTTGGGATGTGTGCATTGAACTCACAGTGTTTAACACTTCTTTTCATAGAGCACTTTGGAAACACTCAGTTTGTAATGTCTGCAGCTGGATATTTGGACCTCTTTGAGGCCTTCGTAGTAAACGGGATTTCTTCGTGTAATGATAGACAATAGAATTCTCAGTGAATTTTTTTCTGTGTGTGTGTATTCAACTCACAGGGTTGGACCTTCCTTTAGACAGTGCAGATTTGAAACACTTGTCTGTGGAATTTGCAAGGGGAGATTTCAAGCACTTTGAGGCCATTGGTGGAAAAGGAAATATCTTCGTATGAAAACTAGACAGAATCATTCTCAGGAACTACTTTGTGATATGTGCATTCAACTCACAGAGTTTAACCTTTCTTTTCATAGATGAGTTTGGAAACAGTCAGTTTGTAAATTCTGCAACTGGATATTTGGACCTCTTTGAGGCTTTCGTTGGAAACGGGATTTCTTCACATAATGCTAGACAGAAGAATTCTCAGTAACTTCTTTTGGGATGTATGTATTCAAATCAGAGAGTTGAACCTTCCTTTAGACAGAGCGGATTGGAAACACTCTTTTTGTGGAATTTGCAAGTGGAAAATTCTAGCAGTATGAGGCCAATGGTACAAAAGGAAATATCTTCGTATAAAAACTAGACAGTATCATTCTCAGAAACTGCTTTGTGATGTGTGTATTAAACTCACAGAGTTGAACATTTCTTTGCATAAAGCAGTTTGGAAAGACTTAGTTTGTGCAGTGTGCAAGTGGATATTTGGAACTCTTTGAGGCCTTCGTTGGAAACGGGATTTCTTCTTATAATTCTTGACAAAAGAATTCTCAGTAGCTTCTTTGTGTGTGTGTATTCAACTCACAGAGTTGAACCTTCCTTTAGACAGAGCAGATTGGAAACACTCTTTTTGTGGAATTTGCAAGTGGAGAATTCTAGCGCTTTGACGCCAATGGTAGAAAGGAAATATCTTCGTATAAAAACTAGACAGTATCATTCTCAGAAGCTACTTTGTGATGTGTGCGTTCAACTCACAGAGTTTAACCTTTCTTTTCATAGAGCAGTTTGGAAACACTCTGTTTGTGAAGTCTGCAAGTGGATATTTAAACGTCTTTGAGGCCTTCGTTGGAAACGGGATTTTTTCATATAAACCAGGACAGAAGAATTCTCAGAAACTTCTTGATTGTTATGTGTGCATTCAACTCACAGAGTTGAACCTTACTTTGGAAAGAGCAGTTTTCTAACACTCTTTTTGTAAAAGTTCCAAGTGAATACTTTGAGTGCTTTGAAGCCTACGGTTGACAACGAAATATCTTCATGTAAAAACTACAAAGAATCATTCGCAGAAACCACGTTGTGATCTCTGCATTCAACTCACAGAGTTGAACCTTTCTTCCTATAGAGCAGTTATGAAACAGTCTCTTTGTAGAATTTGCAAGGGTGTATTTAGAGGGCATTGAAGCCTACGGTAGAAAAGGAAATATCTTACCATAAAATCTAGTCAGAAGCATTCTCAGCAACTGAGTTGTGATGTTTGCATTCAACTCACAGAGTTCAACATTCCTTTTAATGGAGCGGTTTTGAAACACTCTTTTTGCAGAATCTGCAAGTGGATATTTGGACCTCTTTGAGGCCTTCGTTGGAAACGGGATTTCTTCATGTAATGCCAGACAGAAGAATTCTCAGTGAATTCTTTCTGTGTGTGTGTATTCAACTCACAGAGTTGAACGTTCCTTTAGACAGAGTAGATTGGAAACACTCTTTTTGTGGAATTTTCAGGTGGAGGTATCAAGCGCTTTGAGGCCAATGATAGAAAAGGAAATACCTTCGTATAATAATTAGACGGAATCATTCTCAGAAACTGCTTTGCAATGTGTGCGTTCAACTCACAGTGTTTAACCTTTCTTTTCATACAGTTGTTTCGAAACACTCTTTTTGCAGAATCTGCAAGTGGATATTTGGACCTCTTTGAAGTCTTCGTTGGAAATGGGATTTCTTCATATAATGCTAGACAGAAGACTTCTCAGTAACTGCTTTTTCTGGTGTGTATTCAACTCTCAGAGTTGAACTTTCCTTTAGAAACAGCAGATTTGAAACTCTCTTTTTGTGGAATTCGCAAGTGGAGATTTCAGAGCTTTGAGGCCAATGGTAGAAAAGGAAATATCTTCGTATGCAAACTAGACAGAATCATTCTCAGAAACTACTTTGGTACGTGTGTGTTCAACTCACAGTGTTTAACCTTTCTTTTCATAGAGCAGTTTGGAAACACTCAGTTTGTAAAGTCAGCAACTGGATATTTGGATGTATTTGAGGCCTTCGTTGGAAACGGGATTTCTTCATATAGTGCTAGACAGAAGAATTCTCAGTAACTTCTTTGGGTTGTGGGTATTCAACTCACAGAGTTGAAGCTTCCTTTAGGCGGAGCAGATTGGAAACACTTTGTGGAATTTTCAGGGGGAGACTTCAAGCGCTTTGAAGTGAATGGTAGGAAAGGAAATATCTTCGTATAAAAACTAGATGGAGTCATTCTCAGAAACTACTTTGTGATGTTTGCGTTCAACTCACAGAGTTTAACGTTTCTTTTCATAGAGCAGTTTGGAAACACTCTTTTTGCAGAATCTGCAAGTGGATATTTGGACCTCTTTGTGGCCTTCGTTGGAAACGGGATTTTTCATATAATGCTAGACAGAAAAATTCTCAGTAACTTCTTTTTGTGGTGTGTATTCAACTCACAGAGTTGAACCTTCCTTTAGACAGAGCAGATTTGAAACTCTCTTTTTGTGGAATTTGCAAGTGGAGATTTCAAGCGCTTTGAGGCCAACGGCAGAAAAGGAAATATCTTCGTAGAAAAAATAGACGGAATCATTCTCAGAAACTGCTTTGGGATGTGTGCATTGAACTCACAGTGTTTAACACTTCTTTTCATAGAGCACTTTGGAAACACTCAGTTTGTAATGTCTGCAGCTGGATATTTGGACCTCTTTGAGGCCTTCGTAGTAAACGGGATTTCTTCGTGTAATGATAGACAATAGAATTCTCAGTGAATTTTTTTCTGTGTGTGTGTATTCAACTCACAGGGTTGAACCTTCCTTTAGACAGTGCAGATTTGAAACACTTGTCTGTGGAATTTGCAAGGGGAGATTTCATGCACTTTGAGGCCATTGGTGAAAAAGGAAATATCTTCGTATAAAAACTAGACAGAATCATTCTCAGGAACTACTTTGTGATATGTGCATTCAACTCCCAGAGTTTAACCTTTCTTTTCATAGATGAGTTTGGAAACAGTCAGTTTGTAAATTCTGCAACTGGATATTTGGACCTCTTTGAGGCTTTCGTTGGAAACGGGATTTCTTCACATAATGCTAGACAGAAGAATTCTCAGTAACTTCTTTTGGGATGTATGCATTCAAATCAGAGAGTTGAACCTTCCTTTAGACAGAGCGGATTGGAAACACTCTTTTTGTGGAATTTGCAAGTGGAAAATTCTAGCAGTATGAGGCCAATGGTACAAAAGGAAATATCTTCGTATAAAAACTAGACAGTATCATTCTCAGAAACTGCTTTGTGATGTGTGTATTAAACTCACAGAGTTGAACATTTCTTTGCATAGAGCAGTTTGGAAAGACTTAGTTTGTGCAGTGTGCAAGTGGATATTTGGAACCCTTTGAGGCCTTCGTTGGAAACGGGATTTCTTCTTATAATTCTTGACAAAAGAATTCTCAGTAGCTTCTTTGTGTGTGTGTATTCAACTCACAGAGTTGAACCTTCCTTTAGACAGAGCAGATTGGAAACACTCTTTTTGTGGAATTTGCAAGTGGAGAATTCTAGCGCTTTGACGCCAATGGTAGAAAGGAAATATCTTCGTATAAAAACTAGACAGTATCATTCTCAGAAACTACTTTGTGATGTGTGCGTTCAACTCACAGAGTTTAGCCTTTCTTTTCATAGAGCAGTTTGGAAACACTCTGTTTGTGAAGTCTGCAAGTGGATATTTAAACGTCTTTGAGGCCTTCGTTGGAAACGGGATTTTTTCATATAAACCAGGACAGAAGAATTCTCAGAAACTTCTTGTTTGTTATGTGTGCATTCAACTCACAGAGTTGAACCTTACTTTGGAAAGAGCAGTTTTCTAACACTCTTTTTGTAAAAGTTCCAAGTGAATACTTTGAGTGCTTTGAAGCCTACGGTAGACAACGAAATATCTTCATGTAAAAACTACAAAGAATCATTCGCAGAAACCACGTTGTGATCTCTGCATTCAACTCACAGAGTTCAACCTTTCTTCCTACAGAGCAGTTATAAACAGTCTGTTTGTAGAATTTGCAAGGGTGTATTTAGAGGGCATTGAGGCCTACGGTAGAAAAGGAAATATCTGACCATAAAATCTAGTCAGAAGCATTCTCAGAAACTGAGTTGTGATGTTTGCATTCAACTCACAGAGTTCAACATTCCTTTTAATAGAGCGGTTTTGAAACACTCTTTTTGCAGAATCTGCAAGTGGATATTTGGACCTCTTTGAGGCCTTCGTTGGAAACGGGATTTCTTCATGTAATGCCAGACAGAAGAATTCTCAGTGAATTATTTCTGTGTGTGTGTATTCAACTCACAGAGTTGAACGTTCCTTTAGACAGAGTAGATTGGAAACACTCTTTTTGTGGAATTTTCAGGTGGAGGTATCAAGCGCTTTGAGGCCCATGATAGAAAAGGAAATACCTTCGTATAATAATTAGACGGAATCATTCTCAGAAACCGCTTTGCAATGTGTGCGTTCAACTCACAGTGTTTAACCTTTCTTTTCATACAGTTGTTTCGAAACACTCTTTTTGCAGAATCTGCAAGTGGATATTTGGACCTCTTTGAAGTCTTCGTTGGAAATGGGATTTCTTCATATAATGCTAGACAGAAGACTTCTCAGTAACTGCTTTTTCTGGTGTGTATTCAACTCTCAGAGTTGAACTTTCCTTTAGAAACAGCAGATTTGAAACTCTCTTTTTGTGGAATTTGCAAGTGGAGATTTCAGAGCTTTGAGGCCAATGGTAGAAAAGGAAATATCTTCGTATGCAAACTAGACAGAATCATTCTCAGAAACTACTTTGGTACGTGTGTGTTCAACTCACAGTGTTTAACCTTTCTTTTCATAGAGCAGTTTGGAAACACTCAGTTTGTAAAGTCAGCAACTGGATATTTGGATGTATTTGAGGCCTTCGTTGGAAACGGGATTTCTTCATATAATGCTAGACAGAAGAATTCTCAGTAACTTCTTTGGGTTGTGGGTATTCAAGTCACAGAGTTGAAGCTTCCTTTAGGCGGAGCAGATTGGAAACACTTTTTGTGGAATTTTCAGGGGGAGACTTCAAGCGCTTTGAAGTGAATGGTAGGAAAGGAAATATCTTCGTATAAAAACTAGACGGAGTCATTCTCAGAAACTACTTTGTGATGTTTGCGTTCAACTCACAGAGTTTAACGTTTCTTTTCATAGAGCAGTTTGGAAACACTCTTTTTGCAGAATCTGCAAGTGGATATTTGGACCTCTTTGTGGCCTTCGTTGGAAACGGGATTTTTCATATAATGCTAGACAGAAGAATTCTCAGTAACTTCTTTTTGTGGTGTGTATTCAACTCACAGAGTTGAACCTTCCTTTAGACAGAGCAGATTTGAAACTCTCTTTTTGTGGAATTTGCAAGTGGAGATTTCAAGCGCTTTGAGGCCAACGGCAGAAAAGGAAATATCTTCGTAGAAAAAATAGACGGAATCATTCTCAGAAACTGCTTTGGGATGTGTGCATTGAACTCACAGTGTTTAACACTTCTTTTCATAGAGCACTTTGGAAACACTCAGTTTGTAATGTCTGCAGCTGGATATTTGGACCTCTTTGAGGCCTTCGTGGTAAACGGGATTTCTTCGTGTAATGATAGACAATAGAATTCTCAGTGAATTTTTTTCTGTGTGTGTGTATTCAACTCACAGGGTTGAACCTTCCTTTAGACAGTGCAGATTTGAAACACTTTTCTGTGGAATTTGCAAGGGGAGATTTCAAGCACTTTGAGGCCATTGGTGGAAAAGGAAATATCTTCGTATAAAAACTAGACAGAATCATTCTCAGGAACTACTTTGTGATATGTGCATTCAACTCACAGAGTTTAACCTTTCTTTTCATAGATGAGTTTGGAAACAGTCAGTTTGTAAATTCTGCAACTGGATATTTGGACCTCTTGGAGGCTTTCGTTGGAAACGGGATTTCTTCACATAATGCTAGACAGAAGAATTCTCAGTAACTTCTTTTGGGATGTATGTATTCAAATCAGAGAGTTGAACCTTCCTTTAGACAGAGCGGATTGGAAACACTCTTTTTGTGGAATTTGCAAGTGGAAAATTCTAGCAGTATGAGGCCAATGGTACAAAAGGAAATATCTTCGTATAAAAACTAGACAGTATCATTCTCAGAAACTGCTTTGTGATGTGTGTATTAAACTCACAGAGTTGAACATTTCTTTGCATAGAGCAGTTTGGAAAGACTTAGTTTGTGCAGTGTGCAAGTGGATATTTGGAACTCTTTGAGGCCTTCGTTGGAAACGGGATTTCTTCTTATAATTTCTTGAAAAAAGAATTCTCAGTAGCTTCTTTGTGTGTGTGTATTCAACTCACAGAGTTGAACCTTCCTTTAGACAGAGCAGATTGGAAACACTCTTTTTGTGGAATTTGCAAGTGGAGAATTCTAGCGCTTTGACGCCAATGGTAGAAAGGAAATATCTTCGTATAAAAACTAGACAGTATCATTCTCAGAAGCTACTTTGTGATGTGTGCGTTCAACTCACAGAGTTTAACCTTTCTTTTCATAGAGCAGTTTGGAAACCCTCTGTTTGTGAAGTCTGCAAGTGGATATTTAAACGTCTTTGAGGCCTTCGTTGGAAACGGGATTTTTTCATATAAACCAGGACAGAAGAATTCTCAGAAACTTCTTGATTGTTATGTGTGCATTCAACTCACAGAGTTGAACCTTACTTTGGAAAGAGCAGTTTTCTAACACTCTTTTTGTAAAAGTTCCAAGTGAATACTTTGAGTGCTTTGAAGCCTACGGTTGACAACGAAATATCTTCATGTAAAAACTACAAAGAATCATTCGCAGAAACCACGTTGTGATCTCTGCATTCAACTCACAGAGTTGAACCTTTCTTCCTATAGAGCAGTTATGAAACAGTCTCTTTGTAGAATTTGCAAGGGTGTATTTAGAGGGCATTGAAGCCTACGGTAGGAAAGGAAATATCTTACCATAAAATCTAGTCAGAAGCATTCTCAGCAACTGAGTTGTGATGTTTGCATTCAACTCACAGAGTTCAACATTCCTTTTAATGGAGCGGTTTTGAAACACTCTTTTTGCAGAATCTGCAAGTGGATATTTGGACCTCTTTGAGGCCTTCGTTGGAAACGGGATTTCTTCATGTAATGCCAGACAGAAGAATTCTCAGTGAATTCTTTCTGTGTGTGTGTATTCAACTCACAGAGTTGAACGTTCCTTTAGACAGAGTAGATTGGAAACACTCTTTTTGTGGAATTTTCAGGTGGAGGTATCAAGCGCTTTGAGGCCAATGATAGAAAAGGAAATACCTTCGTATAATAATTACACGGAATCATTCTCAGAAACCGCTTTGCAATGTGTGCGTTCAACTCACAGTGTTTAACCTTTCTTTTCATACAGTTGTTTCGAAACACTCTTTTTGCAGAATCTGCAAGTGGATATTTGGACCTCTTTGAAGTCTTCGTTGGAAATGGGATTTCTTCATATAATGCTAGACAGAAGACTTCTCAGTAACTGCTTTTTCTGGTGTGTATTCAACTCTCAGAGTTGAACTTTCCTTTAGAAACAGCAGATTTGAAACTCTCTTTTTGTGGAATTTGCAAGTGGAGATTTCAGAGCTTTGAGGCCAATGGTAGAAAAGGAAATATCTTCGTATGCAAACTAGACAGAATCATTCTCAGAAACTACTTTGGTACGTGTGTGTTCAACTCACAGTGTTTAACCTTTCTTTTCATAGAGCAGTTTGGAAACACTCAGTTTGTAAAGTCAGCAACTGGATATTTGGATGTATTTGAGGCCTTCGTTGGAAACGGGATTTCTTCATATAGTGCTAGACAGAAGAATTCTCAGTAACTTCTTTGGGTTGTGGGTATTCAAGTCACAGAGTTGAAGCTTCCTTTAGGCGGAGCAGATTGGAAACACTTTTTGTGGAATTTTCAGGGGGAGACTTCAAGCGCTTTGAAGTGAATGGTAGGAAAGGAAATATCTTCGTATAAAAACTAGACGGAGTCATTCTCAGAAACTACTTTGTGATGTTTGCGTTCAACTCACAGAGTTTAACGTTTCTTTTCATAGAGCAGTTTGGAAACACTCTTTTTGCAGAATCTGCAAGTGGATATTTGGACCTCTTTGTGGCCTTCGTTGGAAACGGGATTTTTCATATAATGCTAGACAGAAGAATTCTCAGTAACTTCTTTTTGTGGTGTGTATTCAACTCACAGAGTTGAACCTTCCTTTAGACAGAGCAGATTTGAAACTCTCTTTTTGTGGAATTTGCAAGTGGAGATTTCAAGCGCTTTGAGGCCAACGGCAGAAAAGGAAATATCTTCGTAGAAAAAATAGACGGAATCATTCTCAGAAACTGCTTTGGGATGTGTGCATTGAACTCACAGTGTTTAACACTTCTTTTCATAGAGCACTTTGGAAACACTCAGGTTGTAATGTCTGCAGCTGGATATTTGGACCTCTTTGAGGCCTTCGTAGTAAACGGGATTTCTTCGTGTAATGATAGACAATAGAATTCTCAGTGAATTTTTTTCTGTGTGTGTGTATTCAACTCACAGGGTTGAACCTTCCTTTAGACAGTGCAGATTTGAGACACTTGTCTGTGGAATTTGCAAGGGGAGATTTCAAGCACTTTGAGGCCATTGGTGGAAAAGGAAATATCTTCGTATGAAAACTAGACAGAATCATTCTCAGGAACTACTTTGTCATATGTGCATTCAACTCCCAGAGTTTAACCTTTCTTTTCATAGATGAGTTTGGAAACAGTCAGTTTGTAAATTCTGCAACTGGATATTTGGACCTCTTTGAGGCTTTCGTTGGAAACGGGATTTCTTCACATAATGCTAGACAGAAGAATTCTCAGGAACTTCTTTTGGGATGTATGTATTCAAATCAGAGAGTTGAACCTTCCTTTAGACAGAGCGGATTGGAAACACTCTTTTTGTGGAATTTGCAAGTGGAAAATTCTAGCAGTATGAGGCCAATGGTACAAAAGGAAATATCTTCGTATAAAAACTAGACAGTATCATTCTCAGAAACTGCTTTGTGATGTGCGTATTAAACTCACAGAGTTGAACATTTCTTTGCATAGAGCAGTTTGGAAAGACTTAGTTTGTGCAGTGTGCAAGTGGATATTTGGAACTCTTTGAGGCCTTCGTTGGAAACGGGATTTCTTCTTATAATTCTTGACAAAAGAATTCTCAGTAGCTTCTTTGTGTGTGTGTATTCAACTCACAGAGTTGAACCTTCCTTTACACAGAGCAGATTGGAAACACTCTTTTTGTGGATTTTGCAAGTGGAGAATTCTAGCGCTTTGACGCCAATGGTAGAAAGGAAATATCTTCGTATAAAAACTAGACAGTATCATTCTCAGAAGCTACTTTGTGATGTGTGTGTTCAACTCACAGAGTTTAACCTTTCTTTTCATAATGCAGTTTGGAAACCCTCTGTTTGTGAAGTCTGCAAGTGGATATTTAAACGTCTTTGAGGCCTTCGTTGGAAACGGGATTTTTTCATATAAACCAGGACAGAAGAATTCTCAGAAACTTCTTGATTGTTATGTGTGCATTCAACTCACAGAGTTGAACCTTACTTTGGAAAGAGCAGTTTTCTAACACTCTTTTTGTAAAAGTTCCAAGTGAATACTTTGAGTGCTTTGAAGCCTACGGTTGACAACGAAATATCTTCATGTAAAAACTACAAAGAATCATTCGCAGAAACCACGTTGTGATCTCTGCATTCAACTCACAGAGTTCAACCTTTCTTCCTATAGAGCAGTTATGAAACAGTCTCTTTGTAGAATTTGCAAGGGTGTATTTAGAGGGCATTGAAGCCTACGGTAGAAAAGGAAATATCTTACCATAAAATCTAGTCAGAAGCATTCTCAGCAACTGAGTTGTGATGTTTCCATTCCACTCACAGAGTTCAACATTCCTTTTAATGGAGCGGTTTTGAAACACTCTTTTTGCAGAATCTGCAAGTGGATATTTGGACCTCTTTGAGGCCTTCGTTGGAAACGGGATTTCTTCATGTAATGCCAGACAGAAGAATTCTCAGTGAATTCTTTCTGTGTGTGTGTATTCAACTCACAGAGTTGAACGTTCCTTTAGACAGAGTAGATTGGAAACACTCTTTTTGTGGAATTTTCAGGTGGAGGTATCAAGCGCTTTGAGGCCAATGATAGAAAAGGAAATACCTTCGTATAATAATTAGACGGAATCATTCTCAGAAACTGCTTTGCAATGTGTGCGTTCAACTCACAGTGTTTAACCTTTCTTTTCATACAGTTTTGTTTCGAAACACTCTTTTTGCAGAATCTGCAAGTGGATATTTGGACCTCTTTGAAGTCTTCGTTGGAAATGGGATTTCTTCATATAATGCTAGACAGAAGACTTCTCAGTAACTGCTTTTTCTGGTGTGTATTCAACTCTCAGAGTTGAACTTTCCTTTAGAAACAGCAGAGTTGAAACTCTCTTTTTGTGGAATTTGCAAGTGGAGATTTCAAAGCTTTGAGGCCAATGGTAGAAAAGGAAATATCTTCGTATGCAAACTAGACAGAATCATTCTCAGAAACTACTTTGGTACGTGTGTGTTCAACTCACAGTGTTTAACCTTTCTTTTCATAGAGCAGTTTGGAAACACTCAGTTTGTAAAGTCAGCAACTGGATATTTGGATGTATTTGAGGCCTTCGTTGGAAACGGGATTTCTTCATATAGTGCTAGACAGAAGAATTCTCAGTAACTTCTTTGGGTTGTGGGTATTCAACTCACAGAGTTGAAGCTTCCTTTAGGCGGAGCAGATTGGAAACACTTTTTGTGGAATTTTCAGGGGGAGACTTCAAGCGCTTTGAAGTGAATGGTAGAAAAGGAAATATCTTCGTATAAAAACTAGACGGAGTCATTCTCAGAAACTACTTTGTGATGTTTGCGTTCAACTCACAGAGTTTAACGTTTCTTTTCATAGAGCAGTTTGGAAACACTCTTTTTGCAGAATCTGCAAGTGGATATTTGGACCTCTTTGTGGCCTTCGTTGGAAACGGGATTTTTCATATAATGCTAGACAGAAGAATTCTCAGTAACTTCTTTTTGTGGTGTGTATTCAACTCACAGAGTGGAACCTTCCTTTAGACAGAGCAGATTTGAAACTCTCTTTTCGTGGAATTTGCAAGTGGAGATTTCAGGCGCTTTGAGGCCAACGGTAGAAAAGGAAATATCTTCGTAGAAAAAATAGACGGAATCATTCTCAGAAACTGCTTTGGGATGTGTGCATTGAACTCACAGTGTTTAACACTTCTTTTCATAGAGCACTTTGGAAACACTCAGTTTGTAATGTCTGCAGCTGGATATTTGGACCTCTTTGAGGCCTTCGTAGTAAACGGGATTTCTTCGGGTAATGATAGACAATAGAAGCAATTCTCAGTGAATTTTTTTCTGTGTGTGTGTATTCAACTCACAGGGTTGAACCTTCCTTTAGACAGTGCAGATTTGAAACACTTGTCTGTGGAATTTGCAAGGGGAGATTTCAAGCACTTTGAGGCCATTGGTGGAAAAGGAAATATCTTCGTATGAAAACTAGACAGAATCATTCTCAGGAACTACTTTGTGATATGTGCATTCAACTCCCAGAGTTTAACCTTTCTTTTCATAGATGAGTTTGGAAACAGTCAGTTTGTAAATTCTGCAACTGGATATTTGGACCTCTTTGAGGCTTTCGTTGGAAACGGGATTTCTTCACATAATGCTAGACAGAAGAATTCTCAGTAACTTCTTTTGGGATGTATGTATTCAAATCAGAGAGTTGAACCTTCCTTTAGACAGAGCGGATTGGAAACACTCTTTTTGTGGAATTTGCAAGTGGAAAATTCTAGCAGTATGAGGCCAATGGTACAAAAGGAAATATTCTTCGTATAAAAACTAGACAGTATCATTCTCAGAAACTGCTTTGTGATGTGTGTATTAAACTCACAGAGTTGAACATTTCTTTGCATAGAGCAGTTTGGAAAGACTTAGTTTGTGCAGTGTGCAAGTGGATATTTGGAACTCTTTGAGGCCTTCGTTGGAAACGGGATTTCTTCTTATAATTCTTGACAAAAGGATTCTCAGTAGCTTCTTTGTGTGTGTGTACTCAACTCACAGAGTTGAACCTTCCTTTAGACAGAGCAGATTGGAAACACTCTTTTTGTGGAATTTGCAAGTGGAAAATTCTAGCAGTATGAGGCCAATGGTACAAAAGGAAATATCTTCGTATAAAAACTAGACAGTATCATTGTCAGAAACTACTTTGTGAGGTGTGCGTTCAACTCACAGTGTTTACCCTTTCTTTTCATAGAGCAGTTTGGAAACACTCTGTTTGTGAAGTCTGCAAGTGGATATTTAAACGTCTTTGAGGCCTTCGTTGGAAACGGGATTTCTTCATATAAACCAGGACAGAAGAATTCTCAGAAACTTCTTGTTTGTTATGTGTGCATTCAACTCACAGAGTTGAACCTTACTTTGGAAAGAGCAGTTTTCTAACACTCTTTTTGTAAAAGTTCCAAGTGAATACTTTGAGTGCTTTGAAGCCTACGGTAGACAACGAAATATCTTCATGTAAAAACTACAAAGAATCATTCGCAGAAACCACGTTGTGATCTCTGCATTCAACTCACAGAGTTCAACCTTTCTTCCTATAGAGCAGTTATTAAACAGTCTCTTTGTAGAATTTGCAAGGGTGTATTTAGAGGGCATTGAGGCCTACGGTAGAAAAGGAAATATCTGACCATAAAATCTAGTCAGAAGCATTCTCAGAAACTGAGTTGTGATGTTTGCATTCAACTCACAGAGTTCAACATTCCTTTTAATGGAGCGGTTTTGAAACACTCTTTTTGCAGAATCTGCAAGTGGATATTTGGACCTCTTTGAGGCCTTCGTTGGAAACGGGATTTCTTCATGTAATGCCAGACAGAAGAATTCTCAGTGAATTCTTTCTGTGTGTGTGTATTCAACTCACAGAGTTGAACGTTCCTTTAGACAGAGTAGATTGGAAACACTCTTTTTGTGGAATTTTCAGGTGGAGGTATCAAGCGCTTTGAGGCCAATGATAGAAAAGGAAATACCTTCGTATAATAATTAGACGGAATCATTCTCAGAAACTGCTTTGCAATGTGTGCGTTCAACTCACAGTGTTTAACCTTTCTTTTCATACAGTTGTTTCGAAACACTCTTTTTGCAGAATCTGCAAGTGGATATTTGGACCTCTTTGAAGTCTTCGTTGGAAATGGGATTTCTTCATATAATGCTAGACAGAAGACTTCTCAGTAACTGCTTTTTCTGGTGTGTATTCAACTCTCAGAGTTGAACTTTCCTTTAGAAACAGCAGATTTGAAACTCTCTTTTTGTGGAATTTGCAAGTGGAGATTTCAGAGCTTTGAGGCCAATGGTAGAAAAGGAAATATCTTCGTATGCAAACTAGACAGAATCATTCTCAGAAACTACTTTGGTACGTGTGTGTTCAACTCACAGTGTTTAACCTTTCTTTTCATAGAGCAGTTTGGAAACACTCAGTTTGTAAAGTCAGCAACTGGATATTTGGATGTATTTGAGGCCTTCGTTGGAAACGGGATTTCTTCATATAATGCTAGACAGAAGAATTCTCAGTAACTTCTTTGGGTTGTGGGTATTCAAGTCACAGAGTTGAAGCTTCCTTTAGGCGGAGCAGATTGGAAACACTTTTTGTGGAATTTTCAGGGGGAGACTTCAAGCGCTTTGAAGTGAATGGTAGGAAAGGAAATATCTTCGTATAAAAACTAGACGGAGTCATTCTCAGAAACTACTTTGTGATGTTTGCGTTCAACTCACAGAGTTTAACGTTTCTTTTCATAGAGCAGTTTGGAAACACTCTTTGCAGAATCTGCAAGTGGATATTTGGACCTCTTTGTGGCCTTCGTTGGAAACGGGATTTTTCATATAATGCTAGACAGAAGAATTCTCAGTAACTTCTTTTTGTGGTGTGTATTCAACTCACAGAGTTGAACCTTCCTTTAGACAGAGCAGATTTGAAACTCTCTTTTTGTGGAATTTGCAAGTGGAGATTTCAAGCGCTTTGAGGCCAACGGCAGAAAAGGAAATATCTTCGTAGAAAAAATAGACGGAATCATTCTCAGAAACTGCTTTGGGATGTGTGCATTGAACTCACAGTGTTTAACACTTCTTTTCATAGAGCACTTTGGAAACACTCAGGTTGTAATGTCTGCAGCTGGATATTTGGACCTCTTTGAGGCCTTCGTGGTAAACGGGATTTCTTCGTGTAATGATAGACAATAGAATTCTCAGTGAATTTTTTTCTGTGTGTGTGTATTCAACTCACAGGGTTGAACCTTCCTTTAGACAGTGCAGATTTGAAACACTTGTCTGTGGAATTTGCAAGGGGAGATTTCAAGCACTTTGAGGCCATTGGTGGAAAAGGAAATATCTTCGTATGAAAACTAGACAGAATCATTCTCAGGAACTACTTTGTGATATGTGCATTCAACTCCCAGAGTTCAACCTTTCTTTTCATAGATGAGTTTGGAAACAGTCAGTTTGTAAATTCTGCAACTGGATATTTGGACCTCTTTGAGGCTTTCGTTGGAAACGGGATTTCTTCACATAATGCTAGACAGAAGAATTCTCAGTAACTTCTTTTGGGATGTATGTATTCAAATCAGAGAGTTGAACCTTCCTTTAGACAGAGCGGATTGGAAACACTCTTTTTGTGGAATTTGCAAGTGGAAAATTCTAGCAGTATGAGGCCAATGGTACAAAAGGAAATATCTTCGTATAAAAACTAGACAGTATCATTCTCAGAAACTGCTTTGTGATGTGTGTATTAAACTCACAGAGTTGAACATTTCTTTGCATAGAGCAGTTTGGAAAGACTTAGTTTGTGCAGTGTGCAAGTGGATATTTGGAACTCTTTGAGGCCTTCGTTGGAAACGGGATTTCTTCTTATAATTCTTGACAAAAGAATTATCAGTAGCTTCTTTGTTTGTGTGTATTCAACTCACAGAGTTGAACCTTCCTTTAGACAGAGCAGATTGGAAACACTCTTTTTGTGGAATTTGCAAGTGGAGAATTCTAGCGATTTGACGCCAATGGTAGAAAAGGAAATATCTTCGTATAAAAACTAGACAGTTATCATTCTCAGTAAACTACTTTGTGATGTGTGCGTTCAACTCACAGTAGTTTAACCTTTCTTTTCATAGAGCAGTTTGGAAACACTCTGTTTGTGAAGTCTGCAAGTGGATATTTAAACGTCTTTGAGGCCTTCGTTGGAAACGGGATTTCTTCATATAAACCAGGACAGAAGAATTCTCAGAAACTTCTTGATTGTTATGTGTGCATTCAACTCACAGAGTTGAACCTTACTTTGGAAAGAGCAGTTTTCTAACACTCTTTTTGTAAAAGTTCCAAGTGAATACTTTGAGTGCTTTGAAGCCTACGGTTGACAACGAAATATCTTCATGTAAAAACTACAAAGAATCATTCGCAGAAACCACGTTGTGATCTCTGCAGTCAACTCACAGAGTTCAACCTTTCTTCCTATAGAGCAGTTATGAAACAGTCTCTTTGTAGAATTTGCAAGGGTGTATTTAGAGGGCATTGAAGCCTACGGTAGAAAAGGAAATATCTTACCATAAAATCTAGTCAGAAGCATTCTCAGAAACTGAGTTGTGATGTTTGCATTCAACTCACAGAGTTCAACATTCCTTTTCATGGAGCGGTTTTGAAACACTCTTTTTGCAGAATCTGCAAGTGGATATTTGGACCTCTTTGAGGCCTTCGTTGAAAACGGGATTTCTTCATGTAATGCCAGACAGAAGAATTCTCAGTAACTTCTTTTTGTGGTGTGTATTCAACTCACAGAGTTGAACCTTCCTTTAGACAGAGCAGATTTGAACCTCTCTTTTTGTGGAATTTGCAAGTGGAGATTTCAAGCGCTTTGAGGCCAACGGCAGAAAAGGAAATATACTTCGTAGAAAAAATAGACGGAATCATTCTCAGAAACTGCTTTGGGATGTGTGCATTGAACTCACAGTGTTTAACACTTCTTTTCATAGAGCACTTTGGAAACACTCAGTTTGAAATGTCTGCAGCTGGATATTTGGACCTCTTTGAGGCCTTCGTAGTAAACGGGATTTCTTCGTGTAATGATAGACAATAGAATTCTCAGTGAATTTGTTTCTGTGTGTGTGTATTCAACTCACAGGGTTGAACCTTCCCTTTAGACAGTGCAGATTTGAAACACTTGTCTGTGGAATTTGCAAGGGGAGATTTCAAGCACTTTGAGGCCATTGGTGGAAAAGGAAATATCTTCGTATAAAAACTAGACAGAATCATTCTCAGGAACTACTTTGTGATATGTGCATTCAACTCACAGAGTTTAACCTTTCTTTTCATAGATGAGTTTGGAAACAGTCAGTTTGTAAATTCTGCAACTGGATATTTGGACCTCTTTGAGGCTTTCGTTGGAAACGGGATTTCTTCACATAATGCTAGACAGAAGAATTCTCAGTAACTTCTTTTGGGATGTATGTATTCAAATCAGAGAGTTGAACCTTCCTTTAGACAGAGCGGATTGGAAACACTCTTTTTGTTTAATTTGCAAGTGGAAAATTCTAGCAGTATGAGGCCAATGGTACAAAAGGAAATATCTTCGTATAAAAACTAGACAGTATCATTCTCAGAAACTGCTTTGTGATGTGTGTATTAAACTCACAGAGTTGAACATTTCTTTGCATAGAGCAGTTTGGAAAGACTTAGTTTGTGCAGTGTGCAAGTGGATATTTGGAACTCTTTGAGGCCTTCGTTGGAAACGGGATTTCTTCTTATAATTCTTGACAAAAGAATTCTCAGTAGCTTCTTTGTGTGTGTGTATTCAACTCACAGAGTTGAACCTTCCTTTAGACAGAGCAGATTGGAAACACTCTTTTTGTGGAATTTGCAAGTGGAGAATTCTAGCGCTTTGACGCCAATGGTAGAAAGGAAATATCTTCGTATAAAAACTAGACAGTATCATTCTCAGAAGCTACTTTGTGATGTGTGCGTTCAACTCACAGAGTTTAACCTTTCTTTTCATAGAGCAGTTTGGAAACCCTCTGTTTGTGAAGTCTGCAAGTGGATATTTAAACGTCTTTGAGGCCTTCGTTGGAAACGGGATTTTTTCATATAAACCAGGACAGAAGAATTCTCAGAAACTTCTTGATTGTTATGTGTGCATTCAACTCACAGAGTTGAACCTTACTTTGGAAAGAGCAGTTTCCTAACACTCTTTTTGTAAAAGTTCCAAGTGAATACTTTGAGTGCTTTGAAGCCTACGGTTGACAACGAAATATCTTCCTGTAAAAACTACAAAGAATCATTCGCAGAAACCACGTTGTGATCTCTGCATTCAACTCACAGAGTTGAACCTTTCTTCCTATAGAGCAGTTATGAAACAGTCTCTTTGTAGAATTTGCAAGGGTGTATTTAGAGGGCATTGAAGCCTACGGTAGAAAAGGAAATATCTTACCATAAAATCTAGTCAGAAGCATTCTCAGCAACTGAGTTGTGATGTTTCCATTCAACTCACAGAGTTCAACATTCCTTTTAATGGAGCGGTTTTGAAACACTCTTTTTGCAGAATCTGCAAGTGGATATTTGGACCTCTTTGAGGCCTTCGTTGGAAACGGGATTTCTTCATGTAATGCCAGACAGAAGAATTCTCAGTGAGTTCTTTCTGTGTGTGTGTATTCAACTCACAGAGTTGAACGTTCCTTTAGACAGAGTAGATTGGAAACACTCTTTTTGTGGAATTTTCAGGTGGAGGTATCAAGCGCTTTGAGGCCAATGATAGAAAAGGAAATACCTTCGTATAATAATTAGACGGAATCATTCTCAGAAACCGCTTTGCAATGTGTGCGTTCAACTCACAGTGTTTAACCTTTCTTTTCATACAGTTGTTTCGAAACACTCTTTTTGCAGAATCTGCAAGTGGATATTTGGACCTCTTTGAAGTCTTCGTTGGAAATGGGATTTCTTCATATAATGCTAGACAGAAGACTTCTCAGTAACTGCTTTTTCTGGTGTGTATTCAACTCTCAGAGTTGAACTTTCCTTTAGAAACAGCAGATTTGAAACTCTCTTTTTGTGGAATTTGCAAGTGGAGATTTCAGAGCTTTGAGGCCAATGGTAGAAAAGGAAATATCTTCGTATGCAAACTAGACAGAATCATTCTCAGAAACTACTTTGGTACGTGTGTGTTCAACTCACAGTGTTTAACCTTTCTTTTCATAGAGCAGTTTGGAAACACTCAGTTTGTAAAGTCAGCAACTGGATATTTGGATGTATTTGAGGCCTTCGTTGGAAACGGGATTTCTTCATATAATGCTAGACAGAAGAATTCTCAGTAACTTCTTTGGGTTGTGGGTATTCAAGTCACAGAGTTGAAGCTTCCTTTAGGCGGAGCAGATTGGAAACACTTTTTGTGGAATTTTCAGGGGGAGACTTCAAGCGCTTTGAAGTGAATGGTAGGAAAGGAAATATCTTCGTATAAAAACTAGACGGAGTCATTCTCAGAAACTACTTTGTGATGTTTGCGTTCAACTCACAGAGTTTAACGTTTCTTTTCATAGAGCAGTTTGGAAACACTCTTTTTGCAGAATCTGCAAGTGGATATTTGGACCTCTTTGTGGCCTTCGTTGGAAACGGGATTTTTCATATAATGCTAGACAGAAGAATTCTCAGTAACTTCTTTTTGTGGTGTGTATTCAACTCACAGAGTTGAACCTTCCTTTAGACAGAGCAGATTTGAAACTCTCTTTTTGTGGAATTTGCAAGTGGAGATTTCAAGCGCTTTGAGGCCAACGGCAGAAAAGGAAATATCTTCGTAGAAAAAATAGACGGAATCATTCTCAGAAACTGCTTTGGGATGTGTGCATTGAACTCACAGTGTTTAACACTTCTTTTCATAGAGCACTTTGGAAACACTCAGTTTGTAATGTCTGCAGCTGGATATTTGGACCTCTTTGAGGCCTTCGTAGTAAACGGGATTTCTTCGTGTAATGATAGACAATAGAATTCTCAGTGAATTTTTTTCTGTGTGTGTGTATTCAACTCACAGGGTTGAACCTTCCTTTAGACAGTGCAGATTTGAAACACTTGTCTGTGGAATTTGCAAGGGGAGATTTCAAGCACTTTGAGGCCATTGGTGGAAAAGGAAATATCTTCGTATGAAAACTAGACAGAATCATTCTCAGGAACTACTTTGTGATATGTGCATTCAACTCACAGAGTTTAACCTTTCTTTTCATAGATGAGTTTGGAAACAGTCAGTTTGTAAATTCTGCAACTGGATATTTGGACCTCTTTGAGGCTTTCATTGGAAACGGGATTTCTTCACATAATGCTAGACAGAAGAATTCTCAGTAACTTCTTTTGGGATGTATGTATTCAAATCAGAGAGTTGAACCTTCCTTTAGACAGAGCGGATTGGAAACACTCTTTTTGTGGAATTTGCAAGTGGAAAATTCTAGCAGTATGAGGCCAATGGTACAAAAGGAAATATCTTCGTATAAAAACTAGACAGTATCATTCTCAGAAACTGCTTTGTGATGTGTGTATTAAACTCACAGAGTTTAACCTTTCTTTTCATAGAGCAGTTTGGAAACCCTCTGTTTGTGAAGTCTGCAAGTGGATATTTAAACGTCTTTGAGGCCTTCGTTGGAAACGGGATTTTTTCATATAAACCAGGACAGAAGAATTCTCAGAAACTTCTTGATTGTTATGTGTGCATTCAACTCACAGAGTTGAACCTTACTTTGGAAAGAGCAGTTTCCTAACACTCGTTTTGTAAAAGTTCCAAGTGAATACTTTGAGTGCTTTGAAGCCTACGGTTGACAACGAAATATCTTCATGTAAAAACTACAAAGAATAATTCGCAGAAACCACGTTGTGATCTCTGCATTCAACTCACAGAGTTGAACCTTTCTTCCTATAGAGCAGTTATGAAACAGTCTCTTTGTAGAATTTGCAAGGGTGTATTTAGAGGGCATTGAAGCCTACGGTAGAAAAGGAAATATCTTACCATAAAATCTAGTCAGAAGCATTCTCAGAAACTGAGTTGTGATGTTTGCATTCAACTCACAGAGTTCAACATTCCTTTTAATGGAGCGGTTTTGAAACACTCTTTTTGCAGAATCTGCAAGTGGATATTTGGACCTCTTTGAGGCCTTCGTTGGAAACGGGATTTCTTCATGTAATGCCAGACAGAAGAATTCTCAGTGAATTCTTTCTGTGTGTGTGTATTCAACTCACAGAGTTGAACGTTCCTTTAGACAGAGTAGATTGGAAACACTCTTTTTGTGGAATTTTCAGGTGGAGGTATCAAGCGCTTTGAGGCCAATGATAGAAAAGGAAATACCTTCGTATAATAATTAGACGGAATCATTCTCAGAAACTGCTTTGCAATGTGTGCGTTCAACTCACAGTGTTTAACCTTTCTTTTCATACAGTTGTTTCGAAACACTCTTTTTGCAGAATCTGCAAGTGGATATTTGGACCTCTTTGAAGTCTTCGTTGGAAATGGGATTTCTTCATATAATGCTAGACAGAAGACTTCTCAGTAACTGCTTTTTCTGGTGTGTATTCAACTCTCAGAGTTGAACTTTCCTTTAGAAACAGCAGATTTGAAACTCTCTTTTTGTGGAATTTGCAAGTGGAGATTTCAGAGCTTTGAGGCCAATGGTAGAAAAGGAAATATCTTCGTATGCAAACTAGACAGAATCATTCTCAGAAACTACTTTGGTACGTGTGTGTTCAACTCACAGTGTTTAACCTTTCTTTTCATAGAGCAGTTTGGAAACACTCAGTTTGTAAAGTCAGCAACTGGATATTTGGATGTATTTGAGGCCTTCGTTGGAAACGGGATTTCTTCATATAATGCTAGACAGAAGAATTCTCAGTAACTTCTTTGGGTTGTGGGTATTCAAGTCACAGAGTTGAAGCTTCCTTTAGGCGGAGCAGATTGGAAACACTTTTTGTGGAATTTTCAGGGGGAGACTTCAAGCGCTTTGAAGTGAATGGTAGGAAAGGAAATATCTTCGTATAAAAACTAGACGGAGTCATTCTCAGAAACTACTTTGTGATGTTTGCGTTCAACTCACAGAGTTTAACGTTTCTTTTCATAGAGCAGTTTGGAAACACTCTTTTTGCAGAATCTGCAAGTGGATATTTGGACCTCTTTGTGGCCTTCGTTGGAAACGGGATTTTTCATATAATGCTAGACAGAAGAATTCTCAGTAACTTCTTTTTGTGGTGTGTATTCAACTCACAGAGTTGAACCTTCCTTTAGACAGAGCAGATTTGAAACTCTCTTTTTGTGGAATTTGCAAGTGGAGATTTCAAGCGCTTTGAGGCCAACGGCAGAAAAGGAAATATCTTCGTAGAAAAAATAGACGGAATCATTCTCAGAAACTGCTTTGGGATGTGTGCATTGAACTCACAGTGTTTAACACTTCTTTTCATAGAGCACTTTGGAAACACTCAGTTTGTAATGTCTGCAGCTGGATATTTGGACCTCTTTGAGGCCTTCGTAGTAAACGGGATTTCTTCGTGTAATGATAGACAATAGAATTCTCAGTGAATTTGTTTCTGTGTGTGTGTATTCAACTCACAGGGTTGAACCTTCCTTTACACAGTGCAGATTTGAAACACTTGTCTGTGGAATTTGCAAGGGGAGATTTCAAGCACTTTGAGGCCATTGGTGGAAAAGGAAATATCTTCGTATGAAAACTAGACAGAATCATTCTCAGGAACTACTTTGTGATATGTGCATTCAACTCCCAGAGTTTAACCTTTCTTTTCATAGATGAGTTTGGAAACAGTCAGTTTGTAAATTCTGCAACTGGATATTTGGACCTCTTTGAGGCTTTCGTTGGAAACGGGATTTCTTCACATAATGCTAGACAGAAGAATTCTCAGTAACTTCTTTTGGGATGTATGTATTCAAATCAGAGAGTTGAACCTTCCTTTAGACAGAGCGGATTGGAAACTCTCTTTTTGTGGAATTTGCAAGTGGAAAATTCTAGCAGTATGAGGCCAATGGTACAAAAGGAAATATCTTCGTATAAAAACTAGACAGTATCATTCTCAGAAACTGCTTTGTGATGTGTGTATTAAACTCACAGAGTTGAACATTTCTTTGCATAGAGCAGTTTGGAAAGACTTAGTTTGTGCAGTGTGCAAGTGGATATTTGGAACTCTTTGAGGCCTTCGTTGGAAACGGGATTTCTTCTTATAATTCTTGACAAAAGAATTCTCAGTAGCTTCTTTGTGTGTGTGTATTCAACTCACAGAGTTGAACCTTCCTTTAGACAGAGCAGATTGGAAACACTCTTTTTGTGGAATTTGCAAGTGGAGAATTCTAGCGCTTTGACACCAATGGTAGAAAGGAAATATCTTCGTATAAAAACTAGACAGTATCATTCTCAGAAGCTACTTTGTGATGTGTGCGTTCAACTCACAGAGTTTAACCTTTCTTTTCATAGAGCAGTTTGGAAACCCTCTGTTTGTGAAGTCTGCAAGTGGATATTTAAACGTCTTTGAGGCCTTCGTTGGAAACGGGATTTTTTCATATAAACCAGGACAGAAGAATTCTCAGAAACTTCTTGATTGTTATGTGTGCATTCAACTCACAGAGTTGAACCTTACTTTGGAAAGAGCAGTTTTCTAATACTTTTTGTAAAAGTTCCAAGTGAATACTTTGAGTGCTTTGAAGCCTACGGTTGACAACGAAATATCTTCATGTAAAAACTACAAAGAATCATTCGCAGAAACCACGTTGTGATCTCTGCATTCAACTCACAGAGTTGAACCTTTCTTCCTATAGAGCAGTTATGAAACAGTCTCTTTGTAGAATTTGCAAGGGTGTATTTAGAGGGTATTGAAGCCTACGGCAGAAAAGGAAATATCTTACCATAAAATCTAGTCAGAAGCATTCTCAGCAACTGAGTTGTGATGTTTCCATTCAACTCACAGAGTTCAACATTCCTTTTAATGGAGCGGTTTTGAAACACTCTTTTTGCAGAATCTGCAAGTGGATATTTGGACCTCTTTGAGGTCTTCGTTGGAAACGGGATTTCTTCATGTAATGCCAGACAGAAGAATTCTCAGTGAATTCTTTCTGTGTGTGTGTATTCAACTCACAGAGTTGAACGTTCCTTTAGACAGAGTAGATTGGAAACACTCTTTTTGTGGAATTTTCAGGTGGAGGTATCAAGCGCTTTGAGGCCAATGATAGAAAAGGAAATACCTTCGTATAATAATTAGACGGAATCATTCTCAGAAACTGCTTTGCAATGTGTGCGTTCAACTCACAGTGTTTAACCTTTCTTTTCATACAGTTGTTTCGAAACACTCTTTTTGCAGAATCTGCAAGTGGATATTTGGACCTCTTTGAAGTCTTCGTTGGAAATGGGATTTCTTCATATAATGCTAGACAGAAGACTTCTCAGTAACTGCTTTTTCTGGTGTGTATTCAACTCTCAGAGTTGAACTTTCCTTTAGAAACAGCAGAGTTGAAACTCTCTTTTTGTGGAATTTGCAAGTGGAGATTTCAAAGCTTTGAGGCCAATGGTAGAAAAGGAAATATCTTCGTATGCAAACTAGACAGAATCATTCTCAGAAACTACTTTGGTACGTGTGTGTTCAACTCACAGTGTTTAACCTTTCTTTTCATAGAGCAGTTTGGAAACACTCAGTTTGTAAAGTCAGCAACTGGATATTTGGATGTATTTGAGGCCTTCGTTGGAAACGGGATTTCTTCATATAATGCTAGACAGAAGAATTCTCAGTAACTTCTTTGGGTTGTGGGTATTCAACTCACAGAGTTGAAGCTTCCTTTAGGCGGAGCAGATTGGAAACACTTTTTGTGGAATTTTCAGGGGGAGACTTCAAGCGCTTTGAAGTGAATGGTAGAAAAGGAAATATCTTCGTATAAAAACTAGACGGAGTCATTCTCAGAAACTACTTTGTGATGTTTGCGTTCAACTCACAGAATTTAACGTTTCTTTTCATAGAGCAGTTTGGAAACACTCTTTTTGCAGAATCTGCAAGTGGATATTTGGACCTCTTTGTGGCCTTCGTTGGAAACGGGATTTTTCATATAATGCTAGACAGAAGAATTCTCAGTAACTTCTTTTGTGGTGTGTATTCAACTCACAGAGTTGAACCTTCCTTTAGACAGAGCAGATTTGAAACTCTCTTTTTGTGGAATTTGCAAGTGGAGATTTCAAGCGCTTTGAGGCCAACGGTAGAAAAGGAAATATCTTCGTAGAAAAAATAGACGGAATCATTCTCAGAAACTGCTTTGGGATGTGTGCATTGAACTCACAGTGTTTAACACTTCTTTTCATAGAGCACTTTGGAAACACTCAGTTTGTAATGTCTGCAGCTGGATATTTGGACCTCTTTGAGGCCTTCGTAGTAAACGGGATTTCTTCGTGTAATGATAGACAATAGAATTCTCAGTGAATTTTTTTCTGTGTGTGTGTATTCAACTCACAGGGTTGAACCTTCCTTTAGACAGTGCAGATTTGAAACACTTGTCTGTGGAATTTGCAAGGGGAGATTTCAAGCACTTTGAGGCCATTGGTGGAAAAGGAAATATCTTCGTATGAAAACTAGACAGAATCATTCTCAGGAACTACTTTGTGATATGTGCATTCAACTCACAGAGTTTAACCTTTCTTTTCATAGATGAGTTTGGAAACAGTCAGTTTGTAAATTCTGCAACTGGATATTTGGACCTGCTTTGAGGCTTTCGTTGGAAACGGGATTTCTTCACATAATGCTAGACAGAAGAATTCTCAGTAACTTCTTTTGGGATGTATGTATTCAAATCAGAGAGTTGAACCTTCCTTTAGACAGAGCGGATTGGAAACACTCTTTTTGTGGAATTTGCAAGTGGAAAATTCTAGCAGTATGAGGCCAATGGTACAAAAGGAAATATCTTCGTATAAAAACTAGACAGTATCATTCTCAGAAACTGCTTTGTGATGTGTGTATTAAACTCACAGATTTGAACATTTCTTTGCATAGAGCAGTATGGAAAGACTTAGTTTGTGCAGTGTGCAAGTGGATATTTGGAACTCTTTGAGGCCTTGGTTGGAAACGGGATTTCTTCTTATAATTCTTGACAAAAGAATTCTCAGTAGCTTCTTTGTGTGTGTGTACTCAACTCACAGAGTTGAACCTTCCTTTAGACAGAGCAGATTGGAAACACTCTTTTTGTGGAATTTGCAAGTGGAAAATTCTAGCAGTATGAGGCCAATGGTACAAAAGGAAATATCTTCGTATAAAAACTAGACAGTATCATTCTCAGAAACTACTTTGGGATGTGTGCGTTCAACTCACAGTGTTTAACACTTCTTTTCATAGAGCACTTTGGAAACACTCAGTTTGTAAGGTTTGCAACTGGATATTTGGACCTCTTTGAGGCCTTCGCAGTAAACGGGATTTCTTCGCGTAATGATATACAGTAGCATTCTCAGTGAATTTTTTTTGTGTGTGTGTATTCAACTCACAGGTTTGAACCTTCCTTTAGACAGTGCAGATTTGAAACACTTTTGTGGAATTTCCAAGGGGAAATTTCAAGCACCTTGAGGGCAGTGGTGGAAAAGGAAATATCTTCGTATAAAAACTAGACAGAATCATTCTCAGGAACTACTTTGTGATATGTGCATTCAACTCACAGTTTAACCTTTCTTTTCATAGATGAGTTTGGAAACAGTCAGTTTGTAAATTCTGCAACTGGATATTTGGACCTCTTTGAGGCTTTCGTTGGAAACGGGATTTCTTCACATAATGCTAGACAGAAGAATTCTCAGTAACTTCTTATGGGTTGTGTGTATTTAACTCAGAGAGTTGAACCTTCCTTTAGACAGAGCAGATTGGAAACACGCTTTTTGCAGAATTTTCAGGTGGAGATTTCAAGAGCCTTGAGGCCAATGGTAGAAACGGCTATCTTCGT
Organism: Homo sapiens; assembly: GCF_000001405.40. NCBI lineage: Eukaryota > Metazoa > Chordata > Mammalia > Primates > Hominidae > Homo > Homo sapiens. The sequence goes on from NC_000003.12 coordinate 92,810,059, forward strand.
ATAAAAACTAGACGGAATCATTCTCAGAAACTGCTTTGTGATGTGTGTATTAAACTCACAGAGTTGAACATTTCTTTGCATAGAGCAGTTTGGAAAGACTTAGTTTGTGCAGTGTGCAAGTGGATATTTGGAACTCTTTGAGGCCCTTCGTTGGAAACGGGATTTCTTCTTATAATTCTTGACAAAAGAATTCTCAGTAGCTTCTTTGTGTGTGTGTATTCAACTCACAGAGTTGAACCTTCCTTTAGACAGAGCAGATTGGAAACACTCTTTTTGTGGAATTTGCAAGTGGAGAATTCTAGCGCTTTGACGCCAATGGTAGAAAGGAAATATCTTCGTATAAAAACTAGACAGTATCATTCTCAGAAGCTACTTTGTGATGTGTGCATTCAACTCACAGAGTTTAACCTTTCTTTTCATAGAGCAGTTTGGAAACCCTCTGTTTGTGAAGTCTGCAAGTGGATATTTAAACGTCTTTGAGGCCTTCGTTGGAAACGGGATTTTTTCATATAAACCAGGACAGAAGAATTCTCAGAAACTTCTTGATTGTTATGTGTGCATTCAACTCACAGAGTTGAACCTTACTTTGGAAAGAGCAGTTTTCTAACACTCTTTTTGTAAAAGTTCCAAGTGAATACTTTGAGTGCTTTGAAGCCTACGGTTGACAACGAAATATCTTCATGTAAAAACTACAAAGAATCGTTCGCAGAAACCACGTTGTGATCTCTGCATTCAACTCACAGAGTTGAACCTTTCTTCCTATAGAGCAGTTATGAAACAGTCTCTTTGTAGAATTTGCAAGGGTGTATTTAGAGGGCATTGAAGCCTACGGTAGAAAAGGAAATATCTTACCATAAAATCTAGTCAGAAGCATTCTCAGCAACTGAGTTGTGATGTTTGCATTCAACTCACAGAGTTCAACATTCCTTTTAATGGGAGCGGTTTTGAAACACTCTTTTTGCAGAATCTGCAAGTGGATATTTGGACCTCTTTGAGGCCTTCGTTGGAAACGGGATTTCTTCATGTAATGCCAGACAGAGTAATTCTCAGTGAATTCTTTCTGTGTGTGTGTATTCAACTCACAGAGTTGAACGTTCCTTTAGACAGAGTAGATTGGAAACACTCTTTTTGTGGAATTTTCAGGTGGAGGTATCAAGCGCTTTGAGGCCAATGATAGAAAAGGAAATACCTTCGTATAATAATTAGACGGAATCATTCTCAGAAACTGCTTTGCAATGTGTGCGTTCAACTCACAGTGTTTAACCTTTCTTTTCATACAGTTGTTTCGAAACACTCTTTTTGCAGAATCTGCAAGTGGATATTTGGACCTCTTTGAAGTCTTCGTTGGAAATGGGATTTCTTCATATAATGCTAGACAGAAGACTTCTCAGTAACTGCTTTTTCTGGTGTGTATTGAACTCTCAGAGTTGAACTTTCCTTTAGAAACAGCAGATTTGAAACTCTCTTTTTGTGGAATTTGCAAGTGGAGATTTCAAAGCTTTGAGGCCAATGGTAGAAAAGGAAATATCTTCGTATGCAAACTGGACATAATCATTCTCAGAAACTACTTTGGTACGTGTGTGTTCAACTCACAGTGTTTAACCTTTCCTTTCATAGAGCAGTTTGGAAACACTCAGTTTGTAAAGTCAGCCACTGGATATTTGGATGTATTTGAGGCCTTCGTTGGAAACGGGATTTCTTCATATAATGCTAGACAGAAGAATTCTCAGTAACTTCTTTGTGTTGTGGGTATTCAACTCACAGAGTTGAAGCTTCCTTTAGGCGGAGCAGATTGGAAACACTTTTTGTGGAATTTTCAGGGGGAGACTTCAAGCGCTTTGAGGCCAACGGTAGAAAAGGAAATATCTTCGTATAAAAACTAGACGGAGTCATTCTCAGAAACTACTTTGTGATGTTTGCGTTCAACTCACAGAGTTTAACGTTTCTTTTCATAGAGCAGTTTGGAGACACTCTTTTTGCAGAATCTGCAAGTGGATATTTGGACCTCTTTGTGGCCTTCGTTGGAAACGGGATTTTTCATATAATGCTAGACAGAAGAATTCTCAGTAACTTCTTTTTGTGGTGTGTATTCAACTCACAGAGTTGAACCTTCCTTTAGACAGAGCAGATTTGAAACTCTCTTTTTGTGGAATTTGCAAGTGGAGATTTCAAGCGCTTTGGGGCCAACGGTAGAAAAGGAAATATCTTCGTAGAAAAAATAGACGGAATCATTCTCAGAAACTGCTTTGGGATGTGTGCATTGAACTCACAGTGTTTAACACTTCTTTTCATAGAGCACTTTGGAAACAGTCAGTTTGGAATGTCTGCAGCTGGATATTTGGACCTCTTTGAGGCCTTCGTAGTAAACGGGATTTCTTCGGGTAATGATAGACAATAGAATTCTCAGTGAATTTTTTTCTGTGTGTGTGTATTCAACTCACAGGGTTGAACCTTCCTTCAGACAGTACAGATTTGAAACACTTTTCTGTGGAATTTGCAAGGGGAGATTTCAAGCACTTTGTGGCCATTGGTGGAAAAGGGAATATCTTCGTATAAAAACTAGACAGAGTCATTGTCAGGAACTACTTTGTGATATGTGCATTCAACTCCCAGAGTTTAACCTTTCTTTTCATAGATGAGTTTGGAAACAGTCAGTTTGTAAATTCTGCAACTGGATATTTGGACCTCTTTGAGGCTTTCGTTGGAAACGGGATTTCTTCACATAATGCTAGACAGAAGAATTCTCAGTAACTTCTTTTGGGATGTATGTATTCAAATCAGAGAGTTGAACCTTCCTTTAGACAGAGCGGATTGGAAACACTCTTTTTGTGGAATTTGCAAGTGGAAAATTCTAGCAGTATGAGGCCAATGGTACAAAAGGAAATATCTTCGTATAAAAACTAGACAGTATCATTCTCAGAAACTGCTTTGTGATGTGTGTATTAAACTCACAGAGTTGAACATTTCTTTGCATAGAGCAGTTTGGAAAGACTTAGTTTGTGCAGTGTGCAAGTGGATATTTGGAACTCTTTGAGGCCTTCGTTGGAAACGGGATTTCTTCTTATAATTCTTGACAAAAGAATTCTCAGTAGCTTCTTTGTGTGTGTGTATTCAACTCACAGAGTTGAACCTTCCTTTAGACAGAGCAGATTGGAAACACTCTTTTTGTGGAATTTGCAAGTGGAGAATTCTAGCGCTTTGACGCCAATGGTAGAAAGGAAATATGTTCATATAAAAACTAGACAGTATCATTCTCAGAAACTGCTTTGTGATGTGTGTATTAAACTCACAGAGTTTAACCTTTCTTTTCATAGAGCAGTTTGGAAACCCTCTGTTTGTGAAGTCTGCAAGTGGATATTTAAACGTCTTTGAGGCCTTCGTTGGAAACGGGATTTTTTCATATAAACCAGGACAGAAGAATTCTCAGAAACTTCTTGATTGTTATGTGTGCATTCAACTCACAGAGTTGAACCTTACTTTGGAAAGAGCAGTTTTCTAACACTCTTTTTGTAAAAGTTCCAAGTGAATACTTTGAGTGCTTTGAAGCCTACGGTTGACAACGAAATATCTTCATGTAAAAACTACAAAGAATCATTCGCAGAAACCACGTTGTGATCTCTGCATTCAACTCACAGTGTTGAACCTTTCTTCCTATAGAGCAGTTATGAAACAGTCTCTTTGTAGAATTTGCAAGGGTGTATTTAGAGGGCATTGAAGCCTACGGTAGAAAAGGAAATATCTTACCATAAAATCTAGTCAGAAGCATTCTCAGAAACTGAGTTGTGATGTTTGCATTCAACTCACAGAGTTCAACATTCCTTTTAATGGAGCGGTTTTGAAACACTCTTTTTGCAGAATCTGCAAGTGGATATTTGGACCTCTTTGAGGCCTTCGTTGGAAACGGGATTTCTTCATGTAATGCCAGACAGAAGAATTCTCAGTGAATTCTTTCTGTGTGTGTGTATTCAACTCACAGAGTTGAACGTTCCTTTAGACAGAGTAGATTGGAAACACTGTTTTTGTGGAATTTTCAGGTGGAGGTATCAAGCGCTTTGAGGCCAATGATAGAAAAGGAAATACCTTCGTATAATAATTAGACGGAATCATTCTCAGAAACTGCTTTGCAATGTGTGCGTTCAACTCACAGTGTTTAACCTTTCTTTTCATACAGTTGTTTCGAAACACTCTTTTTGCAGAATCTGCAAGTGGATATTTGGACCTCTTTGAAGTCTTCGTTGGAAATGGGATTTCTTCATATAATGCTAGACAGAAGACTTCTCAGTAACTGCTTTTTCTGGTGTGTATTCAATTCTCAGAGTTGAACTTTCCTTTAGAAACAGCAGATTTGAAACTCTCTTTTTGTGGAATTTGCAAGTGGAGATTTCAGAGCTTTGAGGCCAATGGTAGAAAAGGAAATATCTTCGTATGCAAACTAGACAGAATCATTCTCAGAAACTACTTTGGTACGTGTGTGTTCAACTCACAGTGTTTAACCTTTCTTTTCATAGAGCAGTTTGGAAACACTCAGTTTGTAAAGTCAGCAACTGGATATTTGGATGTATTTGAGGCCTTCGTTGGAAACGGGATTTCTTCATATAATGCTAGGCAGCAGAATTCTCAGTAACTTCTTTGGGTTGTGGGTATTCAAGTCACAGAGTTGAAGCTTCCTTTAGGCGGAGCAGATTGGAAACACTTTTTGTGGAATTTTCAGGGGGAGACTTCAAGCGCTTTGAAGTGAATGGTAGGAAAGGAAATATCTTCGTATAAAAACTAGACGGAGTCATTCTCAGAAACTACTTTGTGATGTTTGCGTTCAACTCACAGAGTTTAACGTTTCTTTTCATAGAGCAGTTTGGAAACACTCTGTTTGCAGAATCTGCAAGTGGATATTTGGACCTCTTTGTGGCCTTCGTTGGAAACGGGATTTTTCATATAATGCTAGACAGAAGAATTCTCAGTAACTTCTTTTTGTGGTGTGTATTCAACTCACAGAGTTGAACCTTCCTTTAGACAGAGCAGATTTGAAACTCTCTTTTTGTGGAATTTGCAAGTGGAGATTTCAAGCGCTTTGAGGCCAACGGCAGAAAAGGAAATATCTTCGTAGAAAAAATAGACGGAATCATTCTCAGAAACTGCTTTGGGATGTGTGCATTGAACTCACAGTGTTTAACACTTCTTTTCATAGAGCACTTTGGAAACACTCAGTTTGTAATGTCTGCAGCTGGATATTTGGACCTCTTTGAGGCCTTCGTAGTAAACGGGATTTCTTCGTGTAATGATAGACAATAGAATTCTCAGTGAATTTTTTTCTGTGTGTGTGTATTCAACTCACAGGGTTGAACCATCCTTTAGACAGTGCAGATTTGAAACACTTGTCTGTGGAATTTGCAAGGGGAGATTTCAAGCACTTTGAGGCCATTGGTGGAAAAGGAAATATCTTCGTATGAAAACTATACAGAATCATTCTCAGGAACTACTTTGTGATATGCGCATTCAACTCACAGAGTTTAACATTTCTTTTCATAGATGAGTTGGAAACAGTCAGTTTGTAAATGCTGCAACTGGATATTTGGGCCTCTTTGAGGCTTTTGTTGGAAACGGGATTTCTTCACATAATGCTAGACAGAAGAATTCTCAGTAACTTCTTTTGGGATGTATGTATTCAAATCAGAGAGTTGAACCTTCCTTTAGACAGAGCGGATTGGAAACACTCTTTTTGTGGAATTTGCAAGTGGAAAATTCTAGCAGTATGAGGCCAATGGTACAAAAGGAAATATCTTCGTATAAAAACTAGACAGTATCATTCTCAGAAACTGCTTCGTGATGTGTGTATTAAACTCACAGAGTTGAACATTTCTTTGCATAGAGCAGTTTGGAAAGACTTAGTTTGTGCAGTGTGCAAGTGGATATTTGGAACTCTTTGAGGCCTTCGTTGGAAACGGGATTTCTTCTTATAATTCTTGACAAAAGAATTCTCAGTAGCTTCTTTGTGTGTGTGTATTCAACTCACAGAGTTGAACCTTCCTTGAGACAGAGCAGATTGGAAACACTCTTTTTGTGGAATTTGCAAGTGGAGAATTCTAGCGCTTTGACGCCAATGGTAGAAAGGAAATATCTTCGTATAAAAACTAGACAGTATCATTCTCAGAAACTAGTTTGTGATGTGTGCGTTCAACTCACAGAGTTTAACATTTCTTTTCATAGAGCAGTTTGGAAACACTCTGTTTGTGAAGTCTGCAAGTGGATATTTAAACGTCTTTGAGGCCTTCGTTGGAAACGGGATTTGTTCATATAAACCAGGACAGAAGAATTCTCAGAAACTTCTTGATTGTTATGTGTGCATTCAACTCACAGAGTTGAACCTTACTTTGGAAAGAGCAGTTTTCTAACACTCTTTTTGTAAAAGTTCCAAGTGAATACTTTGAGTGCTTTGAAGCCTACGGTTGACAACGAAATATCTTCATGTAAAAACTACAAAGAATCATTCGCAGAAACCACGTTGTGATCTCTGCATTCAACACACAGAGTTGAACCTTTCTTCCTATAGAGCAGTTATGAAACAGTCTCTTTGTAGAAATTGCAAGGGTGTATTTAGAGGGCATTGAAGCCTACGGTAGAAAAGGAAATATCTTACTATAAAATACTAGTCAGAAGCATTCTCAGAAACTGAGTTGTGATGTTTGCATTCAACTCACAGAGTTCAACATTCCTTTTCATGGAGCGGTTTTGAAACACTCTTTTTGCAGAATCTGCAAGTGGATATTTGGACCTCTTTGAGGCCTTCGTTGAAAACGGGATTTCTTCATGTAATGCCAGACAGAAGAATTCTCAGTGAATTCTTTCTGTGTGTGTGTATTCAACTCACAGAGTTGAACGTTCCTTTAGACAGAGTAGATTGGAAACACTCTTTTTGTGGAATTTTCATGTGGAGGTATCAAGCGCTTTGAGGCCAATGATAGAAAAGGAAATACCTTCGTATAATAATTAGACGGAATCATTCTCAGAAACTGCTTTGCAATGTGTGCGTTCAACTCACAGTGTTTAACCTTTCTTTTCATACAGTTGTTTCGAAACACTCTTTTTGCAGAATCTGCAAGTGGATATTTGGACCTCTTTGAAGTCTTCGTTGGAAATGGGATTTCTTCATATAATGCTAGACAGAAGACTTCTCAGTAACTGCTTTTTCTGGTGTGTATTCAACTCTCCGAGTTGAACTTTCCTTTAGAAACAGCAGATTTGAAACTCTCTTTTTGTGGAATTTGCAAGTGGAGATTTCAGAGCTTTGAGGCCAATGGTAGAAAAGGAAATATCTTCGTATGCAAACTAGACAGAATCATTCTCAGAAACTACTTTGGTACGTGTGTGTTCAACTCACAGTGTTTAACCTTTCTTTTCATAGAGCAGTTTGGAAACACTCAGTTTGTAAAGTCAGCAACTGGATATTTGGATGTATTTGAGGCCTTCGTTGGAAACGGGATTTCTTCATATAGTGCTAGACAGAAGAATTCTCAGTAACTTCTTTGGGTTGTGGGTATTCAACTCACAGAGTTGAAGCTTCCTTTAGGCGGAGCAGATTGGAAACACTTTTTGTGGAATTTTCAGGGGGAGACTTCAAGCGCTTTGAAGTGAATGGTAGGAAAGGAAATATCTTCGTATAAAAACTAGACGGAGTCATTCTCAGAAACTACTTTGTGATGTTTGCGTTCAACTCACAGAGTTTAACGTTTCTTTTCATAGAGCAGTTTGGAAACACTCTTTTTGCAGAATCTGCAAGTGGATATTTGGACCTCTTTGTGGCCTTCGTTGGAAACGGGATTTTTCATATAATGCTAGACAGAAGCAATTCTCAGTAACTTCTTTTTGTGGTGTGTATTCAACTCACAGAGTTGAACCTTCCTTTAGACAGAGCAGATTTGAAACTCTCTTTTTGTGGAATTTGCAAGTGGAGATTTCAAGCGCTTTGAGGCCAACGGCAGAAAAGGAAATATCTTCGTAGAAAAAATAGACGGCATCATTCTCAGAAACTGCTTTGGGATGTGTGCATTGAACTCACAGTGTTTAACACTTCTTTTCATAGAGCACTTTGGAAACACTCAGTTTGTAATGTCTGCAGCTGGATATTTGGACCTCTTTGAGGCCTTCGTAGTAAACGGGATTTCTTCGTGTAATGATAGACAATAGAATTCTCAGTGAATTTTTTTCTGTGTGTGTGTATTCAACTCACAGGGTTGAACCTTCCTTTAGACAGTGCAGATTTGAAACACTTGTCTGTGGAATTTGCAAGGGGAGATTTCAAGCACTTTGAGGCCATTGGTGGAAAAGGAAATATCTTCGTATAAAAACTAGACAGAATCATTCTCAGGAACTACTTTGTGATATGTGCATTCAACTCACAGAGTTTAACCTTTCTTTTCATAGATGAGTTTGGAAACAGTCAGTTTGTAAATTCTGCAACTGGATATTTGGACCTCTTTGAGGCTTTCGTTGGAAACGGGATTTCTTCACATAATGCTAGACAGAAGAATTCTCAGTAACTTCTTTTGGGATGTATGTATTCAAATCAGAGAGTTGAACCTTCCTTTAGACAGAGCGGATTGGAAACACTCTTTTTGTGGAATTTGCAAGTGGAAAATTCTAGCAGTATGAGGCCAATGGTACAAAAGGAAATATTCTTCGTATAAAAACTAGACAGTAATCATTCTCAGAAACTGCTTTGTGATGTGTGTATTAAACTCACAGAGTTGAACATTTCTTTGCATAGAGCAGTTTGGAAAGACTTAGTTTGTGCAGTGTGCAAGTGGATATTTGGAACTCTTTGAGGCCTTCGTTGGAAACGGGATTTCTTCTTATAATTCTTGACAAAAGAATTCTCAGTAGCTTCTTTGTGTGTGTGTATTCAACTCACAGAGTTGAACCTTCCTTTAGACAGAGCAGATTGGAAACCCTCTTTTTGTGGAATTTGCAAGTGGAGAATTCTAGCGCTTTGACGCCAATGGTAGAAAGGAAATATCTTCGTATAAAAACTAGACAGTATCATTCTCAGAAGCTACTTTGTGATGTGTGCGTTCAACTCACAGAGTTTAACCTTTCTTTTCATAGAGCAGTTTGGAAACACTCTGTTTGTGAAGTCTGCAAGTGGATATTTAAACGTCTTTGAGGCCTTCGTTGGAAACGGGATTTTTTCATATAAACCAGGACAGAAGGATTCTCAGAAACTTCTTGTTTGTTATGTGTGCATTCAACTCACAGAGTTGAACCTTACTTTGGAAAGAGCAGTTTTCTAACACTCTTTTTGTAAAAGTTCCAAGTGAATACTTTGAGTGCTTTGAAGCCTACGGTAGACAACGAAATATCTTCATGTAAAAACTACAAAGAATCATTCGCAGAAACCACGTTGTGATCTCTGCATTCAACTCACAGAGTTCAACCTTTCTTCCTATAGAGCAGTTATTAAACAGTCTCTTTGTAGAATTTGCAAGGGTGTATTTAGAGGGCATTGAAGCCTACGGTAGAAAAGGAAATATCTTACCATAAAATCTAGTCAGAAGCATTCTCAGAAACTGAGTTGTGATGTTTGCATTCAACTCACAGAGTTCAACATTCCTTTTAATAGAGCGGTTTTGAAACACTCTTTTTGCAGAATCTGCAAGTGGATATTTGGACCTCTTTGAGGCCTTCGTTGGAAACGGGATTTCTTCATGTAATGCCAGACAGAAGAATTCTCAGTGAATTCTTTCTGTGTGTGTGTATTCAACTCACAGAGTTGAACGTTCCTTTAGACAGAGTAGATTGGAAACACTCTTTTTGTGGAATTTTCAGGTGGAGGTATCAAGCGCTTTGAGGCCCATGATAGAAAAGGAAATACCTTCGTATAATAATTAGACGGAATGATTGTCAGAAAATGCTTTGCAATGGGTGCGTTCAACTCACAGTGTTTAACCTTTCTTTTCATACAGTTGTTTCGAAACACTCTTTTTGCAGAATCTGCAAGTGGATATTTGGACCTGTTTGAAGTCTTCTTTGGAAATGGGATTTCTTCATATAATGCTAGACAGAAGACTTCTCAGTAACTGCTTTTTCTGGTGTGTATTCAACTCTCAGAGTTGAACTTTCCTTTAGAAACAGCAGATTTGAAACTCTCTTTTTGTGGAATTTGCAAGTGGAGATTTCAGAGCTTTGAGGCCAATGGTAGAAAAGGAAATATCTTCGTATGCAAACTAGACAGAATCATTCTCAGAAACTACTTTGGTAGGTGTGTGTTCAACTCACAGTGTTTAACCTTTCTTTTCATAGAGCAGTTTGGAAACACTCAGTTTGTAAAGTCAGCAACTGGATATTTGGATGTATTTGAGGCCTTCGTTGGAAACGGGATTTCTTCATATAATGGTAGGCAGCAGAATTCTCAGTAACTTCTTTGGGTTGTGGGTATTCAAGTCACAGAGTTGAAGCTTCCTTTAGGCGGAGCAGATTGGAAACACTTTTTGTGGAATTTTCAGGGGGAGACTTCAAGCGCTTTGAAGTGAATGGTAGGAAAGGAAATATCTTCGTATAAAAACTAGACGGAGTCATTCTCAGAAACTACTTTGTGATGTTTGCGTTCAACTCACAGAGTTTAACGTTTCTTTTCATAGAGCAGTTTGGAAACACTCTTTTTGCAGAATCTGCAAGTGGATATTTGGACCTCTTTGTGGCCTTCGTTGGAAACGGGATTTTTCATATAATGCTAGACAGAAGAATTCTCAGTAACTTCTTTTTGTGGTGTGTATTCAACTCACAGAGTTGAACCTTCCTTTAGACAGAGCAGATTTGAAACTCTCTTTTTGTGGAATTTGCAAGTGGAGATTTCAAGCGCTTTGAGGCCAACGGCAGAAAAGGAAATATCTTCGTAGAAAAAATAGACGGAATCATTCTCAGAAACTGCTTTGGGATGTGTGCATTGAACTCACAGTGTTTAACACTTCTTTTCATAGAGCACTTTGGAAACACTCAGGTTGTAATGTCTGCAGCTGGATATTTGGACCTCTTTGAGGCCTTCGTGGTAAACGGGATTTCTTCGTGTAATGATAGACAATAGAATTCTCAGTGAATTTTTTTCTGTGTGTGTGTATTCAACTCACAGGGTTGAACCTTCCTTTAGACAGTGCAGATTTGAGACACTTGTCTGTGGAATTTGCAAGGGGAGATTTCAAGCACTTTGAGGCCATTGGTGGAAAAGGAAATATCTTCGTATGAAAACTAGACAGAATCATTCTCAGGAACTACTTTGTGATATGTGCATTCAACTCACAGAGTTTAACCTTTCTTTTCATAGATGAGTTTGGAAACAGTCAGTTTGTAAATTCTGCAACTGGATATTTGGACCTCTTTGAGGCTTTCGTTGGAAACGGGATTTCTTCACATAATGCTAGACAGAAGAATTCTCAGTAACTTCTTTTGGGATGTATGTATTCAAATCAGAGAGTTGAACCTTCCTTTAGACAGAGCGGATTGGAAACACTCTTTTTGTGGAATTTGCAAGTGGAAAATTCTAGCAGTATGAGGCCAATGGTACAAAAGGAAATATCTTCGTATAAAAACTAGACAGTATCATTCTCAGAAACTGCTTTGTGATGTGTGTATTAAACTCACAGAGTTGAACATTTCTTTGCATAGAGCAGTTTGGAAAGACTTAGTTTGTGCAGTGTGCAAGTGGATATTTGGAACTCTTTGAGGCCTTCGTTGGAAACCGGATTTCTTCTTATAATTTCTTGACAAAAGAATTCTCAGTAGCTTCTTTGTGTGTGTGTATTCAACTCACAGAGTTGAACCTTCCTTTAGACAGAGCAGATTGGAAACACTCTTTTTGTGGAATTTGCAAGTGGAGAATTCTAGCGCTTTGACGCCAATGGTAGAAAGGAAATATCTTCGTATAAAAACTAGACAGTATCATTCTCAGAAGCTACTTTGTGATGTGTGCGTTCAACTCACAGAGTTTAACCTTTCTTTTCATAGAGCAGTTTGGAAACCTTCTGTTTGTGAAGTCTGCAAGTGGATATATAAACGTCTTTGAGGCCTTCGTTGGAAACGGGATTTCTTCATATAAACCAGGACAGAAGAATTCTCAGAAACTTCTTGATTGTTATGTGTGCATTCAACTCACAGAGTTGAACCTTACTTTGGAAAGAGCAGTTTTCTAACACTCTTTTTGTAAAAGTTCCAAGTGAATACTTTGAGTGCTTTGAAGCCTACGGTTGACAACGAAATATCTTCATGTAAAAACTACAAAGAATCATTCGCAGAAACCACGTTGTGATCTCTGCATTCAACTCACAGAGTTCAACCTTTCTTCCTATAGAGCAGTTATGAAACAGTCTCTTTGTAGAATTTGCAAGGGTGTATTTAGAGGGCATTGAAGCCTACGGTAGAAAAGGAAATATCTTACCATAAAATCTAGTCAGAAGCATTCTCAGCAACTGAGTTGTGATGTTTGCATTCAACTCACAGAGTTCAACATTCCTTTTAATGGAGCGGTTTTGAAACACTCTTTTTGCAGAATCTGCAAGTGGATATTTGGACCTCTTTGAGGCCTTCGTTGGAAACGGGATTTCTTCATGTAATGCCAGACAGAAGAATTCTCAGTGAATTCTTTCTGTGTGTGTGTATTCAACTCACAGAGTTGAACGTTCCTTTAGACAGAGTAGATTGGAAACACTCTTTTTGTGGAATTTTCAGTTGGAGGTATCAAGCGCTTTGAGGCCAATGATAGAAAAGGAAATACCTTCGTATAATAATTAGACGGAATCATTCTCAGAAACTGCTTTGCAATGTGTGCGTTCAACTCACAGTGTTTAACCTTTCTTTTCATACAGTTGTTTCGAAACACTCTTTTTGCAGAATCTGCAAGTGGATATTTGGACCTCTTTGAAGTCTTCGTTGGAAATGGGATTTCTTCATATAATGCTAGACAGAAGACTTCTCAGTAACTGCTTTTTCTGGTGTGTATTCTACTCTCAGAGTTGAACTTTCCTTTAGAAACAGCAGATTTGAAACTCTCTTTTTGTGGAATTTGCAAGTGGAGATTTCAGAGCTTTGAGGCCAATGGTAGAAAAGGAAATATCTTCGTATGCAAACTAGACAGAATCATTCTCAGAAACTACTTTGGTACGTGTGTGTTCAACTCACAGTGTTTAACCTTTCTTTTCATAGAGCAGTTTGGAAACACTCAGTTTGTAAAGTCAGCAACTGGATATTTGGATGTATTTGAGGCCTTCGTTGGAAACGGGATTTCTTCATATAATGCTAGACAGAAGAATTCTCAGTAACTTCTTTGGGTTGTGGGTATTCAAGTCACAGAGTTGAAGCTTCCTTTAGGCGGAGCAGATTGGAAACACTTTTTGTGGAATTTTCAGGGGGAGACTTCAAGCGCTTTGAAGTGAATGGTAGGAAAGGAAATATCTTCGTATAAAAACTAGACGGAGTCATTCTCAGAAACTACTTTGTGATGTTTGCGTTCAACTCACAGAGTTTAACGTTTCTTTTCATAGAGCAGTTTGGAAACACTCTGTTTGCAGAATCTGCAAGTGGATATTTGGACCTCTTTGTGGCCTTCGTTGGAAACGGGATTTTTCATATAATGCTAGACAGAAGAATTCTCAGTAACTTCTTTTTGTGGTGTGTATTCAACTCACAGAGTTGAACCTTCCTTTAGACAGAGCAGATTTGAAACTCTCTTTTTGTGGAATTTGCAAGTGGAGATTTCAAGCGCTTTGAGGCCAACGGCAGAAAAGGAAATATCTTCGTAGAAAAAATAGACGGAATCATTCTCAGAAACTGCTTTGGGATGTGTGCATTGAACTCACAGTGTTTAACACTTCTTTTCATAGAGCACTTTGGAAACACTCAGGTTGTAATGTCTGCAGCTGGATATTTGGACCTCTTTGAGGCCTTCGTAGTAAACGGGATTTCTTCGTGTAATGATAGACAATAGAATTCTCAGTGAATTTTTTTCTGTGTGTGTGTATTCAACTCACAGGGTTGAACCTTCCTTTAGACAGTGCAGATTTGAGACACTTGTCTGTGGAATTTGCAAGGGGAGATTTCAAGCACTTTGAGGCCATTGGTGGAAAAGGAAATATCTTCGTATAAAAACTAGACAGAATCATTCTCAGGAACTACTTTGTGATATGTGCATTCAACTCACAGAGTTTAACCTTTCTTTTCATAGATGAGTTTGGAAACAGTCAGTTTGTAAATTCTGCAACTGGATATTTGGACCTCTTTGAGGCTTTCGTTGGAAACGGGATTTCTTCACATAATGCTAGACAGAAGAATTCTCAGTAACTTCTTTTGGGATGTATGTATTCAAATCAGAGAGTTGAACCTTCCTTTAGACAGAGCGGATTGGAAACACTCTTTTTGTGGAATTTGCAAGTGGAAAATTCTAGCAGTATGAGGCCAATGGTACAAAAGGAAATATCTTCGTATAAAAACTAGACAGTATCATTCTCAGAAACTGCTTTGTGATGTGTGTATTAAACTCACAGAGTTGAACATTTGCTTTGCATAGAGCAGTTTGGAAAGACTTAGTTTGTGCAGTGTGCAAGTGGATATTTGGAACTCTTTGAGGCCTTCGTTGGAAACGGGATTTCTTCTTATAATTCTTGACAAAAGAATTCTCAGTAGCTTCTTTGTGTGTGTGTATTCAACTCACAGAGTTGAACCTTCCTTTAGACAGAGCAGATTGGAAACACTCTTTTTGTGGAATTTGCAAGTGGAGAATTCTAGCGCTTTGACGCCAATGGTAGAAAGGAAATATCTTCGTATAAAAACTAGACAGTATCATTCTCAGAAACTACTTTGTGATGTGTGCGTTCAACTCACAGAGTTTAACCTTTCTTTTCATAGAGCAGTTTGGAAACACTCTGTTTGTGATGTCTGCAAGTGAATATTTAAACGTCTTTGAGGCCTTCGTTGGAAACGGGATTTTTTCATATAAACCAGGACAGAAGAATTCTCAGAAACGTCTTGATTGTTATGTGTGCATTCAACTCACAGAGTTGAACCTTACTTTGGAAAGAGCAGTTTTCTAACACTCTTTTTGTAAAAGTTCCAAGTGAATACTTTGAGTGCTTTGAAGCCTACGGTTGACAACGAAATATCTTCATGTAAAAACTACAAAGAATCATTCGCAGAAACCACGTTGTGATCTCTGCATTCAACTCACAGAGTTGAACCTTTCCTCCTATAGAGCAGTTATGAAGCAGTCTCTTTGTTGAATTTGCAAGGGTGTATTTACAGGGCATTGAAGCCTACGGTAGAAAAGGAAATATCTTACCATAAAATCTAGTCAGAAGCATTCTCAGCAACTGAGTTGTGATGTTTGCATTCAACTCACAGAGTTCAACATTCCTTTTAATGGAGCGGTTTTGAAACACTCTTTTTGCAGAATCTGCAAGTGGATATTTGGACCTCTTTGAGGCCTTCGTTGGAAACGGGATTTCTTCATGTAATGCCAGACAGAAGAATTCTCAGTGAATTCTTTCTGTGTGTGTGTATTCAACTCACAGAGTTGAACGTTCCTTTAGACAGAGTAGATTGGAAACACTCTTTTTGTGGAATTTTCTGGTGGAGGTATCAAGCGCTTTGAGGCCAATGATAGAAAAGGAAATACCTTCGTATAATAATTAGACGGAATCATTCTCAGAAACTGCTTTGCAATGTGTGCGTTCAACTCACAGTGTTTAACCTTTCTTTTCATACAGTTGTTTCGAAACACTCTTTTTGCAGAATCTGCAAGTGGATATTTGGACCTGTTTGAAGTCTTCGTTGGAAATGGGATTTCTTCATATAATGCTAGACAGAAGACTTCTCAGTAACTGCTTTTTCTGGTGTGTATTCAACTCTCAGAGTTGAACTTTCCTTTAGAAACAGCAGATTTGAAACTCTCTTTTTGTGGAATTTGCAAGTGGAGATTTCAGAGCTTTGAGGCCAATGGTAGAAAAGGAAATATCTTCGTATGCAAACTAGACAGAATCATTCTCAGAAACTACTTTGGTACGTGTGTGTTCAACTCACAGTGTTTAACCTTTCTTTTCATAGAGCAGTTTGGAAACACTCAGTTTGTAAAGTCAGCAACTGGATATTTGGATGTATTTGAGGCCTTCGTTGGAAACGGGATTTCTTCATATAATGCTAGACAGAAGAATTCTCAGTAACTTCTTTGGGTTGTGGGTATTCAAGTCACAGAGTTGAAGCTTCCTTTAGGCGGAGCAGATTGGAAACACTTTTTGTGGAATTTTCAGGGGGAGACTTCAAGCGCTTTGAAGTGAATGGTAGGAAAGGAAATATCTTCGTATAAAAACTAGACGGAGTCATTCTCAGAAACTACTTTGTGATGTTTGCGTTCAACTCACAGAGTTTAACGTTTCTTTTCATAGAGCAGTTTGGAAACACTCTTTTTGCAGAATCTGCAAGTGGATATTTGGACCTCTTTGTGGCCTTCGTTGGAAACGGGATTTTTCATATAATGCTAGACAGAAGAATTCTCAGTAACTTCTTTTTGTGGTGTGTATTCAACTCACAGAGTTGAACCTTCCTTTAGACAGAGCAGATTTGAAACTCTCTTTTTGTGGAATTTGCAAGTGGAGATTTCAAGCGCTTTGAGGCCAACGGCAGAAAAGGAAATATCTTCGTAGAAAAAATAGACGGAATCATTCTCAGAAACTGCTTTGGGATGTGTGCATTGAACTCACAGTGTTTAACACTTCTTTTCATAGAGCACTTTGGAAACACTCAGTTTGTAATGTCTGCAGCTGGATATTTGGACCTCTTTGAGGCCTTCGTAGTAAACGGGATTTCTTCGTGTAATGATAGACAATAGAATTCTCAGTGAATTTTTCTCTGTGTGTGTGTATTCAACTCACAGGGTTGAACCTTCCTTTAGACAGTGCAGATTTGAAACACTTGTCTGTGGAATTTGCAAGGGGAGATTTCAAGCACTTTGAGGCCATTGGTGGAAAAGGAAATATCTTCGTATAAAAACTAGACAGAATCATTCTCAGGAACTACTTTGTGATATGTGCATTCAACTCACAGAGTTTAACCTTTCTTTTCATAGATGAGTTTGGAAACAGTCAGTTTGTAAATTCTGCAACTGGATATTTGGACCTCTTTGAGGCTTTCGTTGGAAACGGGATTTCTTCACATAATGCTAGACAGAAGAATTCTCAGTAACTTCTTTTGGGATGTATGTATTCAAATCAGAGAGTTGAACCTTCCTTTAGACAGAGCGGATTGGAAACACTCTTTTTGTGGAATTTGCAAGTGGAAAATTCTAGCAGTATGAGGCCAATGGTACAAAAGGAAATATCTTCGTATAAAAACTAGACAGTATCATTCTCAGAAACTGCTTTGTGATGTGTGTATTAAACTCACAGAGTTGAACATTTCTTTGCATAGAGCAGTTTGGAAAGACTTAGTTTGTGCAGTGTGCAAGTGGATATTTGGAACTCTTTGAGGCCCTTCGTTGGAAACGGGATTTCTTCTTATAATTCTTGACAAAAGAATTCTCAGTAGCTTCTTTGTGTGTGTGTATTCAACTCACAGAGTTGAACCTTCCTTTAGACAGAGCAGATTGGAAACACTCTTTTTGTGGAATTTGCAAGTGGAGAATTCTAGCGCTTTGACGCCAATGGTAGAAAGGAAATATCTTCGTATAAAAACTAGACAGTATCATTCTCAGAAGCTACTTTGTGATGTGTGCGTTCAACTCACAGAGTTTAACCTTTCTTTTCATAGAGCGGTTTGGAAACCCTCTGTTTGTGAAGTCTGCAAGTGGATATTTAAACGTCTTTGAGGCCTTCGTTGGAAACGGGATTTTTTCATATAAACCAGGACAGAAGAATTCTCAGAAACTTCTTGATTGTTATGTGTGCATTCAACTCACAGAGTTGAACCTTACTTTGGAAAGAGCAGTTTTCTAACACTCTTTTTGTAAAAGTTCCAAGTGAATACTTTGAGTGCTTTGAAGCCTACGGTTGACAACGAAATATCCTTCATGTAAAAACTACAAAGAATCATTCGCAGAAACCACGTTGTGATCTCTGCATTCAACTCACAGAGTTGAACCTTTCCTCCTATAGAGCAGTTATGAAACAGTCTCTTTGTTGAATTTGCAAGGGTGTATTTACAGGGCATTGAAGCCTACGGTAGAAAAGGAAATATCTTACCATAAAATCTAGTCAGAAGCATTCTCAGAAACTGAGTTGTGATGTTTGCATTCAACTCACAGAGTTCAACATTCCTTTAAATGGAGCGGTTTTGAAACACTCTTTTTGCAGAATCTGCAAGTGGATATTTGGACCTCTTTGAGGCCTTCGTTGGAAACGGGATTTCTTCATGTAATGCCAGACAGAAGAATTCTCAGTGAATTCTTTCTGTGTGTGTGTATTCAACTCACGGAGTTGAACGTTCCTTTAGACAGAGTAGATTGGAAACACTCTTTTTGTGGAATTTTCAGGTGGAGGCATCAAGCGCTTTGAGGCCAATGATAGAAAAGGAAATACCTTCGTATAATAATTAGACGGAATCATTCTCAGAAACTGCTTTGCAATGTGTGCGTTCAACTCACAGTGTTTAACCTTTCTTTTCATACAGTTGTTTCGAAACACTCTTTTTGCAGAATCTGCAAGTGGATATTTGGACCTCTTTGAAGTCTTCGTTGGAAATGGGATTTCTTCATATAATGCTAGACAGAAGACTTCTCAGTAACTGCTTTTTCTGGTGTGTATTCAACTCTCAGAGTTGAACTTTCCTTTAGAAACAGCAGATTTGAAACTCTCTTTTTGTGGAATTTGCAAGTGGAGATTTCAGAGCTTTGAGGCCAATGGTAGAAAAGGAAATATCTTCGTATGCAAACTAGACAGAATCATTCTCAGAAACTACTTTGGTACGTGTGTGTTCAACTCAGAGTGTTTAACCTTTCTTTTCATAGAGCAGTTTGGAAACACTCAGTTTGTAAAGTCAGCAACTGGATATTTGGATGTATTTGAGGCCTTCGTTGGAAACCGGGATTTCTTCATATAATGCTAGACAGAAGAATTCTCAGTAACTTCTTTGGGTTGTGGGTATTCAACTCACAGAGTTGAAGCTTCCTTTAGGCGGAGCAGATTGGAAACACTTTTTGTGGAATTTTCAGGGGGAGACTTCAAGCGCTTTGAAGTGAATGGTAGAAAAGGAAATATCTTCGTATAAAAACTAGACGGAGTCATTCTCAGAAACTACTTTGTGATGTTTGCGTTCAACTCACAGAGTTTAAAGTTTCTTTTCATAGAGCAGTTTGGAAACACTCTTTTTGCAGAATCTGCAAGTGGATATTTGGACCTCTTTGTGGCCTTCGTTGGAAACGGGATTTTTCATATAATGCTAGACAGAAGAATTCTCAGTAACTTCTTTTTGTGGTGTGTATTCAACTCACAGAGTTGAACCTTCCTTTAGACAGAGCGGATTGGAAACACTCTTTTTGTGGAATTTGCAAGTGGAAAATTCTAGCAGTATGAGGCCAATGGTACAAAAGGAAATATCTTCGTATAAAAACTAGACAGTATCATTCTCAGAAACTGCTTTGTGATGTGTGTATTAAACTCACAGATTTGAACATTTCTTTGCATAGAGCAGTATGGAAAGACTTAGTTTGTGCAGTGTGCAAGTGGATATTTGGAACTCTTTGAGGCCTTGGTTGGAAACGGGATTTCTTCTTATAATTCTTGACAAAAGAATTCTCAGTAGCTTCTTTGTGTGTGTGTATTCAACTCACAGAGTTGAACCTTCCTTTAGACAGAGCAGATTGGAAACACTCTTTTTGTGGAATTTGCAAGTGGAGAATTCTAGCGCTTTGACGCCAATGGTAGAAAGGAAATATCTTCGTATAAAAACTAGACAGTATCATTCTCAGAAGCTACTTTGTGATGTGTGCGTTCAACTCACAGAGTTTAACCTTTCTTTTCATAGAGCAGTTTGGAAACCCTCTGTTTGTGAAGTCTGCAAGTGGATATTTAAACGTCTTTGAGGCCTTCGTTGGAAACGGGATTTTTCCATATAAACCAGGACAGAAGAATTCTCAGAAACTTCTTGATTGTTATGTGTGCATTCAACTCACAGAGTTGAACCTTACTTTGGAAAGAGCAGTTTTCTAACACTCTTTTTGTAAAAGTTCCAAGTGAATACTTTGAGTGCTTTGAAGCCTACGGTTGACAACGAAATATCTTCATGTAAAAACTACAAAGAATCATTCGCAGAAACCACGTTGTGATCTCTGCATTCAACTCACAGAGTTGAACCTTTCTTCCTATAGAGCAGTTATGAAACAGTCTCTTTGTAGAATTTGCAAGGGTGTATTTAGAGGGCATTGAAGCCTACGGTAGAAAAGGAAATATCTTACCATAAAATCTAGTCAGAGCATTCTCAGCAACTGAGTTGTGATGTTTGCATTCAACTCACAGAGTTCAACATTCCTTTTAATGGAGCGGTTTTGAAACACTCTTTTTGCAGAATCTGCAAGTGGATATTTGGACCTCTTTGAGGCCTTCGTTGGAAACGGGATTTCTTCATGTAATGCCAGACAGAAGAATTCTCAGTGAATTCTTTCTGTGTGTGTGTATTCAACTCACAGAGTTGAACGTTCCTTTAGACAGAGTAGATTGGAAACACTCTTTTTGTGGAATTTTCAGGTGGAGGTATCAAGCGCTTTGAGGCCAATGATAGAAAAGGAAATACCTTCGTATAATAATTAGACGGAATCATTCTCAGAAACTGCTTTGCAATGTGTGCGTTCAACTCACAGTGTTTAACCTTTCTTTTCATACAGTTGTTTCGAAACACTCTTTTTCAGAATCTGCAAGTGGATATTTGGACCTCTTTGAAGTCTTCGTTGGAAATGGGATTTCTTCATATAATGCTAGACAGAAGACTTCTCAGTAACTGCTTTTTCTGGTGTGTATTCAACTCTCCGAGTTGAACTTTCCTTTAGAAACAGCAGATTTGAAACTCTCTTTTTGTGGAATTTGCAAGTGGAGATTTCAGAGCTTTGAGGCCACTGGTAGAAAAGGAAATATCTTCGTATGCAAACTAGACAGAATCATTCTCAGAAACTACTTTGGTACGTGTGTGTTCAACTCACAGTGTTTAACCTTTCTTTTCATAGAGCAGTTTGGAAACACTCAGTTTGTAAAGTCAGCAACTGGATATTTGGATGTATTTGAGGCCTTCGTTGGAAACGGGATTTCTTCATATAATGCTAGACAGAAGAATTCTCAGTAACTTCTTTGGGTTGTGGGTATTCAAGTCACAGAGTTGAAGCTTCCTTTAGGCGGAGCAGATTGGAAACACTTTTTGTGGAATTTTCAGGGGGAGACTTCAAGCGCTTTGAAGTGAATGGTAGGAAAGGAAATATCTTCGTATAAAAACTAGACGGAGTCATTCTCAGAAACTACTTTGTGATGTTTGCGTTCAACTCACAGAGTTTAACGTTTCTTTTCATAGAGCAGTTTGGAAACACTCTTTTTGCAGAATCTGCAAGTGGATATTTGGACCTCTTTGTGGCCTTCGTTGGAAATGGGATTTTTCATATAATGCTAGACAGAAGAATTCTCAGTAACTTCTTTTTGTGGTGTGTATTCAACTCACAGAGTTGAACCTTCCTTTAGACAGAGCAGATTTGAAACTCTCTTTTTGTGGAATTTGCAAGTGGAGATTTCAAGCGCTTTGAGGCCAACGGCAGAAAAGGAAATATCTTCGTAGAAAAAATAGACGGAATCATTCTCAGAAACTGCTTTGGGATGTGTGCATTGAACTCACAGTGTTTAACACTTCTTTTCATAGAGCACTTTGGAAACACTCAGTTTGTAATGTCTGCAGCTGGATATTTGGACCTCTTTGAGGCCTTCGTAGTAAACGGGATTTCTTCGTGTAATGATAGACAATAGAATTCTCAGTGAATTTTTTTCTGTGTGTGTTTATTCAACTCACAGGGTTGAACCTTCCTTCAGACAGTGCAGATTTGAAACACTTTTCTGTGGAATTTGCAAGGGGAGATTTCAAGCACTTTGAGGCCATTGGTGGAAAAGGAAATATCTTCGTATAAAAACTAGACAGAATCATTCTCAGGAACTACTTTGTGATATGTGCATTCAACTCACAGGGTTTAACCTTTCTTTTCATAGATGAGTTTGGAAACAGTCAGTTTGTAAATTCTGCAACTGGATATTTGGACCTACTTTGAGGCTTTCGTTGGAAACGGGATTTCTTCACATAATGCTAGACAGAAGAATTCGCAGTAACTTCTTTTGGGATGTATGTATTCAACTCGGAGAGTTGAACCTTCCTTTAGACAGAGCGCATTGGAAACACGCTTTTTGCGGAATTTTCAGGTGGAGATTTCAAGAGCCTTGAGGCCAATGGTAGAAAAGGCTATCTTCGTATAAAAACTAGAGGGAATCATTCTCAGAAACTGCTTTGTGATGTGTGTCATTAAACTCACACGAGTTGATCATTTCTTTGCATAGAGGCAGTTTGGAAAGACTTAGTTTGTGCAGTGTGCAAGTGGATATTTGGAACTCTTTGAGGCCTTCGTTGGAAACGGGATTTCTTCTTATACTTCTTGACAAAAGAATTCTCAGTAGCTTCTTTGTGTGTGTGTATTCAACTCACAGAGTTGAACCTTCCTTTAGACAGAGCAGATTGGAAACACTCTTTTTGTGGAATTTGCAAGTGGAGAATTCTAGCGCTTTGACGCCAATGGTAGAAAGGAAATATCTTCGTATAAAAACTAGACAGTATCATTCTCAGAAGCTACTTTGTGATGTGTGCGTTCAACTCACAGAGTTTAACCTTTCTTTTCATAGAGCAGTTTGTAAACCCTCTGTTTGTGAAGTCTGCAAGTGGATATTTAAACGTCTTTGAGGCCTTCGTTGGAAACGGGATTTTTTCATATAAACCAGGACAGAAGAATTCTCAGAAACTTCTTGATTGTTATGTGTGCATTCAACTCACAGAGTTGAACCTTACTTTGGAAAGAGCAGTTTTCTAACACTCTTTTTGTAAAAGTTCCAAGTGAATACTTTGAGTGCTTTGAAGCCTACGGTTGACAACGAAATATCTTCATGTAAAAACTACAAAGAATCATTCGCAGAAACCACGTTGTGATCTCTGCATTCAACTCACAGAGTTGAACCTTTCTTCCTATAGAGCAGTTATGAAACAGTCTCTTTGTAGAATTTGCAAGGGTGTATTTAGAGGGCATTGAAGCCTACGGTAGAAAAGGAAATATCTTACCATAAAATCTAGTCAGAAGCATTCTCAGCAACTGAGTTGTGATGTTTGCATTCAACTCACAGAGTTCAACATTCCTTTTAATGGAGCGGTTTTGAAACACTCTTTTTGCAGAATCTGCAAGTGGATATTTGGACCTCTTTGAGGCCTTCGTTGGAAACGGGATTTCTTCATGTAATGCCAGACAGAAGAATTCTCAGTGAATTCTTTCTGTGTGTGTGTATTCAACTCACAGAGTTGAACGTTCCTTTAGACAGAGTAGATTGGAAACACTCTTTTTGTGGAATTTTCAGGTGGAGGTATCAAGCGCTTTGAGGCCAATGATAGAAAAGGAAATACCTTCGTATAATAATTAGACGGAATCATTCTCAGAAACCGCTTTGCAATGTGTGCGTTCAACTCACAGTGTTTAACCTTTCTTTTCATACAGTTGTTTCGAAACACTCTTTTTGCAGAATCTGCAAGTGGATATTTGGACCTCTTTGAAGTCTTCGTTGGAAATGGGATTTCTTCATATAATGCTAGACAGAAGACTTCTCAGTAACTGCTTTTTCTGGTGTGTATTCAACTCTCAGAGTTGAACTTTCCTTTAGAAACAGCAGATTTGAAACTCTCTTTTTGTGGAATTTGCAAGTGGAGATTTCAGAGCTTTGAGGCCAATGGTAGAAAAGGAAATATCTTCGTATGCAAACTAGACAGAATCATTCTCAGAAACTACTTTGGTACGTGTGTGTTCAACTCACAGTGTTTAACCTTTCTTTTCATAGAGCAGTTTGGAAACACTCAGTTTGTAAAGTCAGCAACTGGATATTTGGATGTATTTGAGGCCTTCGTTGGAAACGGGATTTCTTCATATAATGCTAGACAGAAGAATTCTCAGTAACTTCTTTGGGTTGTGGGTATTCAAGTCACAGAGTTGAAGCTTCCTTTAGGCGGAGCAGATTGGAAACACTTTTTGTGGAATTTTCAGGGGGAGACTTCAAGCGCTTTGAAGTGAATGGTAGGAAAGGAAATATCTTCGTATAAAAACTAGACGGAGTCATTCTCAGAAACTACTTTGTGATGTTTGCGTTCAACTCACAGAGTTTAACGTTTCTTTTCATAGAGCAGTTTGGAAACACTCTTTTTGCAGAATCTGCAAGTGGATATTTGGACCTCTTTGTGGCCTTCGTTGGAAACGGGATTTTTCATATAATGCTAGACAGAAGAATTCTCAGTAACTTCTTTTTGTGGTGTGTATTCAACTCACAGAGTTGAACCTTCCTTTAGACAGAGCAGATTTGAAACTCTCTTTTTGTGGAATTTGCAAGTGGAGATTTCAAGCGCTTTGAGGCCAACGGCAGAAAAGGAAATATCTTCGTAGAAAAAATAGACGGAATCATTCTCAGAAACTGCTTTGGGATGTGTGCATTGAACTCACAGTGTTTAACACTTCTTTTCATAGAGCACTTTGGAAACACTCAGTTTGTAATGTCTGCAGCTGGATATTTGGACCTCTTTGAGGCCTTCGTAGTAAACGGGATTTCTTCGTGTAATGATAGACAATAGAATTCTCAGTGAATTTTTTTCTGTGTGTGTGTATTCAACTCACAGGGTTGAACCTTCCTTTAGACAGTGCAGATTTGAAACACTTGTCTGTGGAATTTGCAAGGGGAGATTTCAAGCACTTTGAGGCCATTGGTGGAAAAGGAAATATCTTCGTATAAAAACTAGACAGAATCATTCTCAGGAACTACTTTGTGATATGTGCATTCAACTCACAGAGTTTAACCTTTCTTTTCATAGATGAGTTTGGAAACAGTCAGTTTGTAAATTCTGCAACTGGATATTTGGACCTCTTTGAGGCTTTCGTTGGAAACGGGATTTCTTCACATAATGCTAGACAGAAGAATTCTCAGTAACTTCTTTTGGGATGTATGTATTCAAATCAGAGAGTTGAACCTTCCTTTAGACAGAGCGGATTGGAAACACTCTTTTTGTGGAATTTGCAAGTGGAAAATTCTAGCAGTATGGGGCCAATGATACAAAAGGAAATATCTTCGTATAAAAACTAGACAGTATCATTCTCAGAAACTGCTTTGTGATGTGTGTATTAAACTCACAGAGTTGAACATTTCTTTGCATAGAGCAGTTTGGAAAGACTTAGTTTGTGCAGTGTGCAAGTGGATATTTGGAACTCTTTGAGGCCTTCGTTGGAAACGGGATTTCTTCTTATAATTCTTGACAAAAGAATTCTCAGTAGCTTCTTTGTGTGTTTGTATTCAACTCACAGAGTTGAACCTTCCTTTAGACAGAGCAGATTGGAAACACTCTTTTTGTGGAATTTGCAAGTGGAGAATTCTAGCGCTTTGACGCCAATGGTAGAAAGGAAATATCTTCGTATAAAAACTAGACACTATCATTCTCAGAAGCTACTTTGTGATGTGTGCGTTCAACTCACAGAGTTTAACCTTTCTTTTCATAGAGCAGTTTGGAAACCCTCTGTTTGTGAAGTCTGCAAGTGGATATTTAAACGTCTTTGAGGCCTTCGTTGGAAACGGGATTTGTTCATATAAACCAGGACAGAAGAATTCTCAGAAACTTCTTGATTGTTATGTGTGCATTCAACTCACAGAGTTGAACCTTACTTTGGAAAGAGCAGTTTTCTAACCCTCTTTTTGTAAAAGTTCCAAGTGAATACTTTGAGTGCTTTGAAGCCTACGGTTGACAACGAAATATCTTCATGTAAAAACTACAAAGAATCATTCGCAGAAACCACGTTGTGATCTCTGCATTCAACTCACAGAGTTGAACCTTTCTTCCTATAGAGCAGTTATGAAACAGTCTCTTTGTAGAATTTGCAAGGGTGTATTTAGAGGGCATTGAAGCCTACGGTAGAAAAGGAAATATCTTACCATAAAATCTAGTCAGAAGCATTCTCAGCAACTGAGTTGTGATGTTTGCATTCAACTCACAGAGTTCAACATTCCTTTTAATGGAGCGGTTTTGAAACACTCTTTTTGCAGAATCTGCAAGTGGATATTTGGACCTCTTTGAGGCCTTCGTTGGAAACGGGATTTCTTCATGTAATGCCAGACAGAAGAATTCTCAGTGAATTCTTTCTGTGTGTGTGTATTCAACTCACAGAGTTGAACGTTCCTTTAGACAGAGTAGATTGGAAACACTCTTTTTGTGGAATTTTCAGGTGGAGGTATCAAGCGCTTTGAGGCCAATGATAGAAAAGGAAATACCTTCGTATAATAATTAGACGGAATCATTCTCAGAAACCGCTTTGCAATGTGTGCGTTCAACTCACAGTGTTTAACCTTTCTTTTCATACAGTTGTTTCGAAACACTCTTTTTGCAGAATCTGCAAGTGGATATTTGGACCTCTTTGAAGTCTTCGTTGGAAATGGGATTTCTTCATATAATGCTAGACAGAAGACTTCTCAGTAACTGCTTTTTCTGGTGTGTATTCAACTCTCAGAGTTGAACTTTCCTTTAGAAACAGCAGAGTTGAAACTCTCTTTTTGTGGAATTTGCAAGTGGAGATTTCAGAGCTTTGAGGCCAATGGTAGAAAAGGAAATATCTTCGTATGCAAACTAGACAGAATCATTCTCAGAAACTACTTTGGTACGTGTGTGTTCAACTCACAGTGTTTAACCTTTCTTTTCATAGAGCAGTTTGGAAACACTCAGTTTGTAAAGTCAGCAACTGGATATTTGGATGTATTTGAGGCCTTCGTTGGAAACGGGATTTCTTCATATAATGCTAGACAGAAGAATTCTCAGTAACTTCTTTGGGTTGTGGGTATTCAACTAACAGAGCTGAAGCTTCCTTTAGGCGGAGCAGATTGGAAACACTTTTTGTGGAATTTTCAGGGGGAGACTTCAAGCGCTTTGAGGCCAACGGTAGAAAAGGAAATATCTTCGTATAAAAACTAGACGGAGTCATTCTCAGAAACTACTTTGTGATGTTTGCGTTCAACTCACAGAGTTTAACGTTTCTTTTCATAGAGCAGTTTGGAAACACTCTTTTTGCAGAATCTGCAAGTGGATATTTGGACCTCTTTGTGGCCTTCGTTGGAAACGGGATTTTTCATATAATGCTAGACAGAAGAATTCTCAGTAACTTCTTTTTGTGGTGTGTATTCAACTCACAGAGTTGAACCTTCCTTTAGACAGAGCAGATTTGAAACTCTCTTTTTGTGGAATTTGCAAGTGGAGATTTCAAGCGCTTTGAGGCCAACGGCAGAAAAGGAAATATCTTCGTAGAAAAAATAGACGGAATCATTCTCAGAAACTGCTTTGGGATGTGTGCATTGAACTCACAGTGTTTAACACTTCTTTTCATAGAGCACTTTGGAAACACTCAGGTTGTAATGTCTGCAGCTGGATATTTGGACCTCTTTGAGGCCTTCGTGGTAAACGGGATTTCTTCGTGTAATGATAGACAATAGAATTCTCAGTCAATTTTTTCCTGTGTGTGTGTATTCAACTCACAGGGTTGAACCTTCCTTTAGACAGTGCAGATTTGAAACACTTGTCTGTGGAATTTGCAAGGGGAGATTTCAAGCACTTTGAGGCCATTGGTGGAAAAG
Organism: Homo sapiens; assembly: GCF_000001405.40. NCBI lineage: Eukaryota > Metazoa > Chordata > Mammalia > Primates > Hominidae > Homo > Homo sapiens. Next base: position 92,837,943 of record NC_000003.12, read on the forward strand.
GAAATATCTTCGTATAAAAACTAGACAGAATCATTCTCAGGAACTACTTTGTGATATGTGCATTCAACTCACAGAGTTTAACCTTTCTTTTCATAGATGAGTTTGGAAACAGTCAGTTTGTAAATTCTGCAACTGGATATTTGGACCTCTTTGAGGCTTTCGTTGGAAACGGGATTTCTTCACATAATGCTAGACAGAAGAATTCTCAGTAACTTCTTTTGGGATGTATGTATTCAAATCAGAGAGTTGAACCTTCCTTTAGACAGAGCGGATTGGAAACACTCTTTTTGTGGAATTTGCAAGTGGAAAATTCTAGCAGTATGAGGCCAATGGTACAAAAGGAAATATCTTCGTATAAAAACTAGACAGTATCATTCTCAGAAACTGCTTTGTGATGTGTGTATTAAACTCACAGAGTTGAACATTTCTTTGCATAGAGCAGTATGGAAAGACTTAGTTTGTGCAGTGTGCAAGTGGATATTTGGAACTCTTTGAGGCCTTGGTTGGAAACGGGATTTCTTCTTATACTTCTTGACAAAAGAATTCTCAGTAGCTTCTTTGTGTGTGTGTGTACTCAACTCACAGAGTTGAACCTTCCTTTAGACAGAGCAGATTGGAAACACTCTTTTTGTGGAATTTGCAAGTGGAAAATTCTAGCAGTATGAGGCCAATGGTACAAAAGGAAATATCTTCGTATAAAAACTAGACAGTATCATTCTCAGAAACTACTTTGTGATGTGTGCGTTCAACTCACAGAGTTTAACCTTTCTTTTCATAGAGCAGTTTGGAAACACTCTGTTTGTGAAGTCTGCAAGTGGATATTTAAACGTCTTTGAGGCCTTCGTTGGAAACGGGATTTGTTCATATAAACCAGGACAGAAGA